>NC_000006.12:35817575-36120606 GCF_000001405.40 Homo sapiens | reverse complement strand
GCCGGGGGATACACACTTATCACCGCATTGCTCATCATCTGTATCAATAAAGAAAAGTTTCCAGCATCATGGTGGGGGGTGGCGGTGGTGGTGGGGGAAGAGGAAAAGGAAACACACTGCTTGGATGAATTGTCTCAGATTTGGAGAGTATGTTCCGGATGGCCAGCCTTAACAAATATAGACTAAGTGCTGAGGGTGAAATTCACTTGGCTGGTGGGGGTGGGAGGAGGAGTGAAGGTCCTTGTCAAGGCAGAACGCTGAGATGTTTCACACACATGCCATATTCACTTCTGATATTTTAAAAATAGAACATCATAGATACTCATCATCATGATGAAAACGGTGACAAAAACATATAGTTCTTACTATGAGCCACACACTGTTCTAAGTGCTCTACATTGGTTAACGTATTTAACCCTCACCACAATCCTGTGAAGAAGGCACTATTATCAATATCATCCCATTTTACAGTTGTGATAACTGAGGCCCCGATTGATCAAGCAACCTGCGGAGGTTACACAGTGTCAGTGGTGGAACCGGGATTAGAACCTAAGCTGTCTGGCTCTTGGCAGCTGAAGCCCTTTCATGCCCCTCTCTGATTCCATGCCCTCTCTCCCTCCCTAGAGGTGACCCCTCTACAAGTTGGTGTTTATTATTCTCGTCTGCTTTTAGTTTTACTATATACGTATGCATCTGTAAACGATGCCAGATAGATCGTTTTGCAGCCTCCTTTTTCACTTAAGGTTGTTGGTGAGATCTGCCAAGATGTTGAGTCGTCTCTGTTTCTCAGCCTCGGCACTGCTGACATGTTTCTGCTGGGTAATTCCTCGTTGTGGGGGCCGTCCTGTGCGTCGCAAAATGTTCAGCAGCATCCCTGGCCTCTACCCACTAGATGCTCACCACCCTCACCTCCAAGTGTGACAACTAAAAAGGTCTCCAGACATTGCCTATTGTTCCTGGGACAGAGGCAAAATCAGGGGTCTGGGGTGGTGGTGGGGGAATCATTCTAGTTCATTTGTCTTCACTGCCATTTAATATTTCATTGCATGAATACATACTGCAGTTTATTTCCTATTCCCCTATTGATGGTGTTTGAGGTTTGTTCCCATTTTTTCCTGCTATTACAAATGATGTTGAGTGAAAAGTCTGTACTCTGTTCCTTGTTGACATACGAGAAAGCTTCTAGAAAGTTCTAGAATTACCTAGAACCGCAGCTATGTACAGCTTCTGCCCTTACTGAATCCTGCCAAATGGACGCCAATGTATGAAAGCTCTACAGTTTTTGCACGGGCAAATTCATTTGCCTTTTCCTGCATGGTTTCTAGGTTTGGGGACATGCTTTGAAAGCCTTTCTCCATTTAAATCTTTGACCTGTCTGGAAATGATTGTGGCTGAAGGAGGAAAGTGTCTATCTAGCTGTTTCAATGCCATTTATTGACACAGATCACTGAATAATAATGAGTTTTAAAAGCGATGTTTTCCAGATTTAAAAAAATTTCTTGGAGTTATGCCAATCTGTCAACAGCTATTATTTCCAGGTAGTGGGATAATAGATGTTACCTACTACATTTAAACATTTTCAACAATAAATATGTTTTGTGTCATGAAAGAATAATAGTTAGACAAAGTAATGTGGTAAGTGCTTTGACCCTGGTAAGATCAGCACAAATTACATAAACACTTGGAGGGGGGCACCTGACTCAACTGGAGGCTGGGGAGAGGACTGGTTGGGTGGGGGCTGTTTCCTCACCGTGAAGCAGGGTGGGGCTTGTTGAGGGCACAGCAGCCACTCGGCTGTTTGCCTCCAGATAGGGACACTCCCCACCACAAGCACTGTGTCAGCAACCATGATCAGATAGTCATTGCCTGTCTCACTGGGCAGAGCTGTGAGTGGCTGAGTTTCCATACAGGACAATCAGCTCTGTCATACTTGAGCAATGGCCCAGGGGAAATGGGTCTTTGTGTAATGGCAGCGGATGGTGACCTCACACCTCACACTGGAAACACACAGTGGAGCCAGCTGATCAGGTCGAGGTAACCCAAGAGGACATGCAGCCCTGGACGCCACGAGAAATCCTGTTGTCTGTCAGTTGAGTGCCAGGGAGGTGGATCAAAGGTGCACCGGCCCAGAAATGGCCTCCAGCAACAGGTGCTTAGATGTTCTGTTCTAGGGGTGCCAGCGAGATGGTACAGTCATTGTTTACCACTGCCTTTTCCCATGAAAACAACGAACAACTCCATGGGGACAGGAATTTGACTTTTATTCTTTCCCATATTCCCAGTGCCTGACAGATGGAAGGTACCTAATAGATATTTGTAGAATGGCTGAATGAGGGTGCAAGACACCATAATGCCTTCCAATTATCTTTCTTTTGCCTTGCTATTTTCATTTTAAAGTGGCAGATGGATGGGGACACAGTAGGAATTATCTAGATTATGGCCATCAGCCACTTTCAATAATCTTTTGGTTCTTGTTCTAATTCATTAAATTGCTGTGCAGCCAACTTGAATTACACAGCAAGACACAGCAAAGAGAATCAGAAGCCAATTCTTCTAACACGTATCTCTTCTTAAACAAGGAAATTCCACACAGCACCATTTCTTAGGCAAGGCAGATAACCCCTACATATTTGGTTTTTCTTTAAATGATCTTTGCTTCTAAAGACTATTGATTGTAAAAACAGGAAGCAAAAGACAAGGTGATCTGCAAGGGATTAAAAGCTGACAGTCATTTATGGACTCGGTCAATAAGGACTGAATGCCTACTGTGTGCCAGGTACCAAGCTAGGTGACAGGGACACCACAGTGAACAAGACATGATCTGTCTTCGATGACATGCAGCCTTAAGCCAGTATTTAGCATTTACTGTATACTCAGGGTTTTTCATGTCTTAACTCATTTAGTCCTCACAGCCCCACTCTCTATTATTGGTACAATCTTGAGCAAATTACTTAATCACATCAAAGGTTCCAGAGCCTGTATCCTTAACCTTTATATGTTTTTCTTTTTTGAGCAGGTGGTACAAACAGCAAGCAATGATAAAGCAGTGTAATCAGTGCCACCAATGATCATTCCAGATTACAGGGTGCATGCAGAAGACACAGCTAATCCAGGCTTGGGAATGGTCAGAAATTTACTGAGGGAGTGATGTCAAGGCTGAACAGAAGAACGAATACATTAGCTCAGAGGAATGAGGAGGAGGAAGAGGGTTCTAGAGAGAGGGACTATCACGCACAAAGACCAGGAGAGAAAGCAAGAGCACACAGTGACTTTGTCCCATTAGAGCACTGCTATAGAGAGCCAGAGGGAAGCATGCTCATCTTCTAGGACATACAAAGCGAGTGCTGGCTTGAGCCCTTTTGGCTGAAAGAGGGAAAAGGTAGTTTCTCTTCAGAGGCCTGGAGGTGCATTTCTATCCCAGATGAGTAGAGAAGCGAGGGCAAGGGGCCTGGAACTAGGGAGAGAGACCCAGTGTGTGCTGAACAAGATAAGGCACCAGTGCCTGGCTGTGGCTGCCAGGGACTCCTCCCCAATTTGGCCAGCAGCAGCCAGGGAGTCCTTATGGAAATTATGCTGAATTAATTTTTTTAAATTTTCTTTAAAAAAACCAAAAGAGGATTGTCTAACACCAATGCTATAAAACTCTTTGGAACCAGGAGTCTTTCAACGTTGATATCAGGATAGTCTGTTGAATCTAGCCTCAGTTGTAACGTGACTGAGAAAGAGACATTACTTGTATAGAATATGCAAGAATGTAAATTGCCTAACATACAGTAGCAGTTCATTAAAAGAACTACTTTTTAGTAGGGAGGTAAGGAAAGTAGGGGGAAGGAGGTGAAGGAAGGAAGGAAGACCATAGGGAGCCAGGTCTGTCCTGCATTGTGGAGGTTTCACTTCTTAGGACTCCAGGTGTCCCAGAGTCATTTGATCTGTCAGCAGTTCTCAGCGGGTGCACTGAAATCTCTGGGGCCATTTTTGGTTATCATACTGATCAGGAGTATTACTGATATGAGCATGCACGGGCCACTGTGCAGAGTGGGATTCTTAACAAGAATTGCTTCACATTACAAACATCCTGCTGGACATTCATGAAGGTGGAAAAAACTATTTATGATTATCTGAGCCTAGACTGTAACTTGGTTTTACATATCAAACAAATACTTTTCTGCATATTAATATACTTACATTTCCCAGGATCACAACTGAGTAAATAAAAAAGTTCTCCAGGCTGGGCAACAGACTGAGACCCTGTCCAAAAAAAAAAAAAGATTCTAATTGTTTGTTTGAAATTTTTACCAAGAGTTGCTTACCACTTTCAGAAAAATCATGACTGACAGCAGTCAGCCATGGTATCTGAGTTGTCAAGACAACACAACTGTATCAGTACGCATTTGGAGCTGTCATATTCAAGGTGATTCTATGTATAGGTACAAGCATCTAACTACTTCATTATTTCTTTTATGTAGCTATGCCTGAGAATTTACTTTTTATTTTTTTTTAGACAGGGTCTCACTCTGTCACCCAGGCTGGAGTGCAGTGGAATGATCATGGCTCACTGCAGCCTCAACCTCCATGGCTTAAGCAATCTTCCTGCCTCAGCCTCCTCAGTAGCTGGGACTACAGGTGTGTGCCACCATGCCCAGATAACTTTTTATTTTTTCATTTTTTTTTTTTTTTTTGAGACGGAGTCTCCCTCTGTTGCCCAGGCTGGAGTGCAGTGGCATGATCTCAGCTTACTGCAAGATCCACCTCCCAGGTTCAAGCAATTTTCCCGCCTCAGCCTCCTGAGTAGCTGGGACCCAGGTGGGTGCCACCACAGCTGACTAATTTTTCTATCTTGTACTAATTTCGTATTTTTAGTAGAGATGGGGTTTCACCATGTTGGCCAGGATGGCGAGTGATCCACTTGCCTCAGCCTCCCAAAGTGCTGTGATTACAGGTGTAAGCCACTGCGCCCCGCCCCAGTTAACGTTTTAAAAATTTTCTGTAGAGACGGGTTTCTCCATGTTGGCCAGGCTCATCCTAAACTCCTGACCTCAAGTGTTCTGCCCGCCTCAGCCTCCCAAAGTGCCGGGATTACAGGTGCGAGCCACCATGCCCAGCCAGCACTTATATATGGAAATGTATTCGTATTTTTCCTTTGTCATTTATATTGGATCATTATATTTTCTTTGAAATTGTGTGAATTATCTATGAATTTCACCTCAGCATTATAAAAGAGGTATTATAAAATATTAGTTATGCAAAGGGTAATAGATCTGACAAGAGTTTAGAACCACTGGTTTTTGTTAAGAATCTAGGCTGGGTCTGTGGTTTTACACCTTCTTCTTTTCTGCTGCAACTGACACTCAAATGGTGGTGGCAGTTTCTATTTTTAGTTGCAAACTGAAGGTTACTTCCTTATTTAACTTATAATAACTTCTAAACAAAGCACCTTCCTTAAATTGAACTACTCAAATAACTCTGCAATATAACATTATCCCACTGGCTATGCGTACTTAGACCACAGCCTATGGCTTCAATAATGGGTTTTCCAGAAACTGCCTCAGGACCATTTGTCCTCAGAAGCTCTCTCCCCAGTTGGCTTTAGAGACACACACTGTTCCCAGATGCAGAAGGCTGCAAACTCCCCCTAACAAGACAGCCTCGATGCCCCCTGTCAACTCGTGAGATGCAGACTAACCAGTATCTTGAGTGTCGACAACACACCAGGCACATTGAGATTTGTTATTTCCTTACTGGTCTAAGAAAATCTTGTAGTCATACCCCCAGTTTAATTACCAGATTTTCTGCCTGTGGATAATGGCAAAGAACTTCTGAACAAAGGATAACTTAATTTACTCAACCTACTGTTTTTTTTTAAGAAATGAAATGACCTTTATTCAGTACCAAACATATTTCCCCTAAAAATATGTATTTGAGTCTAAAAAGGCCTTTCCAATTTGTACTTTTCCTCCAAGATGCCAAGCTACTTTTTTTTTTTTTTTTTAAACAGAGTTCCACTCTTGTTGCCCAGGCTGGAGTGCTGCGGTGTCATCTTGGCTCACTGCAACCTCCGCCTCCCAGGTTCAAGCGATTCTCCTGCCTCAGCCTCCCAAGTAGCTGGGATTACAGGTGCCCACCACCAAGCCCGGCTAATTTTTTGTATTTTTAGTAGAGACAGGGTTTTGCCATGTTGGCCAGGCTGGTTTTGAACTCCTGACCTCAGGTGATCCGCCCACCTCGGCCTCCCAAAGTGCTGGGATTACAGGCATGAGCCACCGTGCCCGGCCACCAAACTACTTCTTTAAGTTACAACAGGCCAGTGGGTGTTAACTCTTTTTTCAAGAAAAGAGGCTTTGGTGTTCTGCAAGATTAGGAGGGATGAAGTGTTAGATTCATGGTTTTCAACCAGGGATGATTTTGTTCCCCAGAAGCCATTTGGCAACAACATCTGGAGACATCTCTGGCTATCCCAACTGGGGGAAGGGAGCATGAGTGCTACTGGCATTAGTGGGTAGAGGCCAGGGATGCTGCCTAACACCCTACACTGCACAGGACAGCTTCCACAACAAATAATTATCTGGTCTGAGATGCCAATAGTGCCAAAATTGAAAAATCCTGCTTAAGATCCTTAAAATACACCCTTCTACTGAAGAAGAAACAACCAAACCCTCCCAGCTGGGTGGAGAATGCCGCTACAAAGTACTGGTGCGGCTTTGCTTGCCAGAGGCCTAACAGCTGGGTGCAATTTCTTTCCAGCAACTGTTCTCCTGCCTTGAAAGGCTGGGCTCTAGCCCTGGCAAAACTGAAATTTGAGAATGGTTCCCCAGGTCACATAGACTTTTAAACACCTTTCTCATTAAAAAACAAAACAAAGAAAGAAAAGGTTTCTTCTGATCACAAAACAAAACTCTCAGTGTAAAAAAAGGTACACATTACAGAAATAGCATAAAAATTAAAGGGCACAATCCCACTGCCTAGAGATGGTTGCTAACAGTTCAATGTATATTCATTTCCTAGCCAGGCATTACCTATCAACAAAAAAGGGGGCTAGGATACTACAGTTTGCCACTGACTTTTTCTCCTTCACAATGTATGTTGCACATCTATCCATGCCTAGCTGGATGGTATTCCACTGCACAGATGACCATCTTATTCAATCAAGTCCTTATTCATAGATATGTGGGTTACTTCCAGTATTTTGCTGTACAAAGAATGTGACACTGAAAAACATTCTACTTTGTGCACTTAAGACCTTTTTTTTTTTTTTTTTTTTTTTTTATGAGACAGGGTCTCACTATGTCACCCAGGCTGGAATGCAGTGGCACAACCATGACTCACTGCAGCCTTGAACTCCTGGGCTCAAGAGATCCTCCCACCTCAGCCTCCCAAGCAGCTGGGACTACAAGGCATGCACCACCACACCTGGCTAATGTAGAGTCAAGAGTCCCCAGCTATGTTGCTCAGGCTGAAGACTTCTGAGAAGTGTAAATGCTAAGTTCAAAGGGCATGTACATTATTAAAACATATCTGCATTATAAATAAAAGGGGGTCTTTATTATTTGCATATTCATTAACCAAGTCCTTGCAGCTACCAAATTATATAGAGAAGTGAAAGTCATCCCAATGTGAAAACATTCACTAATGAGCTATTTATAAAAAGTTAGTCCCTCTTTGCTTCTTAAGTACCTGAAGCCAATGTATTTATCCTGCCCACTGTATTCTGGTCTTCTGTTAGTCTCTATGGTTATACTGTAAGCATATGACAAATGACACAAATAGAATGCAACTTAATTGCAATAATCACAAATCTTGCAAATGGTGGTGGATTTGATGAAGTTGATAAATAATGCTAGAAAACTGCTCAAACCTTAAGCAAAAGCTCTGAAAAGTGTGGGTGACAGACTCAGACCAGTTAACAATAAAAGGAAAGTTGAGGAGGTGATCACCGATAGATACTTATAAAAAAGAATGTGAATATCAAAATATCAAGAGGCCTTCTGAAAACTGATGAAGCCCTCAAATATTTTTGCAAAACTTCCTTCTATGATCACGTTGCAAAAATCAAATGAGAAAATTATTGTAAGATACAAAATCAGTTTCACTTCAAAAACAACTTAATTTCCTTGTCAGAATTAATATATCTTTAAAATTATGAACATGCTTTTGTCATTTTGTTCCATTTTCATGATTAAAGTTCCATTCAGGTTTCCCCTATCCCCCAGTGTCCACCACATATGAAATTTTGGTCCCCGTTTTAAGTGGATTCACTTCAGGGGAGCTTTTTGTGGTGTCAGCTCTCTTTGGGCTAAGCAGGCCCTCTTCTCAGAAGCCTAGGAGGAAGGCTGTTCTCATGTCTCATGTCTGGTATGTGAAGGCAAAATACTCCCTACAACGGTCTGATTCTTTTTTTTTTTTTGAGACGGAGTCTCACTCTGTCACCCAGGCTGGAGTGCAGTGGCATGATCTTGGCTCACTGCAAGTTCCGCCTCCCTGGTTCATACCATTCTCCCGCCTCAGCCTCCTGAATAGCTGGGATTACAGGCATGCACCACCACGCCCAGCTAATTTTTTGTATTTTTAGTAGAGACGGGGTTTCACCGTGTTAGCCAGGATGGTCTCGATCTCCTGACCTCGTGATCTGCCCGCCTCAGCCTCCCAAAGTGCTGAGATTACAGGCGTGAGCCACCACGCCCGGCCAACTGTCTGATTCTTAACAGGAGCTAAAGGACCCCATGTAACAACCGGGGCCCTTTTCTCTCACCTCCTTACGAAGTCACTGGGGATGGAAAGGAGACTATGCTTGGTCTGCCTTCGATCACTGCCTTCATTCCCAGCTGCCAGCCAGGGCCTGGACAAAAACCCAGCTCTCAATATCCTCACAGGCTGAGCCCCACAATCCACCCTGGGACACCTGCTGGGTGTCATTCCAAGGACACCAAGAAAGGAAGCACATCAGCAAAGTCCCTGAGAACTCAGCTGTGAGACCCCGTGGCTCTTTCATCCCGTGATGCAATTCAGTCATTCTGAAGAATATTTTCAAGGACCGTAGCCAGCTAAGACAAAACAGAGTCATAAAATACATTCGCCTAAAAGCTTACAAACAATGTACACCTATATATACAAACCAAACCTTCTCTCTGGCAGTTTTATAATAAAAATATATGGCTTATAGATAGTCTCAAATGTCAAAGATGAAAAAAACCTGAACTTCACTTTATAGATGAGAAAACTGTAGCCCTGGGCCAAGGGTCAGCAGACTTCTCTAAAGGGCCAGATGGTAAATGGTTGACATTTTGGAGGTCCTATAGTCTCTGCTGCAACTATTTGCCTCTGTCACTGTAGCACAAAAGCAGCCACAGACAATACATAAACAGATGAGTGCGGCTCTGTTCTCATAAAACTTTATTTATGGATACTGGAATTTAAGTTTTACATTACTTACATCACATGCTACAAAATCTACTACTTCTTTTTTTTTCTTTCCCAACCATTTAAAAATGTAAAAGCCATTCTTAGCAGGCTACACCAAACAGGTGGTGGGCCAGATTTGGCCCTCAGGCCACAGTCTGCTGAGCCCTGTCATTTCGGCCACTCTTACACTCGAGTGTAGATAAGACAGGCCCCAATGCTTAATACTTCGTTCATTTGCTCTTTGCTTTACCCATCCACAGCAAAGACCTGGATACTCTTCACCAAAAAATGTACAACTAAGAAGCTTTATCAACATTTTCTAAATGTTAGGAGTAGTATTAAGATCTGTCAGACAAGTATGCCAGGTCACAGTTTAAAGGATATTGATATAATGCCATATTGTGCATTAAATAAAAACAAGAGAAAAATATAATAAACTTGAGAAACTCACTAAATTTGAAAAATAGGCTTTATTTTAACCAGTGGTATTGTCTGACATCCTATACGGCATAACTGATTACAGCCAAGTTCATGAATACAAATAAAATAGCAATTTCCCTCATTCTCTCTTTTGTTTTCTGTTCAGAGAAATCAGGAGATGGGAGCATTATGCTCAGAAACCGAAGAGCTCTTCCAAGAGCTCCAGCTTAGAGTCCAGGCTTCCAGAGCATGCAGCCTCCTAACACGTATGTGGTCACATGTGCAAAGACCTTTATTACAAAATATTCAGAGCAGTATTTCTGTAGGAAATCACACGAGCATTTACAACCAAACATGGCTGATAAAATTCATCTTGCTGTGGATGGTGAGGATTTGAACTGCAATAAAGGAGATGAGGCCTTTACTTTAAAGGTTCACTTTCCTTGAAAGGGGGAGAGTCCCGGGTGAGAGGGAATCGCCATCAGTCTGCCTCCTTCCTTCTTGCTCCAGTTGACTCAGGGGGTCCACCCTGTCCCTCTGGAGTACATGTATCACTGCACTGATTGAGAAATGGAAACACCTTGGCCCAAATACAAGATTCTGTCACACAGCCAACACTGGAAGTGACTTTATACTTTCTTATTACACAAAAGGCTTAAATATATGAGTCCTCATGTAGAACAAAATGCCTGAAATTCAGCAAGTTATGAAAACGACACTTCTCCACCCCTGAGGATATTTTATCTTTATAAAGTTGAAAATACAAAATATTAAAATAATTTGCCCTTTCTCCCCATCAAAAGGAATCACATTCTCAAAGGATTCCTACAATATACAAAATTCTGAAACAAAATTTATTTCTCCCCAAACCAAGAAGTCAATGTTAAGCTGCCAAGAAGACCCTTTTCCATAGGAGTGGAAAAGACACCTTGTTACTTTTTTATTTTAAAGTAATCATATTTAGAGAAAGACAGCAAAAGGAGTTTCTGGCCTTATGGGCTTTAATTTTTTACTTTGATTTTCAGCATTTCTTAGCATTAGTTATTGGGAGTGAAGAGAATAACTTGTTTCCGAAGTTTGGGATATTCCTGGGAAAAGCCCTGGTCTTTTCCCATGATAATTCCTCAAAAATAGTTGGTTGAAAACAGATGGCATGAATAAAAATGCTATACATCCACCTGTTCCTCTTTTCATGATTTTCACATCAAAAGCACCTGAAGTATCAATTGTGTTCAACACAGAATAGCACTAGGGGCTGAAGAGAGGTGATATCACTTGCCATAATATCAGCTGAGGTGACATGGGATCTAAACTACCCAAGAAGTCTTCACTGGCAAACCTGCCTGACACCAGGGCCTCCTGAAGAGAGCAGGACAAGCAGCTGTGCATGCTCAAATAGCAAGACGTGCAAAACACATCCTCACTCTGCTAGAAATAAAGAGTACACAGGAAGTACATGACATCAAGAACCTGCTTCTGACTACTGGGGCAGATATTCAAGAAACCTCTGCACCAAAGGTGAAGGGTAAGCAGAGAAATGGCAACACCTGGGGGTGAGGGAGAAAGAGAGACGCACATATACGCATGTGCTCACATGCACACATGACCGCCTATGAAGGCTGCCTGATTACTCCGGGCCCACAAGCAGCTGTCCAACAGCCCTCTCGACTTGCCCGGCTCAGAACTTCAGCAGCTGCAGTCTTTTAACTATCTACACTTTCTTCTCTCCTTTTAAGGCACAAACATATTTACAGTTTCAAATATACTGTCAAGATCTGAGAACCATACTAAGCAAGTTAATCACAGGCTAGTGCACAGAAGCCAGTTGGTCCTTTTTGGCTGTACGTATCACTGAGGGACGGTGTCAGGTCTGAAGCAACCAGAAGGTATGGGCCTTCTCTCCGTGCCACTGTGGGATGTTGTCAAGTCTACGCCCCACCGTCAAGGTGGGGTCACAGGAGAAGCCAAAGTGGCAAAAGCATGACCGGGATTGGGGACAATTCATATTTTTTTACTTTGCATTGAACATATTCCTAAAAGGACAGCAGCTCTTGTCTGCCTGAGCCAACTCTCAGAAAGAAGAGCAAGGTGGAGGCTGCCCTGGAGCATCCACAACCTCCTGTAAAGTCACTGTGATCATAGTTTGTTCATATTGTCTTACCCTCCCACAAAGACAGACACACACATGCACACACACTAACACGCACGCACACGCACGCACACCCCCTTCCACCATGGAGGAAATCTCTGCAACAAGAGGCACTTGAATAATATTTGGAGAGTTCCCGTGAAAAGGCCTTCCCCTCACAGTGAAGTGGGATCAACAGAACAGAAACCAGGTGCTCAGGACTCCATCTCTTCTTGGTCAAGGGGTGGTGGCACAAAGCTGATGACTTCATCATAGGTCAGGCCTAGAAATTGGGAAGGAAAAGTAAGATGTGAGAGTTTAGGCTATTCTCTTTGCTGGCAAGCACTCTGACTTCTAAGCTCAAGATCCTTCCTCTCTGTCCAGGTAGTGGTTTGATGGGCTACCTCACAGCTTGTATGTAATAGCCTACTGGAACACGTTATCACACAGAAGTTCAAGGGACATAGAAAAGAACCATTTTTTTTCTCATGTTTTTCATCGCTGAGTGCCTCTTCTTTTAAGCTCTCTACGGAGGTGCTCAAGAATGAAAGAGCACTCTCACAAGCTACAGCAACAGATGGTCTTGGCTCTTGGGATTTAACTAGAGTTCTGAACTTGTGTTTTGTGGAAAGAATATGGGACTGGACACAGGATACATGGGTTCCATTCCTGGCTATGTCCCTAACTAGTTCTAAGTTAACTGATAAGACATAAATTCTCTTTGCCCCAGTTCTACTAATTGTAAAACTGTAAAAGCTCAGAGAGATGTTGTAAATGCAATGACTCTGAAAACCTCAACTCTCCATGCAAAACTCCTATGTGAGGGGCTGTGCATAAAATCAGACCAGACATAAGTATCTCAAAGGTCCAGAGAGTATCACTGTCTACAACAGTTTCCACCAGAGAACATATTCATTCTGCATTAGAGACCTCATCTACAAGCTTTAGCAAGTTGGTTATGACCATTCAGTTTTTATTTTTCCCACCGCTTTTGGTTAGTGGTTCAAGATGTTAATCCTACCCTTAGGACTTACTTTTCCACTCATCTATAAGGAGGTCCCTGCTTTCAAAGGACTGATCATAAGGATCGGCCACTGGTTCATCATCAGGATCGTGGTACTGAGCAAAGTAGGCATGTGCAAGGGCTTGGGCCGCTGTAATTCTCTTATCTGAGTCCAATACAAGCATCTTCTCCAGCAAGTCGACAGCTATCAGTACCATAGACAGGAAGGAAAAGAGTTTTTAACATGTTACAAAAAAGTATGCCTTATTGAGCAAACATAGTTTTGACCCTTCATATCCAAACAAAGAACTCTCCTCCAAAATACCTACTCTAGGATATATTAGCCCTCTTCTCCTTTATGTGTGTATGTGTGTGTGTGTGTGTGTGTGTATCTGTATTTTCTATGTTTTAAAATTTTTTTATTTTATTTTTGATTTGGGGGTACATGTGCACATTTGTTACATGGGTCTCACCACGGACTGATGGGGACTGGGCTTCTAGCGTGCCCATTAACCAAATAGTGAACATTGTACCCGATAGGTTATCTCTCAACCCTCACCCTCCTCCTGTATTTTGTATTTTTAAAGAATATGTTACTAAAGAAGAATTTTTTTAAATGACTGGGATTCTGTTTGAACAGGCTTTTGTGGACCGTCAATGTCAAACTGCTACCAGTGTAGTCAAACTGTATAAAACAAAGCCTACAGCTGAAGTAACCTACAATAGGTAGGCAGGGCTGTTTTTTTTTTGTCCCCCTAAGCTGTTTATTTACTAACATCAAATATTCATCAACAGATCTTCAAACAGTGAATAAACTGGGGGTTTTACATGGTGATGAGGGTGAGACATGGTATTAAAATCAAAGGGAATTTTATTTTTAAAAATTTCACTATGAAAAATTTCAAATATACAGAAACAGAAAAGTAAAAACTATGATAAAGTGAACACTCATATGCCTAGCATATTCAACAATTAACATTTTTATATTTCTGTATTTATATGTATTTTTTTCTGAACTGTTTTAAAATAAAATTATAGACATGACACTTTACCCTCCCCAAATATTTCAACACGAAGACATCTTCCTATATAATCATAATACTGTTATTATCTCTGACAAATAATTTCTAAATATCATCTAAAATCCAGTTCATGTTAAGATTTCTCCAATTATTCCAACGTTGTCTTTTAGAACTAGTTTGTTGAAACCAGGATTCAATTAGGGGCCATGCACTGCAACTGACTGGTTTTCTTTAGTCTCTCTTAGTCTAGAATAATCTTCTTACTTCTAAGCCCTGTTCTTTCCTGATTTTGATCTAAAGAGACCCTCTGATTGTCCTGAGAATGACCGTTTCTCGGGATGTGTCTGATTTTGCTTCTTTTGCTGTCATGTGTCTATACCCTGCTTTCCACTATCCCCTGTACTTCCCAAAAACCGGAAGTTAGGTCAAAAATTTTGGTAAGAATCAGGTTAAACATTTTCAGCAAAAATACAGGTGATGCTGTGCACGTGACAGTGCATTAAGGCCATCTGTCCCACTACTAATGAGCTAAAATTGATCACTGGGTTAAGATGTTTCCCCTTTGACCAAAGCAAGTAATCTGCGGGATATTTTGGTACCAAGTAAATATCCATTCTTTTCACTTATGGCTTTCTGCATTCACTGGGTTTCCTTCCCAAAAGCAATTATTTCATAAGGGGTTACAAAATGGTAATTTGTCTAACTCTATATTTCAAATGAGTATTTTTGTGTTTCAGCATGGTGGCACTTGGGAGAATAAATACTGCCATATAACCAGTTATCACTGTGGTGAAAAAGGCTTTTGAGACTTTGCAAATTACTCCTTAAATGTGGAGGGTGTGGGGGTGAGTAGTGAAGAGGACAGCTTCCTATAGAGATCTACTGCTGTGTATATTGGAGGCTGTAAAACACCCGTCCTACAGCTTGAATTCCAGAGTAATCCACTGGAGAAATATGGGCTTCAAGGGGATACAGAAACAAAGTAAATATTCATGTGTCAATTCAAGTTCATAAGTTTACACTTTACAGTACTAGGTGAATGCCTGGATTATATATATATATATTCTTCTGATGGTCTTCTCTTCTTAGAAAAAGAAACCTTATCAGCTGTTGATTTTATAATTGAACACAGATTATACGACAAGTCTCTGTTACCCTTAGGGTAAAAAGGACCATGTTCTTATAACCAATAAGGTCAGGGGCAAGAACAAATTCCTCAAAGATCTTATTAGCTGGGCATGGCATTATGTGCCTGTTGTCTCAGCTACTTGGGATAGGGAAGAGGAAGGATCACTTAAACACAAGAGTTCGAGGTTATCATGAACCGTGACTGTGCCACTGTACTCTAACCTGGGTGACAGAGTGAGATGCCATCTCTTAAAAAAAAAAAATCTTGACAGATAAATACATACACTAACATCAAGGGGTAATTTAAGTTTTAATTCATGTTTTGGGAATAGCAGTGAAACAAAGTCAGTGGCTGACAAAACAGAGCTGTTAATATTTATATTTCTGGCATGTTCCTGCTCAGTTAATATGCTGGGCACGAGCTTGTGATAGTAACACTGTGCTCCATCTGCCCAGCAAGGGGAGCCTCATTATATGACATCACTGTTTGGCAATGGGCTGTAAGGCACGTTTAAATGCTGAGAAGTACAGTGCTGAGCACCAGATGGACCAAAGCCTCCTTTCAACTCATTAGCAAAGTGGTATCTAGTTCTTTTGGAGGTTTCAATGTCATGATTTCAAAGAATGGGAAGACCTATCAGGAGGTATGTGACCTAAATAAGCTGCTGGAACACAAATATCTCCCCTCTCCCCCTAAAAAATGAATTAACACATCTTTCTGAGTCTGTTAAGAGGGTGTCAGTGAGTACTGCCCTGTTCAAAACTTAAGGCTTATAAAATGAAACAACTTCAGAACAGAATGACGACAAGAAAGAACACGACGGGCTGGGTGCAGTGGCTCATGCCTGTAATCCCAGCACTTTGGGAGGCCGAGGCGGGCAGGTCACGAGGTCAGGAGATCGAGACCATCCTGGCTAACACGGTGAAACCCCGTCTTTACTAAAGATACAAAAAATTAGCCAGGTGTGGTGGCACACACTTGTATTCCCAGCTACTCAGGAGGCTGAGGCAGAAGAATCACTTAAAGCCGGGAGGTGGAGCTTGCAATGAGCCGAGATCGCACCACTGCACTCCAACCTGGACGACAGAGCGAGACTCTGTCTCAAAAAAAAAAGGAAAGAAAGAACACAACATCTTTTCCCAACATCCTGTAGTACTTAAGGCTCAAAGAGAGCTTCTCACAGACCCTTGAACTAGATAATACAGCTCAAATAAATCACACAAAGCCAATGAGAGCATGCCAGGGCAGATGCAAACCTAAGCCAGTCTCAGTAGAATCGTACCCACCCCTGATGAGACTGTGGATTCATCCTAGGGCAGGAGAGCGACCCAGCTGAGATATGACATACTCTCTGTCTCCAAGGCTGACACGAACTCATCCACAACTGCCCAAAACTTCAAAGAGCGTGAGTATCTCTGCTATTATAAGAATTATCACAGCGACACTAAAATTCCTCTCCATAATCACTATGGATGAAGTACTTAAAAAGGTAAAATCACCTAGCCTTCACCCCAGCTTCTAAAGAGGTCAGCATGGCTGTCAGCCCTCAAAAAGATAAAACTAAACCTGAAGCATAGCTGCCAAGACCCTTAAGAAGACAGATGACCCAAACAGATGCAAAGAAATGCAGTGAGATTTTAAAACACACCACACAATACAATCTTAAGAAAAGTGAGAAGGCAGATTATACTCGTTACCATAGCATAGCTCCCTTCCCTATTGTAGGGAGGTCCTGGTCTGATCCTTCTGTGTCCACCATTAAACAGCACTGTCCACTGTCCTCTTCAAGAGTCAGGGAATGAGCCTCAGGCAAAGCAGCTTTCAGGGGCCATCTGAAGCACACATCACTCCTCCCCTTCAAAGAATATAGTCCGCCAGGCACAGTGTCTCACGTCTGAATCCCAGCACTTTTGGAAGTTGAAGTGGGCAGACTGCATGAGTCCAGGAGTCCACGATTAGTAAGATGGTGAGACCCTGTCTCTACAAAGAATTCTTTAAAAAATTAGCCAGGCTTGGGGATGCATGCCTGTAGTCCTAGCTATTTGGAAGGCTGAGGCAGGAGGATCACTGGAGCCCAGGAGTTCAAGCTTGCAGTGAGCTATGATTGTGCCACTGTACTCTAGCCTGGGTAAAAGAGCGAGACCCTGACACTACCAAAATAAATAAATAAATAAATAAATAAATAATAATAATAAAGCAACTCCTTTTTTAGCCAAGGCAACACATATCTTCAGCTGCCACCATCACTTCCCTCTGCCAAGGATCTTGAAGGCATAGGAAGCCATTCCTTTAAGTTTAGGTAGCAAATAAGCTCCACAAACAGGAGAGGACGGTTATGCCTCTGAGGGCAGAGAAAGAAGAGGAGAGGGGAAAAGTTCATGAGTGTGGAAGACGACAGGATCTGTAGCAACGGCAGCTACCGTTAGAGCAGAGCACCCTGCAGGGAGCTCCTGGGTGGCTCCTCTAAACACCCACCTGCACTTCAGTGGTTTCTGTCCTCCACTCAGAGACACCATAAATCCACAGCAGTTGTGAGCAAGTTACAGCTTTCTTCTGTATCTGCTTCTTCCTGCCTCACCAATCTTTTCTCTCAACATTCCCATTACTTTCTCTCCTTTCTCCACTGTACCTGCCCATTCCCCCAATCCCAAGTTCTGTGATCATTTAAACATACAATCATCTCATGTGATTAAAAAAAAATCTGACAACACAAATAGATAATAAAAGCCGTATTTATCACCTTCCAAGATTCAACTAATGGTACTTTATTTGGTCAAAAGGAGAAACTCTTCTTCAAATCCCCAATTTATATCATAACCAATTCAATATCCATGAGGTGAGGATATATGGTCAACTTACCCAGGGGATTGGCACCAATAAATACATTCGCAAAGTTCATCTTCGGCATCTGAGTCAAAGACTGAATATAGTTTCTTGCCTGAAAAAACAAGGGTTTTCAGAATGACTTTGTTCAATAATGTTACTGCTCTCAAAGAAAGAATCTTGGTCCTGCTAAGGAACGAGTGTTAACTGACAAAGTCCACTAACTTCAGTGTTTCTAACTGTCTTTGATAGAACTTCTCCCTTACTGCCATCCTAACTTCCCTAGTTATGATCATCACCTTCTTTATTCCTGCTATCTCTCACAGTTGCATTTCAAGTGAACGAGAATGCTCATCAATCAAATTCTCTTTCATTAGCTTTCTGATCACAGGATGAGAAGTTTAAAAACTGAGGCCAAGATATGTAAGAAGTAGCCCTGAGACAGCCTTCTCAAACAGCTAAATTGGTAGAGGGGTTGGTATTCCCAAAGCAAGTCTTGGACCAGCAGTCTTTTGACAGTGCTGACTTCAGTAGGTGCTCTTAGTACATCAAAGGATATCAATATTAAACCTTGCTAACAAAGTAACGGTGGTAACAAAAAAGTTAATATAAACTTAATATAACAGTCCTACCTCACAGGGTTGGAGTGAAGATTAGAGATAACAAACCTAGTACTTTCTTAACACAGTACTTGGTTCCAAGTGACAGTTCAAGAAACATTATCTGCTATCCCACTATCACCTTCAGAAGCAAAGTCTGCTGTCTATCTTAACCACCTCTTTAAAACTCCTGTTTTAATACAGTCCAACAGTAAAAGTATGTATGTATATTTATGTTTACACATACACACACAAGTTTATAAAAAGTTCTGGTTGCCCAGGCACGGTGACTCACGCCTGTAATCCCAGCACTTTGGGAGGCCAAGGTGGGCAGATCGCTTGAGCCCAGGACTTTGAGACCAGCCTGGGTAACATGGTGAAAACTTGTCTCCAAAAATACAAAAAATTAGCCAGGTGTGGTGACGCATGCCTGTGGTCCCAGCTACTTGGGAGACTGAGGTAACAGGATCGCTTGAGCAGGGAGATGGAGCCCAGGAAGCTTGAGCCCAGGAGGTGGAGGTTCCAGTGAGCTAAGATCGTGCCACTGCACTCCAGCTGGGGTGACAGAGTTAAGATCCTGTCTTAAAAAAAAAAAAATCTGGTTGCTTGGGCAAGTTCACCTTCTTTATTTATTAAAAAAATTTTTTTAGAGACACAGTCTCTGCTCTGTTGCCTAGGCTGGAGGTCACTGGCACAATCACAGCTCACTATGGCCTCTAACTCCTGACTCAAGCAACCCTCCTGCCTCAGCTTCCCAAGTAGCTGGGACTACAGGCATGTGCTATCATGCCCTAATTTTTAAATTTTTTTGTAGAGCTGCAGTATTGCTGTGTTGCCCAGGATGGTCTCAAACTCCTGGGCTCAACTGATCCTCCCATCTCAGCCTTCCAAAGTGCTGAGGTTGCAGGTGCACGCCACCACACCCAGCCTTCCGCTTCTTAATTATTGCATGTGGAGTCAGGAGGAAAGGTCTGCTTTGAAAAGCAATTGAGAATCTTTCTGATTTGAAAAGAAAGTTTTAGGAATTGAATACATAAATGGCTGTAATCCCTTTCTACTTGAACATGTAAATAAAAAGAGGAAGGGAAAACAGGTAAGAGAGAACTATCTCATTCAGAGAACAGTCATCCCTTTAATAAAGATAAATCAAAAGACGACCTGAATATAGCTGAAGTAGAAACAAAGCTGCTGGGAAGGGCCCTCTGTGATGCCAACCTGGTTCCCCAAAATATTAAGGGTATCTTACAAAGAAAGAAGTGCCCCAATCATCTCTGATAATAAAACAAGAGTTAGACTAAGTAGTTAATAATTAATAAAGAAGGTACCTAACTGTACCAAAGTGTTTGTATTTATTCTATATTATTTGTGTATTTTCTTTTAAATATAGTACATATTAGTATTGGATATTTCAGTTTTGTTTTTAAATAAAGAATCCTCTTTTGGTCATTAAAAAAATGGATGAATTGGAAAGCATGCTAATGGACTTCAGTTAACTACCCTTCTGATAAAGGTCACGATAGTAGCACACCCTAGCTACAGGCAGAGCACCTAGAAAGAAACCGCCTCACAAGCACTAAATTCACACAACCAAATATAAAAATAACAATTTTCCATTTACAAGCTTACTAATTATATTCCCAATCTCACAGGACTGGATGACATTTTATCCCAAAAGTCAACATCTTGCAATAGCACATAGGCAGGCCTCAAGGCACATGCAAGCATCCAGTGATGTTAAGAACTGTTGGTTATACGGTGGCAATAAAATGAGAATGTGGCTTCTCAGTGCGACATCCCTGTACAGTCTCTTTGTTCTCACCTCATGGCTTGGCATCCTGTTAATGAGATAAGCGGGGGGTGTTCCTGTCAGACGCATAATCTGCTGAAGCTGGTTAATATCTTAGATGCCTAGTCAAGGGCATTGTTAAACATACAGTGCAAAAAATAATTTTCAACTCAAGTTTTTAAAAAGGTCAAAAAGCCACCCCCAAACAGACAAAAAAACCTACCCTCCATTCCCCCTACCCGAGAGCCCACAGCTGCATGCTACAGTACACTTCTGTGAATGACATGAGTAACTAGGCACGTAGCCAGTGACTGGCCATGCAGATAAGAAAAATTACTTTTCTTTGGTTTTAGCATCATCTTTACTGTTAAATATTTTAGGTTCCCTGGAAACAGACTGCCCCTTGATCCAGGATGCCAGCCATAGAACTGTTTTCAAGTACTGATGGCCAAAACCTGTTTGTGGGAGAAATATAGATGATTCCAAAAATTTTGACTCAACTTTGAACAAAATAAAATATCCAACATATCCATTCAAGGAAGAGACTAAACTTTTGCGGCACAGGTTCTCCAAGGCACCATCCCTCCGAATTAAGACACACGTGGGCATCTGGGTTAATAAGCAATGCCACATTTCAAAGACATTAGTTAGTGGTACATTTAAAATACTTGCCACAAACACAAAATGGTAAATGAAGAAAGAGGAGAAGAGGAGAAGGTTAGAGGCTAATGGCAAAGGCAAAACAGAAGTCACAGGCTGCTGAGAGTGTTAAAGCATGCCACATGATTTCCTCCACAAGTCTCTTCAACTAGCGAACAGACTAACCTCATTTAACAAACAGCTGGAGGGAAGTCTGCAGAATACTCTGCAAGCATCTGATAAGGGCAGAACTATGAGATTTTCTATATGTATAGGCACATATGTAAGCTGTACTACAACTTCTCTCTTTTAACTGTTCCATCAATGTTAATACAACTCACCCTCTTCTAAAATGTCAGAACTGTTTATCATGTTCCTACTAAGAGCAGAAGTGATGAGATTTTAAAAATATTCAATGTAATTCAATAAACCCCTTTTCTAGTCCTGTTCTTGTTAACTACTAATTCCCTCATTCAGGTGAAGTGTCATCTTTAATAAGCACCATGGCCAAGCAATTTTACTTCATGGCTTTCCCAAATAATTTTTCTACTTTAGCTCGTCCTCTGAACTGAACTCCCTAGTGGTCAGATGACTTAGCAGTAATCTGTTTAAGGCTGGCCACAGGGAGGGAGCTAGAGCCATGTGCTCCACGCTGCCTTTTACGCTCCCTAAGCCCAAAGACAGAGGCCAGTAAATTCCAAAAGGGGATAGGAAATACACTTTGATTTGCGGTCCTTTTAAGAAACGTTAACAGATCCATACCAGATGATGGAATTCTTTATTTTGTTAGGAGTACAGATAACAGAATTTAGAGTTACCTTTAACAAATCACATAACAAATGATACTTTTCATGCCAAGGGAAATAACAAAAAGGGGCCACAAAGTAAACCAGCAATAGCAGAATACCAGTTGGGTCTTAAAATGTAAAAATCCTCCACTTCCCCTTTCTTTCTGTGAATGATACCTGGCCTGCACATTTTCTGTCTTTGTCTCCTTTAGTCAAAGAGGTTATTATATCCCCTTTCTGTCAAGAAGTTAGAAAGATTCTATTTCTGGAGGAAAATGTGAATGAGTCAGGTCTTCGCTTTTTTATCTAATTTAATTAATTAGTTTATTTATTTTTAAAGACAAGGTCTTGCTCTGTTGCCCAGGCTGGAGTGCAGTGCATGATCACCACTCCCTGCAGCCTCAAACTCCTGGCCTCGAGTGATCCTCCTGCCTCAGCCTCCCAAAGTGCTGTGATGACAAATGTGAGCCACTGTGCCCAGTCTGCTTTTGCTTTCTTAATATGATTTTCTTGTTCTTTCACTGATTATTATAGATACTGGGACATTAACCAAATGAATTCTCTGTCCTTGGCCTCCATCACAACCCATTTATACCTTTTCCTATGGCTCATTCTAATAGGTTCTAAATCCATTACTGCATTCTCTTACTCGGCATTCAATTTCTTCATAATTATTGCCATCACTACTTCACTACTTTTCAGGAGAATGAAAACAGCTGTTGGCTATTTACTGCACTCCTTCACTAATGTCTTTTTTCTTTTTTTAATTTTTAAAATCTCTGAACAATTTTACTCACCTGGCCTTATTTTTCCATTCTGTTCCCATACATCATGCGCTTTTAAGATAAACAGGTACTTGGGCCGTGTCACGAACATCAAATTAATCTTGTCTACCCCTTAGGATGTTTAAACTACTTTTATCCACTCACCCCAATTATGTAGGAAACAAACCAAAAAAAAAAACCTTTCTTATTCTTATACTCAATATAATATTATTTGAGTTAAGTTCTGTATTCTGGTACTCAATTTCAGTAGAGCTGTTGAAATGTATAATGTGCCTCATTTCACAGAGAGACCTCCATTATTAGGCTGTGCACTCATTGTTTCTTTCTTAAAAATAAGTGATGGATTAATGACAGATAAATACTATTGACTATTTTACCTAGACTTTGGTTTGAATTCCTAATCCAATTCCAAATGACTAATAGCACGTATCTATAGGGCAGATGGTTGGGATGGAAGAGAAGACTAAGAAAGGGCTGCTAGGAGACACTCTCAGGAAGGAAATGAATTTGCTTGGTCTCATTAGCACTATTTATTAATTGAGCTCCTCCCTCTGCCCTTAGGTCCTCTTACTGTAAGACAGTGTTTCTAAGCAAAAACATTAAAAAAAAAGTACTGCTCTTTCTAAGCATCATCTGATATCTTTGATTCACTCTAATTCAGCTTCTACATATCATAAAGGAGAAAAAAATACCTCTTTAGGTTGACATTGTGGTAACACTGACAATGACTTTCAAAATAGTGTGTAATCACATGGGATTATAGTTTGGATCATGTTATCAGAACATCTGGGATCTATACTCAGCTCTGCCACGTGATTCAGTGCATGACATGGAAAAGTCACTGCCCTTCTGGGCTTTTGCTTCTTTATCTTAAATAAGTAAATGAAACAAATTCAGAGTGGAGGTTCAGAAATACACTGGGCTTTGGGATCCTTTCAAGAAATGTACCGGATACATACCAGATGACGGTATTCTTTATTTTGTCAGGAAGATGATGAACGGTTCCAACTCACCTGCTTATGCTTGCCTCAAGCTACCCAGCCATCTTCCCAACTAGGCAAAGGGCCCCTTCAGTCATAAATGTTGGGAGGAGAATCCAGGAAGGCATAACTGGAGCTTGGCTCCATAGCTCTTTTTTTCTTTTGTTCAACTGCCTGGCAGCAGATCGAGGGAAAAAGAAAAGCTGGGCTTTCATGGCTTCTCTCATGCCTCTGGCCCAAGAAAATGACCAAGAGCAGGAAATCATAGCAAAAGTAAGCCAGACTCACATTCCCATGGCTTCTGTCTAAGTCCCTGCTTAGAAGCAAGAAAGCACTAGTTCCAAACTCTGTCTCAGGTTATCTAACTTATAATTACAAGGCAATAGGAGGAAAATTTATAACCACATTCCTGTGTATCTGAGGTATCAGGAGTGAAGCTGTTTCTTCTGAGTGGGGTCTAGGGACTGGGTAGAAAGGTCCCTCTGTTGGGAACAAACATTTTACATAGGATATGTGAGTATCTATTCTAAAACAATAAAAAATAACTTCTGGGAAGGGGCAACAGTGTGCAGACAATGTACATTTTATTCTTTTAGTGATTAAGTTAAACTAAATACATGGTGAAGCTCATGCTCTGAGAACAAACACTAGAAACAGTGAAAAGAGCTCTAGAGCATACGTGAAACTTCTGAGAAAGAAGAAAGTCAGGTCTTGAGGACAGAGACACAAAGTTTACATTAATCTCTTGGAATGAATTAGAATCTCAAATCTCATTGCTTTACTGGGATACTATTGTCTAATGGAGGCTCCCGTGATCTTAGTGTGTACCCAGATAGAGAATAAAACACACTTGTGCATGCAAGCAGGCACACATGCGTGCACGCACACACACACTCACACTGTCTTATACCTCACTCATCCGGGAAGTCAGCACACAAAGGGCATGTGTGCTTACAAACACACCCAGGTCAAAGTACAGATTGGTAGAAGGCAAGTGGCAGAGGCTCCCAACAGGGCAGATAATTACAAAGCATCAACTCACAGACTCTGAGGAGATTTTCTTCAAAAGCTCAGCCCCTGGGGTTCCAACGAGTCTTAAAATGAGCTTCAACTGATCAATATCTAATGGTGGACCATAAAGGAAAATGTTGGGACAAAATAAAAATGAAAAACAAACAATGACAAACAAAACAAAAACAAACAAACAGAACACACCGAGAACAAAAATGAAACACCCCAAACCTAGCCAACACGGTGAATCCCTCTAGGTCAAGGCTCCTGCAGGATGATCACTTCACGTAGGGCATGCTCCTCCTGTACAAAGATTCAAAATGCTACCAAACACATATCCACTTTATATTCATTTTATGCATCTGTCAACAGCATGTATCAGTAAAGTGAGGCAACTTTAGCTGGTTCTTAGCTGCCAAAGACAGCAGGTGAAAACACAAGAGCTTCACTCAGTTTACACTGCCCTCTTCATCTGCCATCACAGTGTCAGTAACCAGTTCAGCAAAGTGCACTGATAATTAGAGGGCCACAGATAAGGAAAAAAGCAGCAGAAGACAGGAGCTAGGGATGTACAAGTCTATTTATGAATATTCTCCCAAGCGTGACCTAAAGAGCTTGTGATATGACAGTGGAAGGCCTGTGAGACCCCAAAGCCTGACCACTGGAGCACACCCTCTGGAAAGGGAAGCCTCGCCTCTCACACTGGCTATAGCAGGCACTATGAGGGAGAGTCGCCAGCAGAGGGCGCTCTCCCATCGCATGTTCCTTTAGGAGCGCCATGAGAACGCAAATACAGGCGGTTTCAACCTTATAAAATGCAAATGAACAATGCTTAACAAACTTCACACATCCCAAAGGCTCTAAATAATAGGCCACAATGCCATAACTTTTATCCTGGTAGCTAACACTTCAATGTATACTCAGAATGTATGTGCATGTGTTAACCAGAAGACAAAAATTTGTTTGTTCTCATTGCTTTTAATCTTACCTAAAAAGGAAGTTAAAAAGAGGGGGAAAAATATTATAAAATAGCTTTTAATATTTCCTCTGAAAATGTGAACAGTTTATCCACGTTTATACTGACTGACATTCCAGGGAGGGAGAAGGGGAGGATGACTGTCTTCTGACCCATCAGGTTTTTCACATGACTAAATCCTCTTGGCTTCAGGTCTCAGCTTCAACTTCACCTCCTAAGGGAGGCCTCCCCTCAACACTCTATATACATAACACCCCACCCCCCAATTCTCTCTCAGCACCATGCTTGATAACATCATAGTGCTTATCACAGCCTAGAATTACTTTATTTGCTTACTGTCTGCCCCCTGTACTGGTCTACAGCTCTACGAGGACAGGGGCCACTCTGCCTCTTCACCATTTATCCCCAGCCTAACATCTGGTACATGACAGGTAGTCAAAATATTTGAGGAAAAGGTAGAGCAGGATGAAAGAAATTTTTGCTTATGGTTATACATATAAAGGCAACATAGCAGCACTTAAAAACAACAGTCTCTATAAGCCACAGGTGCCTACGTTATAGGAATAACTTAATGCAGTAATTTGACATCCTGTCTTTTACTTTCTTTCAGACATGAAATCAGCTTAAATGGAAGAAAATTCTAGGCTGGAGTCACCAAACCCCAGGCTCTGCCTGTTTTATATATAAAGTTTTATTAGAACACAGCCATGCCCATTCATTTATGTACAGTCTATAGGTGTTTCCAATTACAACAAGCACAGTTACCATATGGTTCCCAAGCCTAAAATATTAACTACCTGGCCCTTTCAGAAAAGGTGCGCCAAACCCCACCCTAAACCCAAACAACTTGTGTTCTTTAGCAAGCAAAAACAAACTAGAAACAAGTCCACTCACATTATTTCTAAATTAAGAATAACAGGGAATTTTGTCATCTGCAAATGGCAAAAATCATTGTGTTATAAAGGTTAAGATTTTAATACTGGCTTCTCAGTTCAAGATGTTGACAAGTAAAAAATCTTATAGCATATGTTCATGGGACAGAGTAGGAATGGGGGTGGGATGGATACTGTCTTGCTCTAAAATAATCAGATTAATTATATTACAATAGAAATCAGTAAAAAAAATTCTTGCTCATCTAAAATGACTCAATTCAAAAAATTTAGTTTCCTCACATTAACACTCTTCAGGAATATATTTAACTGGGTAGCCACCACAAGATAAAGTAAATCATATATGGGAAAAATCTTGACTACTTCAAATCTCAAACAAGTGGCTTTACAATATATGCATCAAAAGTAATCTCTAAAATGAAGCTTTTGATATTGGTACTCTTGTTTAAGAGACTTCTTTCTGACTACTTAACAATGAGAGTCAGTTGTTTTTTTTTTTTTTTTTTTTTTTGAGACGGAGTCTCTCGCTCTGTCGCCCAGGCTGGGGTGCAGTGGCGCGATCTCGGCTCACTGCAAGTTCCACCTCCCAGGTTCACGCCATTCTCCTGCCTCAGCCTCCAGAGTAGCTGGGACTACAGGCGCCTGCCACCACACCCGGCTAATTTTTTGTATTTTTAGTAGAGACGGGGTTTCACCATGTTAGCCAGAATGGTCTCAATCTCCTGTCCTCATGATCCGCCTGCCTCGGCCTCCCAAAGGGCTGGGATTACAGGCGTGAGCCACCGTGCCTGGCTGAGAGTCAATTTTTATACTCTCTCTAAGGAAGACAGGCTCTCTGAGCTGTGAATTTCTCAACTACCTGAACTTCACCCCAACCTACCTGAAGAATACGCAATTTCCATTAGTCACAGTGGCTCATTACATCAATGAGCTGAGAAACCCTCTCTCTCCCACCTCTGCTGGCATGAAACAATATCAGGCCTGAAGAATCAAGCCTAGTTTGACTCTGGCTCAAATTATTATTCTTTAATGCACTCAATGCTTCAACTCACATCAGATATTCCAGGCACTTCTAAGCTTCCAAGTACTTATTTATGTACTCATAAACCAGAATACCTCCCCCTTCTCCCGTCCTTCCAAGCCTTTTCTATTCCTATTTACACTTTGAAGTCCTATTCAAACAAGAACTCTGCCATGAAGTCTTCTTGGATTTTTTTCAATAGCTTATCTATAACTCTATTCTAGTGTATTTATCACTCCATCTTATTTTATAATCAGAGACAGTTGTTCAAGTAACTCTTGTAACTCTCTTTCCACTGAGTCTGATCATTCTGGTTTTAAGGACAGGTACCATCCTGTCCCCAGCACCTTCCACAGAGCAGCTTGATAAATACTAGTTGACTTGAAAAGATGAGCCATGGCACATCCTTTCATCACCTCGGGAGGTGCCGATGTCTTGAGTCGTGACACCGGCGTATGCTGACACTGCTGCCTCCAGTAGTTCTTTTGTCCTCTTCCCTTTGTCACCCCTACACTTTGGAGGTGAACTTCTCTCCTGAGGGCTGTAAAGACTAGTTTGAAAAGGGAGAGCCAAGAACCAACTGAATTGTCTCAGAATGGAAACACTATATTATTTCAGAGGAGTTAATTTCAGAAGGAAAATGGGTCAAACTTGAAAAAACAACATACATGGCTCCTATTGGTAAAACTGGAACTTGGGACTCAGTGAAACATACAACCAGGAAAGAACAGACTGGTGATGATGTAGCGGTCATCCCTGTGCTGCAGAGAACGCTTCACTACGAGTGTATCGTTCTGGTGAAACAGTCCTGACCACCAATGGGTGGCTACTGCATAGAGTTCCCTGCAGGGAACTCATAGAAGATGGTGAAACCCCAGGAGCAGCTGCTCTTTGGGAGCTTGAGGAAGAAACTGGCTACAAAGGGGACGCTGCTGAATGTTCTCCAGTGGTCTATATGGACCCAGGTTTGTCAAACTGTACCACACACATCGTGACAGTAATCATTAACGGAGATGACGCAGAAAATGTAAGGCCCAAGCCAAAGCCAGGGGATGGAGAATTTGTGGAAGTCATTTCGTTACCCAAGAATGACCTGCTGCAGGGACTCGATGCTCTCGTAGCTGAAAAACATCTTACAGTGGATGCCAAAGTCTATTCCCATGCTCTAGCACTGAAACATGCAAATGTGAAGCCATCTGAAGTGCCCGTCCTGAAATTTTAAGGCCAAAGACGACACTGGCCATTTTTGTAAATGAGACTACCAGGCCTTCTTCACAAAGGCTTTGTATTCAACTTAGTTTAATGTAGATTTGAATTAGCTTTTTCGTAAAATAAAAGCAGCAAAAAATGAAAAAAAAAAAAAAAAGAAAAGAAAAGATGAGCCATATTATGCTTTTCAACTCAGCTTTACCCCACTGCCTTGCCCTCAAAACACAGAATGACCATACTCCATGGAAAAACACACAACATAAAATAAAAATCTTAGTAACTAAAAGCATTTGCATGAAGGAAGTTAAAACATGCAAACCTCAGAAGAAATCACCATGGGTTCTTCAAAAGCTGGCAAATCCACTGAAATACAGGCCAGTCTTCCAACAGTACCAGCTACTATAAGGCCACTATG
This sequence comes from Homo sapiens, assembly GCF_000001405.40. Classification (NCBI taxonomy): domain Eukaryota; kingdom Metazoa; phylum Chordata; class Mammalia; order Primates; family Hominidae; genus Homo; species Homo sapiens. Next base: position 36,091,586 of record NC_000006.12, on the reverse strand, counting down.
ATTTGTCCAGGCAGTTAAGACCAGAAGGAGCGTCACGTAGCCACATTAGCGGAGTAAAGCAAAACTCACCACATCATGACAATCAGTTATTTCCACAGTGAGCCATCCTTTGTAATAGGTTTAGCCCTGTTTCTCTTAGGTAGAAAATATTTTTACTATTAGTTTAAAATGTGTTTTAATTGTAATGATCACAACGTCAAAATTTAAATCATAAATCTCCTGAATCTTTCTAAAACAAATGAAGAAAAGAACAACTTAAGCCTAAGATTACTCTTTAGACGAAGTCATCTTTAACAGAAGCAAGTCAGTCAGAATGAACAGGTAAAGAAAAAAAAAAACAAAAAAACTAAGCATAACAGGATATTTCTAGGGAAAGTAAAAGAGGGATATTCTAGTCAGTTCTAAGTGCTCCAGGCACTCCTAAAAAACCTCCACAGGCCAGAAAGTTGAAGATAAATAAAAGGACCAATTGCAGGACCTACCTGCCATGAGCAGTAATTTTCAAAGACATAAATCCACATAGGGGTGAAGTGGAGCACTAACCTTTGGGAAGGTAGGAAATCTTCCTGGTGACAGACAGGATAGACTAGAATAAGACTTAGCCTAGCTCCTTATCTTCCAAGTTGTCAAAATAGTCATTTTCACTGTAACACAAAGAAAATTTCTTAAGGGACCCTTGGTTTATGGACAAATCTGAGGATTCTACCTTTTCCTGAGAAAATGTATTTTCAAGTTAGAGAGGAAAGGGCAAATAACCTAATAAAATATTTTTCTTCTTCAGCATTTATTGGACACTTGCTTTTGGTGTCTAAAGTGAAACTGCTTTTTAAAAATGAGAGAACATCCAGGCTGGCCAACATGGCAAAATCCTGTCTCTACTAAAAATACAAAAATTAGCCGGGCGTGATGACGTGCACCTGTAATCCCAGCTACTCGGGAGGCTGAGGCAGGGAGAATCGCTTGAACACGGGAGGTGGAGGTTGCAGTGAGCAGAGATTGCGCCATTGCACTCCAGCCTGGGCGACAGAGCGAGACTCTGTCTCCAAAAAAAAAAAAAAAGAGAGAGAGGGAGAATATTTGGCAGGGTGCAGTGGCCACACCTGTAATCCCAACATTTTGGTAGGCCAAGGCGGGCAGATCACTTGAGGTCTGGAGTTCTAGACCAGCCTCAGGAGGTGGAGGTTGCAGTGAGCCGAGATTGCGCCACTGCATTCCAGCCTAGGCAACAGAGTGAGACTCCATCTCAAAAAAAAAAAGAAAGAGTATTTGAAACCAATGACTGAAAGTGATGGGCAGATGTGAGAGAAGGGTCTCCAGAAGCTTTAGCTCTATTGCCAGTGTTTTAACTCACAAGCAGGACAGTATGAACAGAGGTGTTTATTATTCTTTGTCTAGCAGTATGTCTGAAATATTTCAAAACATGTTTGCAAAAGAAGAAATAAAAAAAAATATATAAGAAGCAAATTTAATACACTAGGAAAACTCCCATAGACCAGGGCAGTAACTGATGGCAAGTGGATTTTAACTCAGCTCCATTAACCCATTATGTCTTAAGAGCACCATTTCTGTTAAAATTAAAGAAGGTTTTACACATAAGGAAATTCACTTGATTATGGAGAAAAGGAAAACAACAGCAAGCCAAGGCTGTGATCTCTGGTAGAAAAACGGTATTTGATGCATAACAGGGCTATAAAACTTTCTCTCTTCCTTAAGCTGCAGAGTGTTAAGCGTTGGTAACAGAATTTTCAAAGTGGCTTATTCATTTCAAGATCTATGGTATTTGAAATAAGTTAGTACTGTACCTGAAGAGACATTCTGTATCCTCCCTCCTTTCTAGTACAAAGTTCTGTCAGCTGTGTCCACTTGATATCCCTAGTCAACTAGGCTTTTAAGAAAGGGCTTCATTCTTTAAAAAATAATAATGCTATCATTAGGCCAGATGGAAGGGTTCTGCAAAGTCACAAACAAGAATAATTTCTAATCTGATAACACATTATTGGCTTTAAGACAAAAATGAGTATTTCTTATATTTTTTTAAAATTAAATTAAAGTTCTGAGATACAAGTGCAGGATGTGCAGGTTTGTTACATAGGTAAATATGTGCCATCGTGGTTTGCTCCACCTATCAATCCATCACCTAGGTGTTAAGCCCCGCATGCCTTAGCTATTTATCCTGATGCGTTCCCTCCGCCTGACCCCCACCCCACCAACAGGCCCCAGCGTGTGTTGTTCTCCTCCATGTGTCCATGTGTTCTCATTGTTCAGCTCCCACTTGTGAGAACATGTGGTGTTTGGCTTTCTGAGGAAAATGGCTTCAAGCTCCATCAGTGTCCCCGCAAAGGGCACAATCTCATTCATTTTTATGGGTGTATAGTATTCCATGGTGTATATGTACCATGTTTTTTTATCCAGTCCATCACTGATGGGCATTTGGGTTGATTCCATGTCTTTGCTATTCTGAATACTGCTGCAATCAACATACACATGCATGTATCTTTGTAACAGAATGATTTATATTCCTTTGGGTATATACCCAGTAATGGGATTGCTGGGTCAAATGTTATTTCTGGTTCTAGGTCTTTGAGGATTTCACCAGTCTTCCACAATGGTTGAACTAATTTACATTCCTACCAACGGTGTAAAAGTGTTCATATTTCTCCATAGCCTCACCAGCATCTGTTGTTTCTTGACTTTTTAATAATCACCATTCTGACTAGCATGAGACAGTATCTCATTGTGGTTTTCATTTGCATTTCTCTAATGGTCAGTGACACTGAGCTTTTTTTCATGTTTGTTGGCTGTATAAATGTCTTCTTTTGAGAAGTGTTTGTTCATGTCCTTTGCCAATATTTTTTTTTTTTTTTTGAGACGGAGTCTCGCTCTGTCGCCCAGGCTGGAGTGCAGTGGTGTGATCTCGGCTCACTGCCAGCTCCGCCTCCTGGGTTCACGTCATTCTCCTGCCCCAGCCTCCTGAGTAGCTGGGACTACAGGCGCACACCACCATGCCTGGCTAATTTTTTGCATTTTTAGTAGAGATGGGGTTTCGCCAAATTAGTCAGGATGATCTCGATCTCCTGACCTCGTGATCCACCTGCCTCAGCCTCCCAAAGTGCTGGGATTACAGGCATGAGTCACTGTGCCTGGCCCTTTGCCAACTTTTTAATGGGTTTTTTCCTTGTAAATTTGTTTAAATTCCTTGTAGATTCTGGATATTAGACTTTTGTCAGATGGATAGATTGCAAAAACTGTCTCCCATTCTGTAGGTTGTCTGTTCACTCTGACGATAGTTTCTTTTGCTGTGCAGAAGCCCATTTGTCAGTTTCTGCTTTTGTTGCCATTGCTTTTGATGTTTTCATCATGAAATTTTTGCCCATGTCTATGTCCTTAATGATATTGCCTAGATTTTCTTCTAGGGTTTTTATCGTTTTGGGTTCTACATTTAAGTCTTTAATCCATCTTGAGTTAATTTTTGTATAAGGTGTAAGGAAGGGGTCCAGTTTCAATTTTCTGCACATGGCTAGCCAGTTCTCCCAGCACCATTTATTAAATAGGGAATCCTTTCCCCATTGCTCGTTTTGTCAGGTTTGTTGAAGATCAGATGGTTGTAGATGTGCAGTTTTATTTCTGAGATCTCTATTCTGTTCCATTGGTCTGTTTTTGTACTAGTACCATGCTGTTTTGATTACTGTAGCCTCGTAGTATAGTTTGAAGTCAGGTAGTGTGATGCCTCCAGGTTTGTTCTTTTTGCTTAGAATTGTTTGGGCTATATGGACTCTTTTTTGGTTCCATATGAATTTTAAAGTTTTTTTCTAATTCTGTGAAGAATGTCAACAGTAGTTTAATGGGAATAGCATTAAATTTATAAATTACTTTGGGCAATATGGCCATTTTCATGATATTGATTCTTCCTATCCATGAGCACAGAATGTTTTTCCATTTGTTTGTGTCCTCTCTGATTTCCTTCAGCAGTGGTTTGTAGTTCTCCTTGAAGAGGTCCTTCACTTCCCTTGTTATTAATAGCTATAGTTCTGGGTATTTTATTCTCTTTTAGCAGTTGTGAATAAGAGTTCATTCATGATTTGGCTCTCTGCTTGCCTACTGTTGGTGTATAGGAATAGTTGTGATTTTTGCACTTTGATTTTGTATCCCGAGACTTTGCTGAAGTTGCTTATCAGCTTAAGAAGCTTTTGGGCTGAGACAACAAGGTTTTCTAGATATAGGATCATGTCACCTGCAAACAGAGTTTTACTTCCTCTCTTCCTATTTGAATACCCTTTCTTTCTTTCTTTTGCCTGATTGCCCTGGCCAGAATTTCCAATACTATGTTGAATAGGAGTAGGGAAAGAGGGCATCCTTGTGCCAGTTTTGAAGGGGAATACTTCCAGCTTTTGCCTATTCAGTAAGATACTGGCTGTGGGTTTGTCTTACATGGCTTATTTTGAGGTATGTTCCATCAACACCTAGTTTACTGAGAGTTTTTAACATGAAGGGATGTTGAATTTTATTAAAGGCCTTTTCTGCATCCATTGAGATAATCATGTGGTTTTTGCCTTTAGTTCTGTTTATGTGATCAATTATGTTTATTGATTTGCATATGTTAAAACAGCCTTGCATCCCAGGGATGAAGCTGACTTGACCGTGGTGGATGGATAAGCTTTTGACATGCTGCTGGATTTGGTTTGCCAGTATTTTACTGAGGATTTTTGCATCGATGTTCATCAGGGATATTGGCCTTAAGTTTTCTTTTTCTGTTGTATTTCTGGCAGGCTTTGGTATTGGGATAATACTGGCCTCATAAAATGAGTTATAGGGGAGTCCCTCCTTTTGTATGTTTGGAATAGTTTCAGAAGAAATGGTACCAGCTCTTCTTTGTACCTCTGGTAGAATTTGGCTGTAATCTGTCTGGTCCTGGGCTTTTCTTGCTTGGTAGGCTATTTATTACTGCCTCAATTTGAGAACTTGTTATTGGTAGATTCAACGTTTTCCTGGTTCAGTCTTGGGAGGTCATATGTGTCCAGGAATTCATCCATTTCTTCTAGATTTTCTAGTTTATTTGCATAGAGGTGTTTATAGTATTCTCTGATAGTTGTTCATATTTCTGCAGGGTCAGTGGTGATACCCCCTTTATCATTTTTATTGTGTCTATTTGATTCTTCTTTCTTCATTACTCTAGCTAGGAGTCTATTTTATTTTATTTTATGTTTTTCAAAATACCAGATCTTGGGAGTCACTGATATTTTTGGAAGGGTTTTTCCTGTCTCTATCTCCTTCAGTTCCACTCTGATCTTGGTTATTTCTTGTCCTCTGCTAGCTTTAGGGTTTGTTTGGTCTTGGTTCCCTAGTTCTTTTAGTTGTGATGTTAGGGTGTCAATTTGAGATCTTTCTAGCTTTTTGATGTGGGCATTTAGTGCTATAAACTTCCCTCTTAACACTGCTTTAGCTGTGTCCCAGAGATTCTGGTATGTTCTCTTTGTTCTCATTGGTTTCAAAGAACTTCTGATTTCCGCCTTAATTTCATTATTTATCCAGGAGTCATTCAGGAGCAGGTTGTCCAATTTCCACGTAATTGTGTGGTTTTGAGTGAGTTTCTTAATCTTAGTTCTAATTTGATTGTGCTGTGGTGTGAGAGGCTGTGTGTTATATTTTCAGTTCTTTTGCAGTTACTGAGGAGTGTTTTACTTCCAATTATGTGATCAATTTTAGCCTAAGTGCGATGTGCTGCTAAGAAGAATGTATATTCTGTTGTTTCTGTATAGAGAGTTCTGTAGCTATCTATCAGGTCCAGAGCTGAGTTCAAGTCCTGAATATCCTTGTTAATTTTCTGCTTGATGATCTGTCTAATATTGACAGTGGGGTATTAAAGTCTCACACTATTATTGTATGGGAGTCTAAGTCTCTGTGTAGGTCTCTAAGAACTTGGTTTATAAATCTGGGTGCTCCTGTATTAGGTGCATATATATTTAGGATAGTTAGCTTTTCTTGTTGAATTGAGCCCTTTACCACTATGTAATGCCCTTGTCTTTTTTGATATTTGCTGGTTCAAAGTCTGTTTTGTCAGAAAATAGGATTGCAACCCCTGCTTTTTTCTGCTTTCCATTTGCTTGGTAAATTTTCCTCCATCCCTTTATTCTGAGCCTTTGTATGTCTTTGCATGTTAGATGGGTCTCTTGAATACAACAGCATACTGATGGGTCGTGATTCTTTATCCAGCTTGCCGTTCTGTGTTTTTTAATTGGGGCATTTAGCCCACTTACATTTAAGGTTAATATTTTTTATGTGTGAATTTGATCCTATCATCATGATGCTAGCTGGTTATTTTGCAGACTTGTTGAGGTAACTGCTTCATAGTGTTACTGGTAAAAGAAAACAGTGTGTTTCTGTAGTGGCCAGTAAGTTTTTCCTTTCCATATTTAGTGCTTCCTTCAGGAGCTCTTGCAAGACAGGCCTGGTGGTGACGAATTCCCTCAGCATTTGCTTGTCTAAAAAGGATTTTATTTCTTCTTTGACTATGAAGCTTAGTTTGGCCAGATATGAAACTTTGGGTTGGAAATTCTTTAAGAATGTTGAATATTGGCCCCGAATCTCTTCTGGCTTGTAGGGTTTTTGCTGAGGTCCACTCTTAGCCTGATGGGCTTCCCTTTGTAGGTGACCTAGCCTTTCTCTCTGGCTGCCCTTAGTATTTTTTCCTTCATTTCAACCTTGGAGAATCTGATGATTATGTATCTTGGGGTTGATCTTCTCATGGGGTAGCTTACTGGGGTTCTCTAGGGATTTCCTGATTTGAATGCTGGCCTGTCTTGCTAGGTTGGGGAAGTTCTCCTGGCTGATATCCTGAAGTGTGTTTTCCAACTTGTTTCCATTCTCCCCAATTCTTTTAGGTACCCCTATCATTCGCAGGTTCAGTCTTTTTAAATAATCCCATAGTTCTCAAAAGTTTTGTTCATTTCCTTTCATTCTTCTCTTATCTTGTCAGCAAGATAGTCTTCAAGCTCTGAAATTCTTTCCTCCACTTGGTCTATTTGGCTATTGATACTTGTGGTTGCATTATGAAGTTCTCATGTTGTGTTTTTCAGCTCCATCATTTATGTTCCTTTCTAAACTGGTTATTCTGGTTAACAGCTCCTGTAATGTTTTATCATGGTTCTTAGATTCTTTGCATTGGGTTAGAACATGCTCCTTTAGCTCAGTGAAATTCATTATTATCCACCTTCGGAAGTCTACTTCTGTCAATTCATCCATCTCAGCCTCAGCCCACATCTATGCCCTTGCCAGAGAGGTGCTGTGATCATTTGGAGGAAAAGAAGCACTCTGGCTTTTTGAGTTTTCAGCGTTTTTTCATTGATTCTTTCTCATCTTCATGACTTTACCTAGCTTTGAACTTTGAGGCTGCTAACCTTTGGAGGGGTTTTGGTGGGGACCTTTTTGTTGATGTTGTTGTTGCTTTCCATTTGTTTTGCTTTTAACAGTCAGGCCCCTCTTCCATAGGGCTGCTGCAGTTTGCTGGGGGTCCACTCCAGACTCTTTGCCTGGGTCCCTCCTGTACCTGGAGGTGTCACCAGTGGAGACTGCAGAACAGCAAAGATGGCTGCCTGTTCCTTCCTCTGGGAGCTCCGTCCCAGAGGGGCACCAACCTGATGCCAGTGGGAATGCTCTTGCATAAGGTGTCTGGCGACCCCTGTTGGAGGGGTCTCATCCAGTCAAGAGGCACAGGCCCACCTAACGAAGCACTCTGGCTGCCCCTTGGTGGAGGGGGTGTGCTGCACTGGGGGAAATCTCACTCATCCAGACTGCCTGGATTCCTCAGAGCCAGCAAGGGGAAAGACTAACTCTGCTGATCTGTGGAGACTGTGGCCACCCCTCCCACCAGGGGCTCCATCCCAGGGAGATTGGAATTCTGTCTGTAAACCCCTGGCTGGAGTTGCTGAAATTCCCGCAGAGAGGCCCTGCCCCGTGTAGGGGGATGAGTCAGAGTTCAGCCTAAAGAGTCAGTCTGGCCATGATGTGCCACCACCACTGTAGGGTCTGCACTGTAGGGAATTCCTTCTGGGTCCCAACCGCCCAGTCTCTCCAGCACCAGCAGGGGAAAACAGCAGACTGGAGCTGCAGTGATGACAGCAACCCCTCCCCCAAGGAACTCAGTAGTCTTATGTAGTCTCCAGCCAAAGGGCTACCAAGAACCTACACAGCTCTGTGCTTGGGACCCAAGGCCCTGGTGGCATGTGCTCATGAGGGGGATCTCCTGAATCACAGGTTGCACAGATCCTTGGAAAAAGCATGATTTCCTGGACAGGGTAGAACAATCACTCACCACCTCCCTTGGCTTGGGGTGGGAGCTCCCCTTGCCCTTTGCAGCTCCCAGGTGGGCTGTCGCTCCACCCTGCTTTTCCTCACTCTCCATGGGTCATGCCAACCACCTAGTCAGTCCCATTGAGAGAAGGTGAATACCTCAGTTGCCGGTGCAGGATTCACTCACCGTTTTCGTTCTTCTTGTTGGAAGCCTCTGATTGCAGCTATTTCTAGTTGTCCATCTTGTCCCCTCCCCAGTATTTCTTATATCTTTAAAGGAAATCCAGGAATTACTAACAACCAGTACCAAAATAATCTTTCAAGAAGGAGACTAATTACAAAACCCAAGAAAAAGGTAGAACAGGAAGATAACTTGAAGGGATCTAAAAATGCATAAACCAATACCACTAGCCATGTGTAATTAAGTTTCAATGTAATCTAAATAAAATTTTAATGGCATTTAAAATTCAGATTAAAATACTCAGAAAACTGTGAACAGAAGGTGATAGGGTTTGGATGTTTTGTCCCCTCCAAGTATGTTGAAATGTGATCCCCAATGTTGGAGGTGGGGCCTGATTGAAGGTGTTAGGGTCTTGGATCCCTCATGAATGGCTTGGTTCCCTCCCCACATTAATGAGTGAGTTCTCGCTCTATCAGTTCATGCAAATGCTGGTTGTTTAAAAGAGTCTGGCATCTCTCTTGCTCCCTCCTTTGACATGTGACATGCCTGTTCCCCCTACCACCATAAGTGAAAGCTTCCTGAGGTCCTGACCAGAAACAGATGCTGGCACAATGCTTCTTTTACAGCTATGCAACTGTGAGCCAAATAAACCTCTTTTCTTGATAAATTACCTAGTTTCAGGTATTCCTTCATAGCAATGTGAAATGGACTACCAAAGAAGAGAACTTCCCCAACATGATAAAGGGCATTTATGAAAAACCAACAGCTAACATCATACTCAATGGGAAGAGACTGAAAGCTTTCCCCCTAAGACAGGAACAAGACAAGGATGCCTACTTTCACTGTTGCTATTCAGCATTGTAGCAGAAGTTCTAGACAGAGCCATTACATTAGACAAGAGAAAGAATTAAAAGCATCTAAATTGGAAAGGAAGAAATAAAACTATCTCTGTTTGCAGATGACATAACCCTATACATAGAAAATCACAAAGAATCTAGAAGAAAGCTGCTAGAGCTAATAAATAAATTGAGCAAATTTGCAGGGTGTAAGATCAACAATCAAAAATTAATTTGGTTTCTATATATCAACAATGAACACACCAAAGAATTTCCATCTATAATCGCAGCAAAAATAATAAAATACATAGGAAAAAATTTAACCAAGGTAAAATACTTTACAACTGAAAACTATAAAACACTGCTGAAAAAAAAATAAAGACTTAAATAAATGGAAAGAGATCCTTTGTTCATGAACAGGATGACTTAATAGTGGTTAAGATGTCAATATCACTTAAAGTGATCTAAAAATCTGACACAATCCCTATCAAAATTCTAAAGCCTTTTTTTTGCAGAAATAGAAATGCCAATTGTTAAATTCATATGAAATTACAAGGGACCCAGAATAGTCAAAGCAATCTTGAAAAAGAAGAACAAAGCTGGAAGACTCACACTTCCTGATTTCAAAGCTTACTATAAAGCTACAGTGATCAAAACAGTGTGGTATTGCCATAAGGATAGATATATAAACCAATAGAATAGAACTGAGAGTCCAGAATTAAACCCACACGTGTATTGCTAATTATATATACCAAATTTCTAAGAAACAGGTAAAAGGTGAAAGAAACAAAAAACAAAGGAGAAATCCTAGGGTATCATGTTGATTCGATGGGGGAAGTAATAGTCTCTTTATGGTGCTAGAATAACTGGACTTCCAGATGCAAAAGAATGAAGTTGGGCCCCTACCTCACATCATCTATAAAAATTAATTCAAAATGGATCAAAGACCTAAGTATAAGAGCTAAACCCTATTATATTCCTAGTAGTTACAAAACTCTTAGTAGAAAACATAGGGGTAAATTATTCATGACCTTGAATTTGGCAATACAGTCTAAAATATGACATCAAAAAAGCATGAGCAAGGACAGAAAAAAAATAAATTGGAACTTAATCAAAATTAAAAATGTTTTATGTATCAAAGGACATTATCAAGAAAGTGAAAAGACAACCCACAAAATAGGTGAAAATACTTGCAAATCATGTATCTGATAAGGGTCTAAGATATATAAAGAACCACCACTGAACAACAAAAACACAAACAACCTAATTAAGAATAGGCAAGACTTGAATAGACATTTCTCCAAAGAAGACATACAAATGGCCAATAAGCAGATGAAAAGATGCTCAAAATCATTAGTCATGAGAGAAATGCAAATCAAAACCACAGTGAGATACCACTTTGTAACTACTTGGGTGACTATTAAAAAAAAAAAAAGAACAAGTTTGGAGATACAGGAATCCTCATGCATTGCTGGTGGGCATGTAAAATGGTGCAGACACTATGGAAAAGAGTTTGGTGGCTCTTCAGAAAGTTAAACATAGAGTTACCATATGATGCAACAATTCCACTCCTAGGTACATAACCAAAAGAATCAAAAGCAGGGACTCAAACAGATGCTTGTATGACAATGTTCACTGCAGCATTATTCACAATAGCCAAAGGTAAAAACAACTCAACTGTCTACTAACAGATGAACAGGTCAACAAAATGTGGGATATATTAAATACTTACAATGGAATAGTATTCTGATACATGCTACATCATGGAAGAACCATGAAAACATTATACTAAGTGAAATAATCCAGAAACAAAAGGACAAATACAGTATAATATGATTCTACTTCTATGAAATTTCTAGAATAAGCAAATCCACAGAGACAGAAAGAACAGAGGTTACCAGAGGGGAGAATGGGAAGTTACTGTTTCACGGGCTGAGTGTTTCCATCTGCGGTGATGAAAAAATTCTGGAAATAGGTAGTAGTAGTGATTGTACATCATGAATGTAATTAATGCCGCTGAATTGTAAACTTAAAATGGTTAAAATGGGGCCGGGTGCAGTGGCTCGCGCCTGTAATCTAGCAATTTGGGAGGCTAAGGTGGGCGGATCACTTGAGGCCAGGAGTTTGAGACCAGCCTGGCTAACATGGTGAAACCCTGTCTCTACTAAAAATACAAAAATTACATGGTGGTACACACCTATAATCCCAGCTACTTGGGAGGCTGAGGCAGGAGAATCGCTTGAGCCCGGGAGGCGGAGGTTGTAGTGAGCCAAGATCATGCCACTGCACTCCAGCGTGGGCAACAAAGCAAGACTGTCTCAAAAAAAAAAAGGTTAAAATGGTAAATTTTATGTTAAATACATTTAACCACAAAAATATTTTCAATTCAATTTCCAAGTTAAACTAGCTACATTTCTTTTTTTTCTTCTCCACAACGTTACTGCTCACCACTAGCTGCATTTCAGTTGCTTAATAATTAGCCACAGGCAGCTGGTGCCTATAACCACCACATTGGATAGCACAGATATAAAACATTTGCAATACCACAAAAGTTCTAGTACACAGTTCTTACTTACAAGCCCAAACCACCAATTCCAAATGCAAAATGATCAATAAATAAGGAAAACAGGGAGAAAACTGGACACTCAAACAATGAGTACCTTCTAGAGCAAGCTTTTCCAACCCAGGGCCTGCGGGCTGCACGTGGCCCAGGGCTTTGGATGCAGCCCATCACAAATTTGTAAACTTTCTGAAAACATTACGAGATTTTTTTTTTGCAATTTTTTTTAAGTTCATCGGCTATCATTAGTGTATTTTATGTGTGGCCCAGGACATTTCTTCTTCCAATGTGGCCCAGGGAAGCCAGAAGATTGGACACCCCTGTTCTAGAGGTTGCATTTAAATATCATAAATAAGTGACAGGTGCATGTCTTTCAGGCTGAAGGAAGAGGGTATGAGGCCAATACATTCTCCAAAGGTTTTTTAAAGAGGAGTTCTGCAAATTAGAAGAACAGCGAAGAACAGAATATTGGAAAAGAAATTGTGGCCTATGTGACAGGTAGCTTTGGATTATATTCTCTGGGTCTTGGTTTCCCCATCTATTAAAAACAGGGGATTCAACTAGATGTTTTCTAATTAACTTTCTGATCTCATTGGTACTTTTCAAAAAAAATGAATAGAGATTACTAACATCTTCAAGACCAGCCAAGATTAAACTAAAATTCAACTGGGTTAAACTCTAGTTGTACTCAACACTAGCTGCAAACTAGAAGACTGTGCTTTGACCCATGACAACAAAATGGAGTCTTTGGGGTGGTCCCCAGGCATCTAGAGTTTTTAAAAGCTCTGCAAAGTGATTCTGACACACTATGAGGGTTAAGAACCACTATGCTGGAACACAAGTGACCGTATAGTTCAGGCAGGAAAAGATAATGGGAAACATTTTCCTCTTGTCAGGCAATCAAAGCTGTATCTACACAGATGGCAACTTACAAGAGAAAGGTTAAGTATATTACAAATAAAAATCCTTTGAATTCGACTTTTACAATCCAGGAGAGAACATCTGTCTGAAAAAGAGCCAAGTAGAATAAAATAAATAACTAAAACCAAAATTTTGAAATGAATTCTCATGTATTAAAAAATGAATCCCTTATTAAAAAGTTTAAACACTAGGTTGTTTATCTAAAGCTCACAGAAGAAAAAGACCTAAGCACAAAGGGAAGATTTCCTACAGGCAGAAAGTTAGCATTTAAAAGGGTCAGGGAATAGACAGGTGTCTGTGAGACAGGACCACAAAGGTACAAGACTCACACTGCTTCGAAAACTTTCTAACACTAGTCTGCCAAGGAGTTCCATCCTTTCCTACCTATCACAGAATTAAAAACAAAACAAAACATTAATGATTCATAGGTAGACAATTAAGTGAGAAGGTGAAGGGGTAATCTGTTTTGCAAGGCCATTACTGAACATGATGGCTAACATTTACTGGCAGGCTCGTCTCAGTACTTTCCAGTTATTTTCTGGCTGAATTCTTACGACAACCTTGTGAGTATGTATGATTATTATCATTTTACGGTTAAGGAAACTGAGAGAAATAGAGGTTAGGAAACTTACTCAAAGTTACATAGCTGGAAATAAAAGAGCTAAGATCTAAATCCAGGAAATCTGGCTCCAGAGCATGTGCTTAACCTGTATGTTATACTGCCTTTCCCTCTCTGCCACCTTGTGTGTCTACACCGGCATGGAGGTCTGTGACTGACTAAATGGTAGCTGGAGATACAGACACAAGAAGAGGAAGGGGAGCAGGGAACAGAGAATAGCATCAGGACAGCAGCTACTCTAGAGGACAAAGCAAGGATGGGACTCTGAGATATGTACCTGAGGAAAGGGGGAAGTATGAATTTTCCCTAATTCTCTTACCTTGGACTGTAATATATATATACCAAATTTCTGAGAAACAGATATAAGGTGAATGAAACAAAGGACAAAGGAGAAACACCAGGTATTAAACTAATTTAAAATCCAGAGGTAGGGAGTAATAAGGTAAGCTAAATACAGGGAGACTGAACTCTGTTATCAATCCTAATATTCAGAGAGAAAGAAACAGCTTTACCTGAGAAATAGAGGTTTTTTCAGTTCATAATGAAAGTACATTCTCTCTAGCAGAAGATAGTTAGAACACGTGGGTAGATATCATGAACATCATAGCCATTACAGAAGTATATCCCAAACTGTAAGCAAGTGAATTGACATTCTGGTTTATAAACTCAATTAGTTTATTTAGGTAAGGGACTAAAATGGCTTTTAGATCTCTAGGCATAATAGATCAGAGGTAGCATGTCTAATATTGCCTAACCAAAACCACCTGAAGGCTAGTTAACTCAATTCTATTAAAAAAAGAAAAAATCCCCAAAACTAATTCTAGACATATATTTTAACAATCTTTCTCACCTAAACATCTTCCATAAGTAGAACTGATGAGAGTTCCAACAGACCACATTTTTCATGACATTAATACTAAACCATGAAACAAGCATACCGCAGATAGGAAAGGAGCTAAAATAAAGGGGCTATAATAAACCATAAACTAGACAGTAAGTCTTGGAGTAAATTAGGGTTTGGCTGCAATCTGGGAAAAAGTTGTGCTGGAAAAACAAAAGTACATTACATGGTAAGCTTTTCACTTCTTGCTTTTACTATTTGTTGTCAAACAACAAACATAACAAGTAAGCAGTATATCACTGCAGGTACCAAACATAGCCCTTTTAATACATAAACATAACAGCAAGATGCCCTTCATTTATAAATGGGCATCTTGTGCTCATTAAGTGTTTATACAAGAAGACTAAAACTGTCACTGGGATCTGGAGTTTCTCATGAGTATGCTCAGGTCTCAGAACTGCTGTGGGATGATTAATAAGGGACTGTTGCAAAAAGAAGACAGACTTGATGGGTTTTTCAACTTATGAGGAATTTTTCCAACTCACAAAAGTAAACTGAAGCCTCTTTCTTGGCAAGGCAAGCTACTCAGTTTGAAGAAAGACCTCATAATGCATTATCTAGACTATAAAAGCAAAATACTGAGAGTCTTCCCTAGAGATAAGTAAAAGGAGTATACACCCATGGACACTGGAATACAGATAAGAAACAAGAATCCAAAACTTTTTAAAGGATACGGTCTGTACCAGGAAACAATGTTCTTCCAGTCAACAGCTCGGCCATTATGCATCCCACTGACCAAATATCAACTGGCAAAATTAAAAAGAAGTAAAAGTATATGCAATGTCACTGTTACAATTCTTGGCAACAAATGAAACCGTAACTAGGGGTGAAATATTCAAATTACTATTTAAGACATCTGAGGCTCAACAATCATACTCATTTTTACAGAAATAAATAGCTTACTAAGATCTTCACCTGACTAAAGGGCTGTTCAAAGGTGGGGTAAGTCAAAACACACTTAAGAGAAATAAGCTGTTTAAAAAGGGGCAAGTTTCTTATTAGTAGAATGGTAGATTCTTCCAAGTAACATTGAGGGGTTAAAATTATGGACTAATTGTCTTTAGGTATAAGTACTCAGAGAATATATTCAAAATCTAAATAAATAAAAACCCAATTGCTAAATCACAAGGTTTAAAAGCTGTGTATAAAACCCCACTTCCCCATCTGAGGAAGTGAAATATTTTTACTTGCAGGCTTTAAAAGGATCACTGAGGGAAGAAAAGACATTTCTTCCCACTCCCACCATCTCTATTTCTGAGAATCCCAAATGCATCCAACATGGAATTAAATAAGGCCCTAAATAACCAAGGCGAGTAATACCTGTCTGGTTGTAATGCATCCAGTTCAGCATGATCTCAGGAGCCCTGTACCACCTAGTGGCCACGTAGCCTGTCATTTCATCATCTGTGTGCCGAGCCAGTCCAAAATCCAGAATCTAAAGGGCAGAAGAGGAACAGACAAACTGCTAAGACTTAGAAACAGGCAGGGAAAAAAAAACAAAACAACAACAACAAACAAACCTCTGTTGCCTTATTAAAAAGGAGAACAAAATAGCACTTTCATAAAGAGATTTCCTGGTCCATACTTAGAATGTATGGTAAATATACAGCAAGAACTTAAAATGAAATTACAAAAAGCAAAACAAAAATGTCACTCCCAGGTATTTAATCAAGTGCAATGAGAACTTACGTCCATACAAAGGTTTGCACATAAACATTCACAGTTGCTTTACACAGCCTCAAACTCAAGCAAATGTCCATCAGCAGGTGGATAGATTTAAAAATTCTGTTATGTTCATAAAACAAAATACTATTACCAATAAAAAGGAAGAAACCACTGACACACACAACAATACCGAATCATTACACCAAGCAAAGGCCAGACACACAAAAATACACACTATATGATTCCATTTACATGAAACTCCAGAAAAGATAAACCTAATCTATAGTGTTAGAAGCAGATCCATAGTTGCCTGGAGCCAGAGTTAGGGGTGGAGGGGTAGGGATTGACTAGGAAGGGACACAATAAACTTTTTTTTTTTTTTTTTTTTTTTTGAGACGGAGTCTTGCTCTGTTGCCCAGGCTGGGGTGCAGTGGCACTATCTCGGCGCACTGCAAGCTCTGCCTCCCAGGTTCACGCCATTCTCCTGCCTCAGCCTCTCAAGTAGCTGGGACTCCAGGTGCCCGCCACCATGCCCAACTAAATTTTTGTATTTTTAGTGGAGATGAGGTTTCACCGTGTTGGCCAAGATGGTCTCTATCTCCTGACCTCATAATCCACCCGCCTTGGCCTCCCAAAGTGCTGGGATTACAGGCATGAGCCACCACGCCTGGCCATAAACTTTTTAAAGTAATCCAAATGTTCTTGGCTGGGAGCAATGGCTCACACCTGCAATCCCAGCACTTTGAGAGGCCGAGGCAGGTGGATCACGAGGTCAGGAGATCGACACCATCCTAGCCAACATGGTGAAATCCCATCTCTACTAAAAATACAAAAATTAGCCGGGTGTGATGGCGTGCACCTGTAGTCCCAGCTACTCGGGAGGCTGAGGCAGGAGAATCGCTTGAACCCGGGAGGCAGAGGTTGCAGTGAGCCAAGATCACACCACTGCACTCTAGACTGGGCAACAGAGTGAGACTGCATCCCAAAAAAAAGGAAAAAAAAAGAAATGGTCTTTATCATAAATGTGAGTTAAGTGGATATATAATTTTGCCAAATGAAATGGTGCATTCTAATGTACAGACATTTTTTCAAGTTAAAAAAATGAAATGGAACAAAAGTTCTAGAGCTGCTTGCTATTTAGAAACAATTAATTCACTTATTTTTTATTTGAATTATTTTGAGTGAGTGGGTTTCTGCCATTTCTCCTCTTAGAAATGTATTTAATCTAGTTATCACCTCTTTGGGCCTACTTACTTGATATTTGACTATTATCCTCCTTTATTATGACTAATATATCAAATTTATAATTTAACTTTATGTTAAAATAAAAACAAGTGATGCCACTTTCAATGTCACTTAGCTTACTCAGAAATGGTTTAAATTTCAAAGTCTGATAATAAAAATAATACGAATTTCAGATAGTCATGGCTCACAAAGCTACTCCCTAAGAAAGTCTGCCTGCTTAGTCAAACATATAATCTCAAAGTAAAGCAAACAATGAATACTGTCTCTTCATTTTACCTTCAGCTCACAGTCTTCATTCACAGCTAGATTACTAGGTTTTAGGTCCTAGGAAGCAAATACAGGGAAGACAGGATCAACTTTATGATGCATGATCAATTCTCCCCCTACAGGTAATAATGAGGATCCAGACATAAAAGACTTCATCCAGCTATCAAAAGACAATCTCCATCCTACAGTCAATATCCAGTCCAAGTTAGCCTTACATAGAAAAAAACTACACATCTTCTTTCTTTAATCAGCTTAAACCTACAGTAAAGTTGCAATCAATCAACATTTCAATGGCTAAAGTTTAGATTAGGATCTTGGCTAAATGCCATTCTTCCACTCTCACCCCACTTCCCCAAAATAATGTAATCAAAGTCACAATACATACCCTGTGAATTATGTCAGCTGAATGTATATACTGCAAAAGAGAAAAAAGTCAAAGTTACCTCCAACCTTCTATTGTCATATTATATAACATATTTGCTGCACATTTTCATGAATCAGTAAGAACTGCTAGTGTTAATAGTAAGATTAGAAATCAGCATAAGTAACTATCAGTATTGTGTACATTTACCATTACTATAATTTCCACAGCCATTGACTCCACTCAGTTGAGCTTTTAATCTATTTTCTGGTTGGCACTCTGGAGCTCAATAAGGACTCAAAGCAGCTAAATATCAAAGATGGGTTTAATTTTAAAACACTGTTTATCTGCCCCTCCAACAAATAAATTAGTCTTTCTTGAGGATTTTTTGAAAATCTCAACATTACGCTGACCAGATATTAGATTACATCAATAAATTATTGTTTAGATGTAAGAATGAAGAGTCCTTATCTTTCAGATATGCAAACTGAAGTATCTATGGATGGTATTATATAATGTCTAGACTTGCTTTAAAATAATCCAGGGCTTGGGAAATACAAAAGAAACATGATTGGCCATATGTCGGTAACTGTTGTCACTGAGTGAACATGGCAGTTTACTGTACTATATGACCTTTACCTGTGATTTTATGTGTTTGAATTTTCCATTAGAAAAGTTGTTTACTTGTTTGTTTAAGCCCTAAAAGGAGGGGAGAAAGGGAGAATTCATTTTAAAAAATTATTACTTGTATTATCTGTACCTTTAGACCTCGGAGAATTTGGTAGATAAGGAACTGAACATGGTCATCTGTAAGCTTCTGACATTTCACAATGTTGTTCAGATCTGCCCCCATGAGATGGGTCACCAGATACCTAGAAATTAGTGAAAAGTTACATAACAATCTAGAACCCCTAAGAAAGTTCTTATCTTCAGAAGACTTTTATAAGTTTTTTGGTTTTTTTGGTTTTTGTTTTTGTTTTTGAAATGGAGTCTCGCTCTACTGCCAGGCTGGAGTGCAGTGGCGCAATCTCAGCTCACTACAACCTCTGCCTCCCAGGTTCACGCCATTCTCCTGCCTCAGCCTCCCGAGTTGCTGGGACTCCAGGTGCCCACCACCATGCCCGGCTAATCTTTGTATTTTTAGTGGAGACGAGGTTTCACCGTGTTGGCCAAGATGGTCTTGATCTCCTGACCTCATGATCCCCCCGCCTCAGCCTCCCAAAGTGCTGGGATTACAAGCGTGAGCCACCGCACCTGGCCCGACTTCTAAGTTTTTAAGGGAAGGCTACCCTTCCCTTAAAATGGTAGCTGTACCACGATGACAGCTAAAAGCTAACAACTACTCATTTTTTGGGGGGAAGGGCACCTCATTACCTCATTTTCAACATCGCTATTCTTTTACTTTTCTTTTTTTTAGAGACAGGGTCATGCTCTGTCATGCAGTGGAGCAATCATAGTAATTCACTGCAACCTCAAACTCCTGGGCTCAAGTGATCCTCCTACCTCAGCCTTCCGAGTAGCTAGGACTAAAGGTGTGCACCACCACGCACAGCTAATTTTTTTAAATTTTCCTGTAGAGATGGGGTCTCACTATGTTGCTCAGGCTGGGCTCTAACTCTTGGTCTCAGGTGATCCTCCCAATTTAGCCTCCCAACATTACTATTCTAACTTTAACTACCTGCCATCTGTTCTAAACATTTACATACTTATTCCTACTTGACATATCTTTTTCCAGGTTATCTCAAGAAAAAAGAAACCAGGCCAAGCTTTGTGGCTCACACCTATAATCTTAGCACTTTGGGAGGCTGAGGCAGGAGTGTGAGATCAGCCTGGGTAACACAGGGAAACCCCATCTCTACAAAAAATAAAAGAGAAAAGAAAACAAAAACAGCAAAGGTAGGGATTAGAAAGATACATGTGTCAGTATCAGTTTTCTTACAAATGTTATTCTTGCATGACAAATATATAGTATAACTTACTGCATGGCTATAATTAAGTATCTTGTAGTTTTAAATCCACCGCTACATTTTCACCTCATTATAAGTCTTCCACATTACAGGTTCTAAAATAGGAGTATTTTTTTTATTTTCCAACTGTAATTCTTTTTCAGGAATGACTAGTGAAAGGATTTTGTTCATTGACAATATTCCTGCATTTACCTTAAAGGAAGGAGGAACATGTTTTATCTGGAGGCAAGATGAGGCATTCCAGAATTTCTCCTCACAGGTGTGGTGCTGGTTATTAATCCCATCTTTATGTGGTAAGATTAGGGAATGATTACATTCAAGTCCAACAGGTTCACCACACATATTCTAGACACAATGCCTTAACCCACTCATTACTGTATTACACAGCTATGGAAACATAGAAAGTAGATCGGTTCTAAAAAGGCTGATTTTTTTTTTTTTTCTTGAGACAGAGCCTTGCTCTGTCGCCCAGGCTGGAGTGCAGTGGCACAAGCTCGGCTCACTGCAACCTCCACCTCCTGGGATTAAGCGATTCTCGTGCCTCAGCCTCCCGAGTAGCTGGGATTACAGGTACTCGCCACCATGCCTGGCTAATTTTTGTATTTTTAGTAGAGGCGGGGTTTCATCATGTTGGCCAGGCTGGTCTCGAACTCCTGATCTCAAGTGATCCACCCACCATGGCCTCCCAAAGTGCTGGGATTACAGGAGTGAGCTACCGTGCCTGGCTAAGAGGCTGAATTTTTAAAAATAAGTGTAAGTTTTATTTACTGTCTAAGAATCATTCCTATTCCTGAGATTGGGTAATAATATATATCAGCTGAGCTATAAAGAATGCTGATTTCATTTCTATTTTCATTTTTTTATGAATTTTGGAGGGAAGAAAGCAGGTCAGTAATTTAGATCTATTATTAATATATTATAAGAATAAACGTGTGTGTGTGTGACCTCTCTTTATATACCTACACACACAACTAATACACTATATTTATTACTTTCTGTCCTCCAAGAGGAATGGAATTTTTTTCTCTGTCATAATTTCCTGGTAGGGCTGCCATGGTCAGTTCTCAATTTCATGAAGATCAACAGGACTTAACCTAGTTGCAACCTTAAGATGTTAGCATTTCATATTTTTAAAACTTGCATGTTTATACGGCCTTGAGGAAAGAGTAGACTCTAAATGTAATTAATAAGTAAATGAGACTGAAACGTTTTAAGAAATGTTCCAATCTCAACACAACATAACCAAAGGCACTAACTAGCACTTATTCTGTGTCCAGCACTGCAGCAAGCAGTTTATTATGTCCATGTACTCATTATGTCTCATGTACTCTTCCCAATAACTCTGTGAGATAATGTCCATTAGCGTTCCCATTTCATTGACAAGGAAATAGAGACAGAATAAGGATAAGCCATCTACTCAAGGTCAAAAAGAGTAGTAATGTCAGGAGTTGGATCTAAAACTAACTGACCCCACAGACCATGATCTTAATCACAGCACATATTCTTCCAACAATTCTTTCAGCTGATACAAAATTTACATCAAGGGAATGACCTTTTTAAAACTCTTTAAACGTCACAATAACTAGGGAAGCAATATGTCTGAATAATTTCCTTAGTAATTCTCAATACTGTATTTACTATCAAAGTTAATCTTAACAAAGTTCTCAGGCTGGCAAGAACATAGCAGTATTCTGTCCTAATCACAGTTACTGTATTTTTTAACCCTAAATTGATGCATAAGCTGAGGAAGACAGAATCTAATTTCGGTCATATAAGACTACTTTGCACATAATTATATTTTTTGACATTGGATAATAAGAGGGTTATTCTTTGAACTTTTCTAAATAATTTTATGGAGAAGAGACAAACATAACTTATTTTTAAATAAAAATAATACTAGTCCTAACTAATAGGCCTGAGCCAGTTCACAAAGGTTAGGCAAAACTACTAATGAAACCATAGCAACTTCAAGTACAGCTATTATGTGTAAATGGTTACCAGTGAGTTAAGAAATCTTAGGCAGCCAGAGGACCACTGACTGCATGGCAACAGAGAGAGAGAGAGAGAGAGGGAAAGAGCTTTTAATTAGAACAGTTTACCACTATGTAATTTCTCTCAAATCCTTTCCCCCTCAGAGACCACATCCATTTTATCACCAAAATTTAGAACGAGGGTGAGACTGCCAAAACATTATGTAAGTTTATAAGATTAATCAGTCTATATAGTAATAACTATCAAGCATTACTACTAAGCTACAATGAAATAAACTGAAAGGCATTATTTATGGCAGAAGCATCTTGCAGGAACTAACTTAATCACTATACTTGTTTCCAGGAGGCCCAAAGACCAATCCATGACCACCAATTGTTACATTCTAACTCCCATATAGAAAGATTTTCAAAATAAGTCTTACAACAGGGGACAAAAGCAAGCATCATGCAAAGTTGCTGATTGTTTATGGAAGATGCACCAACTTCTAAAAATAATGAACAGGATGGGGGGCAAGGAATATAAATGAGCACATTTTAAGAAGCACATTCCAAAAGAGGCATTAATGGAGAGTCACATAATTTCTATAGTATTTGTTTCTGGAAAGCATAGTCAATTACATTTTAGTAAAGACATGCCTAATATTGTCAATGTATATAACACCTAAAGTAAATTAAGTAAAGTAAATTAAAGTAAATTAAGGAAGGTTAGACTTGAGTATGGTTGGAAAGCTATCTAGTTCTCACATCTTTACAAAGGAATTAAGTTAAGTTGGACTTTATTAGGCTAAAAGCTGAAAACAATTTCATGGACTGATACAAATCTTGTTTTTCACTTTTCTTGTGAAGTTGGTCTTCTTTAAATTTAATCAAAGTATAGAGAGCACAAATCACATTTCTCAATGTGACTCCTGTGAGTAAAATGTACTGTGACAGCAAGAAGGAAGAACTCTGTCATAAATGCTTTTCAGTACTCTAGACAGCACCCCATTTTACAGCTTCATTTATACTTCTTGGATAATACCCAATTGTTAAGACCAGCACCACTGCCCCCGCCCTCTTCCTCCCCACCTCCCACTTTTTAAAGCACAGAACAATCAGAAAGAACCTATGTAGAAAAAACTCTTCGATATCTATAGACTGGCGTCTCTTACTACTATCAGTCCTATTCAAAGCAATTATCAAAAGGCAAAAAACAAAACAAAACAAAAAAACCCATTTATTCCATATTTAAACAGGGTGCTTAAAACAATCACAGGGATTGACAATTTGTAAGCACAAGCTTCTGCAACTCACCTATTGATCCTTGGGACTTACTACAGTCTATTCTCAACACAGGGGAAGAGTGTTTCTTTAGAAATAAAACTCAGATCAGGGCACTCCTTTCCTCAAAAGGCTCCCTATTTTACTAAGAGTAAAACACAAAATTCCTTTCAATGGCAGATAAAGCCCTACCTAATCCAGTACACTGCCCCTAATTATGTCTCTGATTTCATAGTCTATGTCTCTGTCCCTTGCTCTTACTCAGCTCCACACTGGCCTCCTTGCTCCAGTTCCAATATATCATGCAGTCTGCCTCAGGACCTTTGCACTGACTTCCTCTTCTGCCTGGAATGCTCTTCCTCTAGATATCCCCAGGTCTAATTCCTCTACTTCTTCACACTTTTGCTCAAAATTCATCTCAATAAGGCCTATCCATTTAAAATTTCATCTTCCCCCCACCCTTGTACTCCTAATTCCCCTTTCCTGTTCTACCTTTCTACCTTTTCTTTTTAGTTATAGCATTATTGTCTGCTAACAGACTATGTAATTTCCTTTTTTATATGCTCACTGTTGTTTATTGTTATCTGCTTGTACAATGTTCGTGGAGGACAGGGTTATTTTTTGTTCCCTGTAGTATCTAAAGTACCGAGAACAGTGTCTGATAGATAGTAGGCACTCAATTACCACTGAATGACTCAGGACAACTCACACAGCACTACTAGTAAGATAAGACAAGGGCTCATTTTATTGAAATACATGTGCCAAAGATCTTACTGGTAAGCAGACCAGACTGTTCTAATTTAGGGGTAAAAGAATCATTCAGCAGCCAAGTAGGCAGCTTAGTAGGCTTATTTCACAACAAATTATTCTCACTTGAAGCAAAGATTACTAAAAGATGCCCTCTACATTACCTGCATCAGTGAAACTAGACTCAATATTTTACCACACAGTCTACATTACAGGATGAAAACAAAAAAGCTAGTCAAAGGAGAGAGCACTGAGCATGCTTTCAGACAACCAAATCATCAACCAGTTATAAACAGTGACAGCACAAAGTTATTCACTCATTCTATCACTCCATCAACAAATACGTATTTCTGGGCCCTGGGGATGCAGCAGTGGGAAAGACAGATACAGCCTTTAGATGAAAGGAAGGCATATATGAATATATAATCATAATAAAGGGACATACGGTGATGGAGAACACACAGGAGAGGGTCCCAGCACAGACTTAGGAAGAAGTGAATTAGAGAGAGATTGCTGAAGGACTCAAACTCTAAGCTAGGCCTTGAAGCTTCTTTACCTTTTAAAACTAGCTAATCTGAGAAAAAGGTGGCATCTTATTGATCATGTCAGGCAAAAACTGAATGATATTTTCTTAAGAGATATGTAACTTATTTAGATTTCAAATGTGAGTTTGTAAAAACATCTACAAGGAGTTTCGCCACCCACCATCTCCATTTCAGCAGACCTCTCTGATAAAAAAAAAATTGTAAACATAAATGTTAATAGTTAACTCATTAATCTTTTTCCTAGACCACTTCTCTTCCTGTGTTCACTATCTTGAGCACTTAGCCTAGTTTCAAGCAACTAGGCTAGTATTTCTTTCAGCATTATTTCCAAAACTACCATGTTTATTAGCTAAATTAGGAAATAACCTGTAAGTCCAAGCAACTCGGCTAGGTATTTCTTTCACCATTATTTCCAAAAAGATCACATTTATTAGCTAAATCAGGAATAACCCTACACATACACACATACACACATACACACACACACACACACCCAGAATTCATCAATGCACAATTTTTATCCAAGTACAAAAGAAGTATCAATAGTTATTCTCATTTAACACTCTCCATTCCATACAAATCTCTTTTCTGTACACTTTACATATTTCCTTCATTCTCTGTCTGGAATAAATTTCAACTTCCACATCCTATCCCTATTTGTTTCTTCGGACACAGTTATTACCTTCTTTAGAGGCTTTTCTCCACTAAGCTTCTCTAATATTCTGAGTTTCATGCAGCACCCTGTAAGTTGTCTAGACATTACAGATTTGACTCAGCCCTTCAGTTATTTTAGGTAAGCATTTCTTAATAAGAAATGCCTCATTTCTTTAATAAGACCATAGCAATTGGAAAACGAGACAGGCCCTTAGTTTTGGCATCTTACATAGAACTTAACACAATATTTACTCAATAAGAAGGGGTAGCAGACTTTCAAATAATAATCATAGCCTTAGATCAGAAAAATGTGATGAGAAATAGGTTTAGAGCCAAAAGACCAGGGAGAGATGCAATTTTGTATGTGATATTATACAATTAGGTTCATCTCTCTCAACCTCAGTTCCCTCATCTGAAAATTAGAGATAATACCATCTGTTTCACAGGATTGTTGTGTCAAATAAGATTATGTGAAAGCCCTTTGTACCCTCCAAGATGTTACTGAAAAAAAAAGAGTTTTTATAGAACTGCTCACCCACATGTTTTGTCAGTTTCACTCATAAGCATAAGACCCTGTTTTTTGAAGAAAGGACATAGTTGTAATGTTGGCAAGAAGTCAAACCAAAAGAAATTAAAGTCAGATATTAACAATGAGAAGCATCATTACATAAATTTAAGTTCCCAGAAAAGTCTTATATCCATTTCAGATTTTCAACTAGTATGCTCATCCAAAATATTTCCTAATGTGTTAAGGATCCAGGAGAAAACTGCCTCTGGTAAAATGATATCTTTTTATCACACACTATGGAATGTGTTTGTGTGGGGAGGAAGGGGGAGAGAGTTGTAACTATGTCATCCCACATAAAAGTAAAACCTTTCATCCTTTTTCCAATCCCATTTCCAGTTCCCAGTACCCTTTGATCTCTTCTCTAAAGCAACCACCTTAATGAGGCTTAGCTTATAAAGCCCCAAAGATCTAGTCCCTCCCCATTCCAGCTTCATCTTTTGCCATATACACCTCTATTCCCACCAAACACACACACACACACACACACACACACACACACACACACCTTTTCTGCCCTCAGCTCCCTCTCTCGGCCCCTGGATGAACTTGTACTTTCCCCACCTTTCCAACTCTCCTTCATCCGTTAAGCCCTCTGTGTATACATTTTTTTTGCAGAGGCTTTCCTGAAGACACCCCATGTCTGGGTTAGGTGGCCATACTATGCAGTCCTTTAGCACTCTATACCTGCCCTATAATGGCAATTCTTGTGTTCACCTGTTTAACAAACAATGGAGTGCATATACTCCAATAATGATTCAGCAACGAAGAAAACAAACTCCGTGCTTGAACACAGCTTACAAAGAAAGGGAGAAGACAGACAATAACAAAATTTGCTAAGAACAAAGCAGGGTAAGGAGTAAACAGTGACAGTAGGGGTACTATTTCAGTTAGAATGGTAACAAAAGAAGAGCTTCTGATGAGAAGACCCTTGGGTAGAGTCCTGAAGGAAAGGAGACAGTCATGTAGGTATGTGGGGAAAAAGTTCCAGGGCAATAACAGAAACTGGTGCAAAGGTCTTATTGCAAATGTGGTTGTCTGTACTCAAAGAACAAGAGGCCAGAGTGACTGGGGTGGAGACAGAGTGGAAAGAGGACTAGGTGAGGTTAGATTAGAGAGTACACCGGAGACCAACTCATGTAGGACCTTTCAGGTCTTACCACATGGTATTTTGTTTGATCATTTACATTGTTCTTCTCTCCCATTAACAGCCTCAGCTCTTATTTACTGTTATATTCCTCAGAGACTATTACTGTGCCTAGCATAAGGTAGATATTCAAATATTTATTGAACAACATCAGGTTAAAATGTAAATCCAGAAATTTCCTTTACCAATTCAGTGTTTTCAGCAACTTTTACATTGAAATAAAAAAGCTAAACTTATTAGTTGAGCAATCATTGTTAGTAAGTGGAAGAAGTGATCTCTTCTCATTGGCTTTCACTAAAACAAAGGCTGCTGAATAGCCTTGTTGTAGGTCTTCCCTTCTATCATGGTAGAATCCAAAACCCCACTTCCATTTCCCTCTTCAAGAATGAGGCAGAGATAAGGAATTCAGTATAAGAAACCTGGGATGGGAACTTGTAAAATAAAGGAAAAAGTATCAGAAGACTAATTTCCACTTAACTCATGACAATTCAGTTTCCATGAAATTTGAGGAAATAGTTCCCAGGAGGAATCAAAAAATTCTTGTCTACTATGCTTGCGCAAAGAACCACTACAGTTAAGAAAAAGGGGTGGGGGGGGGCATGGTGGCTCATATCTGTAATCCCAGCATTTTGGGAGGCCAAGGTTGGGGGATTGCTTGAGTCCAGGAGTTCAAGACCAACCAAGGCAACATAGCAAGGCCTTGTCTTTACAAAAAAATAAAAACAGCTGAGTCTAGTGGTGTGAGCCTGTAGCCCCAACTACAAAAAGAAAACAAACACACACACACACACACACACACACACAAAGAAAAGGCAATATTATAGTAATACTGAATTACAGCTTGCTCTGGTGTTAGGTTCAAATATTGGCTATTTAAGATTTTTGCATTTCTACTGGTAATATCTGCTGAATACACAGGAATATATATGCATGCAGTATCTTGCCAAACATTACTATCAAGAAGCCAACAGAAAGGCCCAAAGGATTTCCAGTCATTTAAGAGATCTAGATGTACTGTATCTTTACAAAATTTTGCCATCTGTACAACCACATCCTATGGTGGTCAAGAGCAACTTAGTATATCCATCTTTTAACACTACATTTTCCAAAAATCATCTCCATCCAGATTCAGTAACTGTATATTGTTCCTAATGTTCAAAATGCACTACCTATTGTTCCTTTCTCAAAGGTATAGTCTTCATTTGTAAGAATTAAAATTTAAAACATAGCAAAAATCTGAAGTAGTCATGTACCACATAACAATGTTTCAGTCAACAGTGGACCACATATATCACTCTGTCACCTGGGCTGGAATGCAGTGGCGCAATCATGGTTCAATATAACCGCTGCCCCTGGGCTCAAATGATCCTCTCACCTTAGACTCCCCAGTAGCTGGGACTACAGGCATGCACCACTATGCTCGGCTAATTTTTTAAATTTTTTTGTAGAGAAGGGGTTTCCCTATGTTGCTCAGGCTGGTCTCCAGCTCTTGGGCTCAAGTGATCTGCCCACCTCGGCCTCCCAAAGTGCTGGGATTATAGGAGTAAGCCACTAAGCCTGGCCTACAGTACCATATTTTTACTGTTGTTTTCTATGTTTAGTTATGTTTAGATACACAAACACATAGCATCACGTTACAGTTACCTACAGCATCCAGTACAGTAACATGCCATGCAGGTTTGTAGTATGGGAGCAACAAGATACACCATATAGATTAGGTGTGTAGATTATACCATCTAGGTTTGTGGAAGTATACTCTATGATGTCTGCACAATGACAAAATCACCTAATGACATATTTCTCAGAACACATCCCAGTCATTAACTGATGCATGACTGTATATAAATTAAAAGTGCTAACCGAAACATAAAGGGACAAATACACGTATCACATGATTAAAAGCCAACTGTAGGCCAGGCGCGGTGGCTCACACCTACAATCCTAGCACTTTGGGAGGCTGAGGTGGGTGGATCACTTGAGGTCAAGCGTTCATGACCAGTCTGGCCAAAACAGTGAAATCCCACCTCTACTAAAAATACAAAAATTAACCAGGCATGGTGATGTGCGCCTGTAATCCCAGCTACTTGTGAGGCTGAGGTAGGAGAATCGCTTGAACCTGGGAGGCGGAGGTTGCAGTGAGCTAAGATCGTGCCACTGCACTCCAGCCTGGGTGACAGAGCGAGACTCCACCTCAAAAAAAAAAAAAGAAAAGAAAAAGAAAAAAAAAAAACTATAAATCTGAAAGTAATTATAGAGATTTTGCTAATTAGCATTTAAAAATTTGTGTTCAAATTATAGCCTGCTCTAAACAGGCAGCTTGTAGAACCACTCTAGCCTAAATTATGTCTGGTTTGGCCAGAAGTGTAGGTTTTCGTTTGTTTACTTGTTTTGTTTCAATGTGAATTTGAATACTTTTAGGAGGTGCAGATGTATTTTGCCACAGACCCCACCACTCCCAATTGTGTAACACTGAACCTCATTTATGTTCTTTGTGTGACCCTGAAGGTATTTAAATTTGCAAACCCTGCAAGTGTAGGTGAAGATGTTTAGTTTCTTATGCATATCCCAAAATAACTTTAGAAAATACTGAAATGGCTGGGTGTGGCGGCTCATGTCTGTAATCCCAGCACTTTGAGTGGCCTAGGAGGGCGACCACCTGAGCTCAGGAGTTCGAGACCAGCCTAGGCAACATGGCAAAACCCTGTCTCTACCAAAAATACAAAAATTAGCTGGACATGGTGGCCCATTCCTGCAGTCCCAGCTACTTGGGGGACTGAGGTGGGAGGATTGCATGAGCTGGGAGGCAGAGGTGGCAGTGAGCCAAGATCTTGCCACTGCACTCCAACCTGGGTGACAACAGGGCAAGACGCTGTCTCAAAAAAAAAGAAAACACTGAAATAACTATAGTCGAACTACAGTGATTTTTTCAGTGATATGAACATCACAATAAAAAGTAAACAATGGAATATTTTTCTTAGGGCAAACAAGTTCATTCTATTTTCAGAGACTTTCTGTAATTTAAAACACTTCAGAAGTCAACGACCTCAATTCTCATCATTTTACAGTGAAATGACTGGGCCTACAGTGGTAAAGTGACTTGTCCAAGGTCATATGGCCAATTGGTAGCTTGGATACAAAAGTGCTTTGAATTCGTTTCCCCCAACCAGACACTTTCATCAAAAGGAAGGGCGACTGTTTCTGATTATTCTGAGCCTGTGCTAACACTCTGCTCAGTGTTCTGCATTCAGTAAGTAGTCAACAAGTAGTAATGAGATTTGCTTCCAAGAGGTAAACTCAGTTATTGTTTATAAAAAACAGTATCCAGCTAGAGTTAAATAGAAAGAACGGATTCCTGCTCAACAGCCAT
The DNA here is from genome assembly GCF_000001405.40 of Homo sapiens. Classification (NCBI taxonomy): domain Eukaryota; kingdom Metazoa; phylum Chordata; class Mammalia; order Primates; family Hominidae; genus Homo; species Homo sapiens. The sequence continues at coordinate 36,061,501 of NC_000006.12, read as the reverse complement.
AGTATTTATTGAATAAATGAATGAATGAATGGTTGAATGAATGAATGAAACCTTAGTTCAAAGGTAGATTTGTAGTTGCTGGGTCCTTACATGGATGAAGGAGCCAAACAAAGGCACCACTATCAGTAACACTTAACCTTCTAAATAGACACTGGCCTTAATTAAGGTCTTTTCACATAGGAAAAATAGGTTCTTAATCCGGTTCCAGAATGCCCAATTAGGCCAAAATACAGCATTTTGCACTTTGCACAAGTCAGCAAATCATTTCCTTTGTTATATAAATCCATCCTTAGTATACCTAAAATTTTGGGATACAGCTCAGATCTAACTCAAATGTTTTCCAAAGTAATTCACAAACACATTACTTCAGCATTTCTTCTACATTTAGGAAAACTATTTTTAAAAACCATCATTCTGTAACATTCCCTTTTCCAACTATAGCATACAGTAGGGCTCAACAAACTGTAATATACATGCCCCTGAGTAACATCCAGTAATCTCTGGAAGCCTCCATATTGTTGTATCAAGCAGGGCTGCGAGAAGAACAATTTTTCTTAGTTATTGGCTATTTTTTTCCTTTGTTTCTTAAACTTTCATTAGCAGGATCAAGGTTAATGTAGCCAAGGAGATCTTGTAGGTGGACCAAATTCTCCTCTCTTAACTTCTACTCTTCTACTCTCAGCCATACACTGTTCCAACTAAATTCAAATGGTGGAGAAATGTTTTTGCCACCTTTCCTCCTTCCCTTTCCATTTCATCTTCTTTATTTCTTTCTCCCTTTCCTTAGACAGAACATAGAAGTTCAAACATATCCCCTTTGTGTTCTGTGGGGAAGGAGTAAACGGTGTTTGCAATCAGCCCAGGATAAGAATGGGAGAAACTGAAACCAGGATAAGGGTGAGGAGAAACTGGTTAGGTTCAGCCCTGGGGTCAATGGGGGAATGGAGGTTAAGGAAGAGAAGTCACGATCTTCAGTTCTGTTTTGGCTTTCATAATAGTAACACTCTCCATTTAGGAATGCCAAAATTTCAATGTGACCAAAAGTATAACTGTGTTTAAGGTTTTTTTCTCTTTCATGGTATAGTGTATATGTGAACTGGGGGCAGGGAGAGCTGTGTCAACTCAGATACTAGAAAAGCTACTATAGTAGAGAGTTCACACATACATGGGAACACTTGCTGGAATCTGTCTTATGGCCCACCAATGTGCAACCTGGGCATGTGAAGGCACTAATGACATACGTGGCAACCCTTGCCAATGGGGTCAGGAGCCAGTGTATTAATGATCCCCATCTGAGGTGCATTACGTACAGCTTCTTAGATCTTGGCAGTTTTCAGCCCAATTGTCCATAGTGGTGACCAACTCAACATATACTCATAGAAGCTTTCTCTCCTTTCCTGTTTCATTTTCCCTAGCCCCCCACTACTGGTTCCTGAGAATCCCAGGCTCTGCTTTCTAGGGGTATCCCAGGCTAAAACAACAGAGGTGGTTACAAAGCTGAGAGAAGAAGCCTTTCTCAACAGGTAGAGTCTGCCCCTTATCCCAGTATAGAAATCTAATACTTCAAGGATCAGCATGTAGTTCTAGTATCATCTCCCACATGCATGGGCGATAAAAGAGGAGGGAGTCTATATGGCTGGGGATCCGTTACATTTCTTGAAGAGCACCTTTAAAAGTTGGGATCGGCCAGGCATGGTAGCATGTGCCTGTAGTTCCAGCTCCTCAGGAGGCTGAGGTGGGAGGATCACTACAGCCCAGGAGCTTGAGTCCAGCCTGGGCAATATCACAAGACCCCGTGTCTTTTAAAACAAAAACAACAACAACAACAACAACAACAAAACCAAACCTGGGATAAACACTTTGAAAAGAAAATCCATAGTCAAAACTCTCTCCACTCCTTTCTCCATGGAACTTTTGTAAGAATTCAAGACTGACTCTTCAATGGGGTACAATGTGCCTGAAATGATGTAAATACTAACACGCACCACCCATAACATACATCTTCTGGTATCCATCCCTACACCCAAAAAGAGGTGCATGATAGGAATAAAGAATTTTTTGAAGTCTATATGTTGCTAAATGGTTCAGGAATAGAAATGGGCTATTAGTCTTCATTCTGTAGACCAGGAAGGCAAATGCAAAAAATTTACTCACACATCATTGAATTCCTCCAGAGACCTTGCAGGTGTAAAAACGTCCAACAGACCAATCACCTGTAAGAAAATATAAAAATTAAAAAGTAAATAAATATTAAACTCAGTATAGTACCCATCAGGTCTTAATCTTCTTTTTTTTTAAAGAGTCAGGGTCTAGGCCGGGAGCAGTGGCTCACGCCTGTAATCCCAACACTTTGGGAGGCCGAGGCGGGCGGATCACCTGAAGTCAGGAGTTCGAGACCAGCCTGGCCAACATGGTAAAACCCTGTCTCTACTAAAAATACAAACATTAGCCAGGTGTGGTGGCGGGCGCCTGTAATCCCAGCTACTCGGGAGGCTGAGGCAGGAGAACTGATTGAACCTGGGAAGCGGAGGTTGCAGTGACCCGAGATTGCGCCACTGCACTCCAGCCTGGGAGAGTGCAGGTGCAGAGTGAGACTCTGTCTCAAAAAAAAAAAAAAAAGAGTCAGGATCTCACTCTTGACACACAAGCTAGAGTACAGTGACACCATCACAGTTCACTGCAGCTCAAGCAATCCTGTCTCAGCCTCCCAAGTAGCTGGGACTATAAGCACGTGCCACCACCATGCCTAGCTAATTTTTCTTTTTTTGTACAGATGTGTCTCACTAGATTGCCCAGGCTGGTCTTGACCTTCTGGCCTCAAGCGATCCTCCCACTTCAGCATCCCAAAGTGCTGGCATTACAGCAGTGAGCCACCACGGCCAGCCACGTCTCAATCATTTTAATAGGAACTAATTCAAAACCAGCTACCTCAGTTCCATAACATCACATCATATACTTAATAACTCCAACTAATTTTCTACCCAAATTATGCTTTTGTTTTCTACTTGTTAACATCAATTCTCATATTAACCCACTTTACCATTAAAAATCTTCATCTCTTTAGAATTTATTCATATGTAGTCAGTAGTTTATCAGAAGGCAAAAAGATTTAGGGTCCTTGCCTTACGTATGTACTAATGGTCTAATGAATTAATCCAACAGGTGAAAAAGGTCACACATCCATGGTTGTTACCGTAATATTGTGTTTTTTAAAAATGTATTCCACGAAAAATTTCCATATTAACTGTATATGCTTCAAAACTGACATTTTTAAAGTCTCAAAATATTCTCAGTATATTCTTGGTATTATTCTCACAAAGTCTTAATGTATAGGGTATTTAAATCAGACAATTTAAAAATGAAAAAAAAAGTCTATTTTTACACAGGGATAAAGCAAAGAGCTACTTAATACTCAATAACCCATGGTCTTTGAGCAGTTTTTCTGATCAGGAATTTATACTGATTTATCCACATACAGCACCCTCCAACCCCTACCTCCCATCTATTTTCCTTAAAACCCAGGCCATTCATTTCTACAAAGTTAGGCATTGACAAGGCAAATAAGAAATATATAATTCATTTGTAATACGCCCAGCCATATTTGAGAGTATCTGGTTATGAAGCAAGACTGTGGCCTCACTAGCACACTGTTCTAAACTGCCAACTTAAACACAAAGCTCTAGAAGTAAGATATGTTAACACTCAAAACATTATCATGAAAAAGATCTTCTAATTAGGATGTTACTCCACTCATCCAAATATCAGACTTTTTTTTTTTTCTTTGAGACAGAGTTTCGCTCCTGTTGCCCAGGCTGGAGTGCATGGCACAATCTCAGCTCACTGCAACCTCTGCCTCCTGGGTATAAGTGATTCTCCTGCCTCAGCCTCCCGAGTAGCTGGGATAACAGGCATGCACCACCACGCCCGACTCCAAATGTCACTTTTTAAAAGCAACTTTAATTTTACAGTCTGAACCTGAAAAGGAGGTGGTGGGACACATACTTGGAATTCAAGAATAGGTTTCAAGTCCTTGAAAATTGTTCCAAAGGAAATAGAATCACTTTCAGATCTTACCCAGACAACAGTACATAAGAAAACCAAAATTACCCATAATTATACCACCCATTATAACTATCATTAACATTTTGAGATATATTTCCTTTGATTTTCTGATGTACATAAATTAAATTGGGGTTACACCATGCATAGTTTTATATCCTGCCTTTTTACTTAATATTTAAATATTTGTATACAGCATATCTATCATTTGTGTATACCATAACTTAACCAATTTCCTATCTCTAGACATTTAAGGAATACTGCAAGAAAAATATATGTATTTTGCACATCTCATATTTTCTTCCAGGAAATAAATTTCAAGAAACAGAATTACAGAATCAAAGGACACCAATATATTTAAGGATCTTAATATTGTCAAATGGTCCTCCATAGAGGTAAGGCCAACTTACATGCCTCCCAATAGAGTACCTGTGACCTCATTCACAATAGTGCTTTAAATTTAAGTCAAATCCATTTCCTTTTACCTTCTCCATCTAAACCATAATCGTTTCCCTTGAGTTTGGTATACTCCTGGCTTAAGACCTCTGGTCTTTTAATCACTCTCCCTTATACCCACTTCTACTTAAGGTAACTGAGGTCTAGAAGCTAACTTTATTCACCGTTCCAATATTTTCTAATCAATGATTCTTGTTATCTGAGATGCCCATCTCCTCAAAACAATAGAAAAGTTTAAAACTATTTACATTGTTTTACAGTGTTTCCATTGTGATTGTGAAAATCCTCCTATGGAAATAAAACTAAATCATTAGAGATCTGATTTACACATGCAAGAGTTACCTCAAAAGACAAAAGTCAAAACTATTTTCAAATAAAAACTCCAATTTCAAACTGAAAACACAACAGACATTTTGGAACCAAGCAGCTGTAAGTTTGAACCCCAGTATCAGTTTGTGATTTCTTGGGTCCAAGAGCTTATAATTTCTTCATTCCAATAACGCTGGCACTTGGAATGGAGCCTGGCATTCAGCAGGAGTTCAATGAATGGCTGTTATGTAAATAATAATTGGCAAATACATTTGGTATCTTCTCTGAGTCCCATTTTCCTCATATGAAAAACATGAGGACATCATTGCTTATTTTCACAGTACTGACAGCAAGACTGAGCAGACAATGTATCTGAAGGTGCCTAGTACAAAAGGCTGACCCACTGTGGATCATCAAAATAAGTGGTGACCACAGCCCACACAGTTGAATAGACAATTACAAAATACAATATACCTAAGCAAACTATCTGAAGCAGCTACTTCCATTAACAGAATATGAGACATAAAGCTCAACTATTCAAATGATTAAAAACCATGACTGCAAGAAGAAAAATAAAGTAACCTGAAAAAAAATAGAGAAAAGCCAACTAGTAAATACCCTACCAAATTTTAATTTCCTAAAAAGGGCAATATTTACAATATTTAATGTGTTTAACATAAGCACACCGAAAATAACAATTTTGAGATTAAAACTACCCATGCTAAATCAAAGTACTTAAATTTTTGATGGGTTTTTACAAAATATCCCTCACTCCATTAATCATACTTATGAATATTAATCATAAGGAAAATACTGTAAAACAAAAGCTTATCAGCATTAAAATAGATCTGGAAAATATTTTAGGAATCTATTCATTTCTCATTTCTTTTTTTTTTTTTTAATATAATAATAGAGACTGGTTTTTGCCATGTTGCCCAGGCTGGTCTCAAACTTCTGGGTTCAAGCAATCCACCCACCTTGGCCTCCCAAAGTGCTAGGATTACAGGCATGAGCCACTGCGCCCAGCCATTTCTCATTTCTTAAATGGAAATTCCCTTCTAAATCAAGTCATATTTTAGTCTATTTCCTTAACTCCTTCTGCTGTTACATGACTTCAGTCACCTCAAAGTAACCCAGGAATCAAATTTTTAGAAAAGACATTCATAATACAAATAAGCAGCAAATATCTCTAATGATTATCCCATCATGGTCCAAAGCCTGGCAAATATTAAGTCGTATTTTTATTAAATTAGCACACATCCAAAAAAAAATACTTTAACTCAGTATCCAGAGACAATATTTAGCATATTTAACAAAAGCACACCAAAACAATCTCTTGGTCTACAATGGTAAGGTTAAATCTAAGGCTCCCAAATAAAATTTACAAAACAATTTCCTTGATCATTTTTAAATTCTAAAATGTACAGATCTCTAGGCCCATATATGGGCCATCTCTGTAGTGTCTGCCCAGACAGCAAAGGATGCAGCTGGCAGGCTGCCTCCCTTTAATCTTTCCTTAGAGCAGGTGTTAACGAGATCAAGGTCAGAAGTTCAATCAGGAATGGTCCAACTAACTTTGTTCAGAGAGAAACTCTCACAGTCACAGAGGACATCCCCTAGCTTCAGTCACTCACCTAATAAATGTTTATCTATTATTCATGATCACTAACAGAAGAGACAATTCAAGATGAACTACCGATTGTGGGTCAGAGGCATTTTTGTGTAAAAGATCACATGTGCCCTCTGGCACCTGAAAATTGTATTTGTTACCAACACCTAAAATGTTCACAAGTTTTAAGCGCCTGTTGCTGCTGCCTGTGGGAGGTTTGGCCGCTATAAAAATTGGATGGTGACCCAAAACAGTAATTTTTTAAAAAAGAAGAGGAGGGTAAACGAGATGAATTTCTCTGAAAACCCTCAATTAAACTTACCGGAAGTTTTGGTTCTTTATTGGGTAAAACTACTTTGACATTATAAGCACCTAACAAATGTTTTCAAAATAGGCTAAAATGCAGGAATTTTTCTACATTGAGTCAAGTCTTTTGGCTTCAAACATTTGCCAATGGAATAGAGAACTATGAGACATTCAGCCATGTGCCTTATTTTGTTTAAATAACAAATCACTGATATCTAGGTGACCACCAACTGTTAGAACTTAAACATCTTTATATAAAAAAAAGACTGCTAGTAAGCAAGCCACTTATAAAACAATGTATAGAAATTAAAATCCTATTTTTCTAATACCATGATCCCTAAACATTGGCTTAACATATTTATGAAGAAAAGCAAAACAATCAGTGTAGCACTGATAATCTCCTAAACCAGATGTTCTTAAATTAGCATAGCCACATCAATAGGATCCTAGTGGCTCCCAAAGGTGCTCTGGGGTTCCATAAATGTTTGGCTTGCATTTCACTTTCAAAATATCCTTTATACTTGCAAAGCTGTGACACTGTCTCTGTCACATATAATAATGTGTAATGAAAAACAGCATACACACTTAAATGTGTTAAAAATCAAACGCAAACACATCCCTTAAAGCTGCCAGGCCACTTTGATTTTATGCAGACCTAGGAATAAAGTTTCTGCTGCCAGCTTTTTCCGCATATCTCAACTTCTTGTAAACATGTCACTGATTAGGAAGGCTGCAGCTTCACACTGAACATTCTTAAAACTCTGGTTTGCACATAGCTACTTAAGTAAAATTATACTCAGGAATAGAAGTTGTCTGTAGAAATAGGATTTCCTCAATAGCATACAATCAAAATAAAATGTGAAAATAAAAAGCAGCAGCTGTGATTATAATGGCATCCATAATCCAATTACAAATTTAAGTCTTAATGTTCTCAATTTAGAAGAAATTTGCACTAATGAAACAAATGTACGCTAATGAAGAGTCACTTATCTGTGACTTTTTTCTCGCTATGAAGAAGTTAAATTACTAAAACAGTCTAAATAGTCAAATAATAAATTCACAGATTTTGAATTTTCTTCCACAAGGTAACAAGCAGTACAGCCAGAGGACTTTGAAATCTCTATGGCCATTGTTTCCACAATGCTACAAACTTCACAGTACCCTTCATATAGCAGTCACAGAAATTCATAACTTGATTTTGAAATTCAGTAAAATAAGTGTCTTCAGTCAACTGTCTTTTTACTTTCAGTTAGTATTCCAATTATATCCACTTATTTATCGTATTAGAATTTGTAAGCATCTTTGCAGAATGGCAACTGAATCAACAAATTGGTAAAAAAGAAAAAGTTATATTTAACTTAAACAATGCCTCTGACATATTTATTAAAATACGTGAATCTGGAAAAAAAGAAAAATTATTAACAAATATATAAAATAATAGCCATCTCTGATAGGACTTTCAGTGAGCCTAAGGCACTCTTTCTCAGATTTTTCCACTTAAAAATATTAAGGCTATATTATGAGAATATGGGAGTCTGTGGCTATTTTGTCTTTTAATAGCCACAGACTCCCATATTCTCATAATATAGCCTTAGGAAAACCAGGCAAAGAATACATAACTTCTTTTTAATATTTTCTCTTAAAAATTATTGTGAATTTTGTGTTGTATTTCATAACATATCCTTTAATTTTAAAATTTTAAAGAGTTCTTTCTCCTCTAAAAATCTTTGAGTAAAACTAAAACTCCAGGAAGATGCATCACTTTCATTCCAAGTCTTTGACCTGACATAACCAAGTGGCCACTAACACCCCAGGACAAGGAGCAGGGACCAACGTTTGATGCACTCCAGCGTATTTCCATCTGCAGTAATTAAAACATTTTTCCCCAGTCTATTCAAGATCAAAATGTATTCTTCCTTGAATGAATAACTTACATTTTCATGTTTCATATGTTTAAGTAACCGCAGTTCTCTGTAGGTTCTTTTCGCATGAATGATGGACTGAAATGGTCTGGAGAGCTTCTTCACTGCCACACGTAACCCCGTTTTTGTGTCAAAAGCAGCACTAAGGAGAAAAAAGGGAAAAAACCCACCATTAAAAAGCTGTTCTAAATATTATTTTGGGGTATTTATAAGGCTATTTCCAAATTAAAGGGTCTATAACAAAATACCAAAAAAAAGCATAAAGATAAAAAGCAAAATGACCTATTATCCCATTATCCAAATAAAGCTTCTGTTATTATTTTTGGTGTTTTCTCCTTGTCTTTTCTATGTATCTAAATCAGAAGTCAGCAAATTTTTTTCAATGAAGGGCCAGATAGTAATATTTTCAACTTTGTAAGTAAGACCTCTGTCACAACTACTCAACTCTGTGGTTGTATGAGGAAAGCAGCCAGAAAATAAGTTTTAAAATGGGTGTGGCTGTGTTCTAATAAAATTTACAAAAACTGGCAGCTGCCTGATCTAGATGAGCCAACAGATTAATAAACAGAGTTGAATTCTGTCTTCCCTGCCTAGGCCTCACTGTCGTCACCTTGCCACATCTGCTGCCTGCTCAGAGTCGAGGCCCAGGAAACCATGTTTTCAGGACAATAAATTGCCACAAATATTTCTTGAGCACCTACAAAGTACTTGGCACCTTCAGGGAATGGGGGAAGAGCAGAACAGAATAATAAAATAATTTCAAGTAGTGATGAAAATACTATGACTAAATAAAAGGGTAATGGGATAAAGAGTGACAGAAAGCCAGTGGAGTTATACCACTTTAGCTAGGATGGCTGAGGAATGACATCTGAGCTGAGAAGGAAACAATATAATGATTAAATTCCCTATATAAATATATAAGAAAAAGAGCTTCAAGCAGAAGAAATAATAATAATATTAATGTTTATAGAGTCTTTACCCACACATACAAGAAATTGTTCTAAGCCCTTTACATTTATTTGTCTCAATTCAGCTTTTGTATTTCCCCGAATCCCCTATGAAATAAGTACTATTATCATTCTCCCACTTACAAGTAAGAAACTGAAGCAGAGAGAAGTTAGGTAACTTGACCACGGTCACAAAGCTTAAAAGCGGCAGAGCAGGGAGTCTGGATCCAGAGCTTATGCTACTGACCACTTGACTCTGCTATCTCTCAGAAGAGCAAGTGCAAACAAACGAAAAAAGAAACAGAGGTAGGAAACGTATGGCATGCTGGAGTGAGTGACAGAAAGACAGAAAGGCTGTGTGGGTAGAGCACAGGGAGCAAGGGGAGAGTGGGAAGGGATGACGTAAGAGATGCAGGCAGCAGCTAGATCATGGAGGACATCTATAGCAAAAATGCGATGTGTATTTTAATTATTTTTAGAAATCGTCGCCAGGCACAGTGGCTCATGCCTGTAATCCAGCACCTTGGGAGGCCGAGGCGGGAGGATCACGAGGTCAGGAGCTCGAGACCAGTCTGACCAAGATGGTGAAACCCCATCTCTACTAAAAATACAAAATTAGGCGCAGTGGCAGGTGCCTGTAATCCCAGCTACTCAGGAGGCTGAGGCAGGAGAATCACTTGATCCCAGGAGGCGGAGGTTGCAGTGAGCTGAGATTGCACCATCGCACTCCAGCCTGGCAATAAGAGTGAAACTCGGTCTCAAAAAAAAAAAAAAATAGTAATAACAGAAATTGTCTGGGCCAGTTCCATTATGCCTCATCCTCCAGTTTGTCTCAGTCTCTAACATGTATCCAAGACTTTCTGGTCATCTGTTATCACCAAACTCTCTGCCTGCCAAACTTGCTTTTACAACTCTGTACCTACTCCAGTGCCCTTCCTTTCACTCCCAAACTTTTATGGCATACCCTCAATCTTCAAATCCCAATTTGTGATAAACTCCTATAAATCTTCAACCTCTTTTCTGAACCTCCCCTCCATCTCTGAAACTAGGCCATTTCTAGAAGACACTGCTTCTCTTATAGCCCTGCCATTAGAAAGCATTCTCTAATAGCCCAGATACCTCCTGGCTAGCAGGTGCGTAGGAGTCTTCCTTGGCAGCCGTTACCACTTCAGGACCATTACTTTCCGTTTGTTCTATAAAATACCTCCTGCTCACAACCCTGATAAACTATCCCTCTCTGCTGCAGGTATCCACTGACCTGAAATTTTCCATCATTCATTGAAAAGTTAGTTTCTATCCAGAAGATCTCTCTACACTCTCAACTTCTGTCATCATTCTTGGCAACTTCAACATCCAGGTGAACGGCACACCCAACATCCTGTTTCCTGACCTCTCTAGGAAACTCCACCACACCCAGCCATCTTCATGGTCACATTCTAGACCTTTATTCCTACCAAAAACTGCCCCACCTACAAAATTTTGAATGCCAGCAGCATTTGCTTTTCATCAAAAACCTAGTTACCTCTAGTTTACTTGTACCCTGACTACAACAATTTGTTAACCTCATTGTCATTGCTTGTTTCTATCCTTCAGCCCTCTTCTGTCTTCATCTCCCTTCCTGTTCCATGATTATAATCACTCCCTTGCACTTCTCTCTCTCTGTCTGTCTGTCTCTCTGATGTACTCACCTGGATAAAGTCTAACCTTGGGTAATCTCAACCACTTAATTCTCCATGACTGAATCCAAGGAACTGAGGTTGAACAAGAAAGACTGTAGAATCAGATTTTCATTCTTAGTTTCTGACCTTAATCTCAAAGAGGCTCTCAATAAAGCCATTTTCTTCTAGTAAGTTCATTTTCCTACTCGAAAATGATCGTTTGACATGTTCTCTCTCAAATCTCCAATTCACCCTCTTCCCTCAAGAGTTGCCCTTGCCTTCACTGAGAAAACAGAAACCATCAGGAGGGGAGCTCCATTTGCTTAGCCCCAAATCTATAAACCCATCGTCTCCACCTTCCCTCTTGCTATAACTAAGAATATGCCCCTGCTTATCAAAATTCAAGACCACAATACATGCTTTGGAGCCACCTCCCTCATCTTCTCAAGGATTTCACTTCTTCATTCCTCTTCTCTCTTGCATCATCAGTGTCTCCCTATCTACTGGACCATTCTCATCAGCATAAATTTGCTCTACTTGTTTACCGCCTTCAGCCAACAAACAAAAGACTTCCCTTAACAGTTCTCCATCACAGTTAAAATTCTCCAAAAAAGTCACCTACACCAGAGGTTCCCAGATCAGCAGCATCAGTTTCACCTGGGAATTTATAAGAAATGAAAATTCTCAGGTACCACCCCAGAGTTAATGGAATAAGAAACTTTGAAGTGGGTCTAATAATCTGTATTTTATCAAGCTCTCCATGTTATTCTAATACATATTACAGTTTGAGAACCACTAATTTATACCTTTGCTATTCAAAGTGTGCTCCATGGACCGGCAGCATTGACATTATCTGGGAGCTCATTAGAAAATGCAGGATCTCTGCAGACAACAGGAAAGGAAAAAAGAAAAGAAAGGAAAAGGAAAGGAAAGGAGATCTTGGGCCCTAAAATAGAATTTACTTTTTGACAAGATTTCCAGGTGATTAATATACCTCTTAAGGTGTGAGAAGCACACATCTACACAACTGACTCATTTCAATCCCATTCTTTCCTCAATCCAATTCCACTGAAACTGCTCTTCTCAAGGTCATTAATGACCTCTGCTACCAAATCCACTTTTCTAAGATTAGTAATTGACATAGTCACCACTTTCTCTAAATACTGTCCATCCTGGAGTCTATATCAACACTTCCATTGGTTTTCTATGACCCCTCTGGCAGCTCCATCTCTGTCTCCACTGCATGTGCTGCTTCTACTCAAACTCTGTATGTTGGAGTTCTTCAGGACTTGGTACTGGGCCCTCTTCTCTCTCCCACATTCTCTTTCTAGATAATCTCATCTATGCCCATGACTTTAAATTAAATGCCATCTATATATTGAAAACTCCCAAATTTATGTCTCTCACTGAAATCTCTTCTCTGAGCCCTGATGTCTCCATAAGAAAGACACATAAGCACCTGAAGCGTACCAAGTTCAAAACACCCAGAACTATTCTTCTCCATGGCTCTGTTATCTCAATAAATGGACTGTTCATCCAGTTGCTCGAGCTAGACATTTGATTGTCATCCTTGATTTCTCCCTTTCCTCAGTCCTCATTCAAATCTATTGGCAAGTCTCATGGTTTTCACCTCCAAAAGACGTCTCAAAGTCAACTGCTCTTCATTTCACCAATATCATATTAGTCCATGTCACTGGCCTACCTCCTTCTAATATGCTTTCCAAATGCATCCAATACAGTCTTTTAAAAATATAAATTATGCCAGGCACAATGGCTCAAGCCTGTAATCCTAGCACTTTGGGAGGCCAGGGCAGGAGGATTGCTTGAGCCCAGAAGTTTGAGATCAGCCTGAGCAACATAGCAAGACCCTGTCTCTGCAAAAAATAAAAAACGGGTTGGGTGCAGTGGCTCACGCCTGTAATCCCAGCACTTTGTGAGGCCAAGGCGGGTGGATCACTTGAGGTCAGGAGTTCAATACCAGTCTGGCCAACATGGTGAAACCCGTCTCTACTAAAAAAATATAAAAATTAGTGGGGTGTGGTGGCACACACTTGTAACCCCAGCTACTTGAGAGTCTGAGGTGGGAGGATCACTTGAATCCAGGAGGTGGAGGTTGCACTGAGCCGAGATTGCATCACTGCACTCAAGCCTTAGCAACAGAGTGAGACTCTGTCTCAAAAAAATAATAATAAATAAATTAAAAATTAGGCAGCCAGGCGCAGTGGCTCACGCCTATAATCCCAGCACTTTGGGAGGCTAAGGTTAGGAGTTTGAGACCAGCCTGGCCAACATGGTGAAACCCCATCTCTACTAAAAATATATATTTAAAAAAATTAGCTGGGTGTGGTGGCAGGCACCTGTAATCCCAGCTACTCGGGAGGCTGAGGCAGGAGAATTGCTTGAACCAGGGAGGTGGAGGTTGCAGTGAGCTGAGATCATGCCATTGCACTCCAGCCTGGGCAACAAGAGCAAAACTTCATCTCAAAAAAAAAAAAAAAATTAGTCAGGCATGGGCCACCATGCCCAGCTACTTGGGAGGCTGAGGCAGGAAGATTGCTTGAGCCCAGGAAGGCTGAAGCTGCTCAACCTTGTTGTGGTGCGCCATGATGGCACCACTGCACTCTAGCCTGGAAGATACAGTGAGACTGTCTCAAAAATGAAAAATAAAAAATAGCAATAAAAGTACAAATTAGATCACAACACTCCCCTCCTTCAAACCATTCAAGGAATCTCCTTGGCATACAGAGTAAAATGCAAATTTCTCATGATGGCCTACAAGGCCCAGGTGATCTGGTCACCACTGATTATTCCACCTGTTCCTGTGCTACTCTTTCCCTCTCTCTCAGCTGCTATGTTCTGCTAGCTCCTTTCAGTTCTTTTAACTATTCAGACAGGCTGCTCCTGGTTCCTAGGATTTTCTTCTCCTCCGCCCCCATCCCACCCCATAGCTAAATCCTTATCCTTCAAGTATTGGTTTAAATAGTCACCTGCTCAGGAACCTGTTAGGGACCTCTAAGAAGCCATTACTCTGTCACAACACCCTCACTGACTCCTTCCTTATCTCACATAAAAGAGGGTGGTGGTTCTCTTCTTTTCCACTCCCATTGCTCCTACAAACCCATAAATTAGTAACTTCTTCCCTCTCAAAAGTAGCAAGTAAATGTATACTCATCTCTAAACCCAGTTCTCTAAACTAGCTCTGGTGAGACTGGAAAAATGGCCATTGCCCCTGTGGGACCCAGCTTCTTCAACTTCCCACCTCAGAGTTTGCCTTCCACCTGCAAGCTGAACACTTTCTTCTCTCCTCCATTGGTAAGCCTGCTGGGGAGCAAGGAACAGCAGCAGTTTTCTAGCTGATCTGACTGATTAAGTGTGCAAGTTCAATTAACTGGGGAAGAAATAAGAAGCCCACTTGAGTTGCCCGCCCAAGGCACTCTGCATGCCAGCTTTACTAATAAAAGTAAATATTTTTATCTCTATTTGACTCCTGAATCTATTCAGCAAAAGGCAGGCTAGAATTAATCAGTACCCTATAGACCCCAACAATCACAATTTATTATTACATGTTTATAATACTCCAACAGAGTGATTAAATAAGAGCTGGGACTTTGGAATTAGACTATCTGGATTTTAATTCCAGTTCTGCCACTTAATAGCTATATAATCTTGAGGATGTTAATTAAATTCTTTCATGAAATGAGAATTATGTTTATATTTCATCTGTTGGATATGTTAGGATTAAATGTAATAACTTTTATAGTAGGTTTGGCAAGGAGCTTGGTCCATGGCAAAGCTCAAATACGCCTCTCAATCACATCTGTAAAAGTAGAGCTACAAGTAAAACCTTGTTTTCATGAACAACATCATAAAATGAAATTATCTTTATGATAAACAGGTTCTCCAAACTAAAATTCAGGACATACTGTTTAACAAGTTTTTCCCCCAATTGTGAATTTACATGAACTTTTCCAAAATTATCAAATTAATTCACATTTTATAAAATCATTGGTATAGTAAAAAATAACTGAAAGAAATATAAAAATTAGAAGCAGTTATTACAATATTAGGATGTCATTCTCACTCATCTACTGCTGACCGTGAATCCAGTACATAACACACAAGGATAATCATTAAATAAACTTCAATGTTTTGTTACACATTCATACTTGCCTCCCCTTGTGTCACACACACATAGAAAATGTGGGTTACTAGATTCTTCATATATCCTAATATAATTCTGTTTAACTTCTAAATTTATTGATGTATACCTTCCTTTATTCACAATGGATTTAAAGCAGACTGGAATTATATATATAAAACCTGACAAAATGGTAAGTGATTAAGGGAAAATAAGAAAGTCTGTACAGCTGAGGTTAGCATATATCATGAGGTCCTTTCTTTCTTTTTTTTTTTTTTTTTTTTTTTTTGAGACAGAGTCTTGCTGTGTCACCCAGGCTGGAGTGCAGTGGCGCGATCTCGGCTCACTGCAAGCACCGCCTCCCGGGTTCACGCCATTCTCCTGCCTCAGCCTCCCCAGCAGCTGGGACTACAGGTGCATGCCACCACACCCAGCTAGTTTTTTTGTATTTTTAGTAGAGATGGGGTTTCACCGTGTTAGCCAGGATGGTCTCGATCTCCTGATCTCGTGATCCGCCCACCTCAGCCTCCCAAAGGGCTGGGATTACAGGCGTGAGCCACCACACCCGGCCAGAGGTCCTTTTTAAATACCCATTAGAGGTAGGCCTCAAATTTGGCTCAAAGCTCACTAAAGCCATTAACAAAGAGAACAGAATCAGTTAGGACATGAATCACAGAAGCCATACAATAAAAACCAACCAGGTACTCAGGAGAGCTGAAGAGAGGCATAATTATTCCTGTAATAAACCAGGGAAAAGTTCATTCTGTGTCTGTTCAAGAAGGAGACATATAATGTGGTAAAAATGTCCTAATCAACATCTTTAAAAGAATATAATAGTGGGTTTCAGATGGTTTTCTTTTTAGAGCATCCATCAGTACAGATTGCTGTCGTAAGGCCAAAATACAGTTCATTATTAGCAAAGAGGGTAGGAGTACAAAATATTACGGTGTTGCTTTTTTTTTTTTTCTTTAAGGTCTCACTCTGTCATCCAGGCTGGAGTGGAGTCATGTAATCATGGCTCACTGCAGCCTCAACCTCCTGGCCTCAAGCAATCCTCCAACCTTAGCCTCCTGGGTAGCCAGGACTACAGGCATGTGCCACCAAGCTTCGCTAATTATTTTGATTTTTGTAGACACAGGGTCCCACTATGTTCCCTAGGCTGGTCTTGAACTCCTAGGCTAAGTGATCCTCCTGCCTTGGACTCCCAATAAGTACAGGGGTTACAGGCATGAGCCACCATACCTGGCCTCTCTGACAGACTTAATCCAAGAGGAAATCTTAAATACATTTAGAAAAACAGATAAGCTCCATATTCTTCAGACAATCCTCCAAAGATGACTGGAGCTATCAATGAGCTTTTTGTTTATTATTTTTAAAATTTTCTTTTGTAGAGATGGGGCCTTGCTTGTTGCCCAGGCTGGTCTCGAACTCCTGGCCTCAGGCGATCCTCCCACCTCAGCCTCTCAAAGTGTTTGGGTTACAGGCATGAGCCACCATGTTCGGCTGTCAACTGAGCTTTTGATAGGTATAGAGATATAGGGAACTTGTGTTTATATTCCATGATGGGCACCTGACTTGTAGATTTTCTGTTATAAGGTAATGGCAGATCAATAAATTTAACATCAGCTGAGTAGAGAAAGGGAGACAACCTCTTAAGAAAGGTAAGGTGCTGGACAAGTGCCCATGTCCACAGAGTATTAAAGTACAAACGACTGCACCATGATTTTCCTCAAAAAACAATCTGTGTTTTCATCAACAGAATATGAAGAATGAGTAATCACTCAGCAAGTCTTTGAGTAATTTGTGGGGATCGTAAGTGATTTTACAATTTCTTTCAATGGTCATAGATGACTTCTAAGAAGATAAACACAATTTGGTTTACTTTTGGAAGTTAATGGAAATATTTAAATATATTGAAATCTGTAGTTACACTGAATTAGCAAAGTCTCATTAATACATTAAATTCATTAGAATATCTATAAAGTGAGGGCCGGGTGCGGTGGCTCACGACTGTAATCCCAGAACTTTGGGAGGCCGAGGTGGGCAGATCACCTGAGGTTGGGTATTCGCGACCAGCCTGACCAACATGGAGAAATCCCGTCTCTACTAAAAATACAAAATTAGCCAGGTGTGGTGGTGCATGCCTATAATCTCAGCTACTTGGGAGGCTGACACAGGAGAATCGCTTGAACCCGGGAGGTAGAGGTTGTGGTGAGCTGAGATTGTGCCATTGCACTCCAGCCTGGGCAACAAGAGCGAAACTCCATCTCAAAAAAAAAAAAAAAAAAAAAAAGAAAGAAAAAGAAAAAAGAATATCTATAAAGTGAGAAGAAATAATTTGCAAAAACATGACACCTCTTCTCCGGATCATACAATTTCAGGCTTTTTTTCCAACTGAATCAGGATAATTAATAATAGTCTTCAAAACTTGCCTTCTAAATAACTAAATAATTAAGACCACTAACTTGGAACTTTCTCTTTACCTGTAGCACCTGGAACAAATTTCAATAAATGACATACTGGAAATATTTTTCTGCACATGTTACATTCTATTACAGAAGCCTAGCTTTTCTTCCTTCCATATTCAAGTAAATGTGCAAATATCACTGTTGCTCTGAAGCGGATGCTCTGTCCTGCCATTTTGGAAATAACGTCTTGAAAATAAAGGCAACTTTATGCAAAAATTGGAACTTAAGTTTTGATTTAGGAACCTCAAAAAATATTCTTCAAACCTAGTGAAATAGAAAAATTAAAATTATATACATTTATCTTCTTCAGAGTAGCAGGAGATTTAAGATTGACTTTAAAAACTCAAAATTTAAAACATTAGCTTTAATATCTTCGCTAACTCTCAAATATCTTGTTTTAATGTCAACACAACAGTATTTATTTAATCACAAAACAATTTCACCACTGTAATTACATATATAGTATTTTTTAATGAAACTTACTTTCATTTTTAATTTTTTTTTTTGAGACGGGGTCTTGCTCTGTTGCCCAGGCTAGAGTGTGGTGGCATGATCACGGCTCAATGCAGCTTTGACTTCCCAGGCCCCAACAAACCTCCCACCTCAGCTTCCCGAGTAGCTGCTACTACTGAGGCACACCACGACGCCTGGCTAATTTTTTTATATTTTTGGTAGAGACAAAGTTTCACCATGTTGCCCAGGCTGGTTTAGAAATCCTGAGCTCCTGAGCTCAAGTAATTCACCTGCCTCAGCCTGCCAAAGTGCTGGGATTGCAGGCACGAGCCTGCAAGTTCCAAATGAAAGTAGAATGATTTTATAAGATGTTTCCTGCTAGGTGCGGTGGCTCACACCTGTAATCCTAGCACTTCGGAAGTCTGAGGCAGGAGGAAGCTTGAGCTCAGGAGTTCAAGACCAGCCTGGGCAACTTCATGACATAGTGAGACCTCGTGTCTACGAAAAAAAAAAAAAATTAGGTGGGCATGGCGGCACACACCTGTAGTCTCAGCTACTTTGGGTGGCTGAGGTAGGAAGATCACTTGAACTCAGGAGTTCAAGGCTGCAGTGAGCCATTGACTGCGTAACTACACTTCCACCCAGGTGACAGAGCAAAACCCTGTCCCCCAACCCAGCCAAAAAAAAAAAAAAAAAAAAAGATATTCCTTCACTGAAGCTTTAAAAGCTGATTGTTTATGACCTCAAGGAACTAAGAAATCTAGCCGAGGAGTCAAAATGAACAGAGGCACACATAAATTTACCAGACTTTGACAAAGCAATACATTTGTTTCCTCTAATCCATTCTTTACACTCCACCAAGACCAATTTTAAAACAATTTTCCTCCACAGTTCACAACTCAAGAAACTCCAACAGCTCTCTACTACCTAAAGAACCATTTGTAGACTTTTTAGAAATGCAACTGCCTAAGTCCCACTCCAGATCTCATTCTTAATTTCCAGAGGTATGTTTAAAAGTTCCACAAGTGAGTCTGAAGCACAACAAGAATGAGAACCACAACTGGGTTCACCCTACCTGAGATGTTCCTCCTGTCAGAACAGTCCTTTTCATATCTATTCTCTTGGTTTATGTTTTCTCTTGTCTGAAAATGTTTCCTTTTCTTCTCTCCAAATACCCATCTTTCTAAATAATCTTCAAATCCTTTCTGCTCCATAAAACCATACTGACCACTATAACTCACAATGTCTCCACTTCTCTGTACACATCAATACCTTCATACATATATACACAATTTATTAATATTTTAGGTCTATTTCTTTTACACATTGGTGGGCATTTAACACTGATGGACGACTGGCAAATTTCCTTCACTACAGTAAATCTAAAATATAAGCATCAATATTTATACCTATATATTTCAAACTTTCAAAATTATGTTGCATTAATACCTAGAGTTATTGAAAACTTCAGGTAAATTGGTTCATTCCTGATTGTAATTTTTATAACTACTGTCAGTCATCAGTGCTAATGATGACATCCGCTTCACATATCTAAACTGAACCATTCAAGCTTGTAACATGAATCCCATTCCAACGGAAGTTAGTGCTACATCTCTGGTATCTTCAAGAAGTGTGTAGGAAAGTAATCAAGGAAAAGCATGAAACATTACATCTCAATAGATTTAGAATCCAAAGGATCAGTCATTCTTGAGATTAGGTTTGAAAGTACAAATTTGGAAGGATAGTATATGAACAAGACCATTGTTGAGACTATCAGATAATGAATTCAAAAAGAATATGCACAGAAAGAGAAAAGAAAATTTAAGAATGGATCATGGAGCAGAAAGAAAAGAGGAAGAAAAAACTGACCAATGGATGAAATAGGAGAATTAGAGAAACACAAGGAAAAATCTGAATAGCAGAGTACTTTAAGGTGGTGTTTAAAAAAAAAAAAAAGAGCACAATAAATGTTAAGATGTATACATTGTGACACTAAAGTTAGTTACTGCCTCACACCCTTAAAGTAATTAAAGCAGTAGCAATGATAATTCAGGAAAATGCATTGTATCTTCTAAGGTACCAGAATACATAATGTGCCTAAATGACATTCTAAATCAAAGAAGGCTGATCTTCCTGAGTTACTGCTACCTGAGATCCACAAGATCTTCAAAATTTCAGTCTGTTATTACCTAATATTTTTAAAACTAAGCAAGCCTTCCCAGATGCAAGAACCTTCAAAAACATACAGAAAATTAATTCACAATGTACTACTTCTTGCTCCTTAGTTTATGTGCAGCTCTCTTTGTGGTCTTCTAAACAGCATTTTATTTCTAGGAGTTTGAAAACGCTAAATACTGAAAGAAGACAGGAGAGAAAGGACACAGAATACCAGAAGAGACACTAGGGAAAATGCTACCTACCTACCAACTTGGACTTCATGCTAATTTCCTTTCCAGAAAAAATTCAAAACACCCTAAGTTGGGGCCATGACAATGACAAAACACAATTATTCATGAAAATTGGGTCTCCCTCACTAATTAGTTGTTTCTCAAATGTGCCAGTGATACACCTGGCCTCTTGCAAACATGCTTGTGCAAGTTCTCCCATCCATTAAGCTTATTGGGTTATAGCTAGGACCTTGACCATTAGAAATGCTGTTACTCTCCTAGAAATAACAAAAATCATGTTTAGAGAGGCCCAATTTATAATGCAGAAAGTATAGCATTTCTGCCTTTTTGCAGGTGGAAGGTTCATGTTATCCCATCTAGTTTTTACTCAATCAAATATACAGGGTTATCAATCCAAATATATAGGGTTATATAAGTGGTTCTCAACTAAAGGTGATTTTGCCCTCCCTACCCGTCAAGAGATATGTGGCAATGTCTAGACATTTTTGGTTGTCACAACTGGGAATTGCTATTAGTATACAGTGAGTTGGAGACAGGGATGCTGCTAAACATACTACACTGCACAGGTCAGTCCCCCACAACAAAACATTATCCCACCTAAAGTGTCAATAGGTTGAATTACCCTGGGTTATACAGGTTGAGTATCCCTAATCTGAAAATCCAAAACCTAAAATGCTTCAAGATCCAAAACTACAGAGGACTTCCAAAGCCATCTATGAGGAAACATAAATATGTCTCCTCTGGACTGATACTTTCTTTTTTTTTTTTTTTTTGAGACTGAGTCTTGCTCTATCGCCCAGACAGGAGTGCAGGGGAGTGATCTCGGCTCACTGCAACCTCCGCCTCCCGGGTTCAAGTGATTCTTGTGCCTCAGCCTCCTGAATAGCTGGGATTACAGGCACACACCACCATGCCCAACTAATTTTTGTAGAGATGGGGTTTCACCATGTTGGCCAGGCTGATCTCAAACTCCTGACCTCAAGTGATCCGCCCACCTTGGCCTCCCAAAGTGCTGGGATTACAGGCGTGAGCCACTGCACCCAGCCTGGACTGATACTTTCGAAAGGAGGGACCCTTCTTTTTTTTAAAATCTCTGTAAACAAAATATCTAGTATAGTGCACTGGAAATATTAAATTAATGAACTTACGAAAACAAAGAACAAAACTGGTATGCTTTTTTTCTTCACATGCTCAGATTGTGTGGTGTCTACATTTTAAGCCATAAGTTTGAAAATGCAATCAATACACACTTTTGAGTAGAATGACAGTAAGACACACATACTCACACACACACACACCTTCCTTCATATCACAGGCACAGTGACAATATCACCAAGGCCTAAGAGAAGTAAGTTTTGAGGAAAATAAGGAATTTGTAACCACATATTCAAATAACAGGAGCCAACATGTTCAGGGTCTAATGGTACTCAGACAGCAGGTCTAGACAAAATAAACATTTGTTCTATTACCTTTTTGTTATGTTGCCATGGGAATCTATGTTTGCAGGAAAACTTATTTTCTGCAACCTGATGATAGAGCAGTAAAAGAGGGGGAGCTCTGATGAAAAGAGGAGAGGGGTTTACATCTGTAAAGGCAGGGAGGACAATAAATAATATGGGTTTTTATAGGATCACATGTCTGTAGATAATCTTTCAATCTATATGATATATTTAAGTTTAACAGAGAAGTCCTTGGGGCCTCAAAGCTAAGACATTAATGACAGATAACAATGGTCTAACCTCTACTAAAAGTATTATAATGGGGAAAAGGCAGAGGAATGTAAAGCAGAAAAAGGGTCAAATAAAATCAAATAAAACTTAAATGTTTAACTGTTGAAAGAAGGTAAAAATGACTTTTAAAACATGATCCAAAAGTAAGAAAAACCCTAAAAGCCAAAGAAGTTAAAAAACACTCAATCTGCCAGCAGACTAATCTTCCTTTTTCAGCTAAACTCAAGAGCTAATCTCTGCTCCTTCCTTTTGGCAACAAAAACCTGAAAAAGTAAAGTCAGCCCATGTTATTTAAAGAGCTGGACTGGAATACCCTAAATTTCTAGGGCCCAACAAAAATACTGGCTCTGGCACTCTGGGACTGCTGGAATGAGAGTTGTGAGCATGGGTCAGGGCTTGCACCAATTCATCTAACTCCACCGTTCTATCCTATTCACAGTAGTGGTTTAGGGTAGAATGGGTAAGGAACCGAAACGAAAAACTTGGGACCCTAGAGCACAGTAATCTGTTAAAACAAGATTTAGGTCATGTCCTTCCTCTGGTCATAACCCTCCAAGGCTTCCCCTCTCACTTAAAGGAAAAGTCACAGTCTGTACAAAGGCAAATAAGACCCTACATGATCCCTGCATATCTGCAACCCTCTCCTCACCCCACTTTTCTCCCTATATTTGGCCCCTGGTTCATTTAGCTCTAGCTGTACTGGTCTCTTAGCTATTTCCTGGAGCACAGGGCCCTTACCTCAGGGCTTTTGCACACTTGCTAATCCTCAGCCTAGAATGTTATCACATCCTCACCCATGTCCAACCAGTGTCCTATATCACCTTCTTCAGGTTTTTGCTCAATTGTTACTTTATCAATGATGCTTACCGTATTCACCTTTCTTAAAAGTGCAACAGCCATCCTAGCACTCACTCTCCTTCCCTTCTTGCATTTTCTCCACAGCACTTATCTGACACACTATATATTTTGTTTATTATCTACTTCCACTGCCATCCCCATTAGAATATAGCTTCCTTTTTTTTTTCTTTTTGGAGACAGGGTATCACTCTGTCACCCAAGCTGGAGTACAGTGGCAGGATCACAGCTCACTACAGCCTCAACTTCCCAGGCTCAAGCAATCCTCTTAGGCTCAAGCAATCCCTCCACCTCAGCCTCCCAAGTAGTTGGAACTACAGGAGTGTGCCACCAAGCATCCCTAATTTTTTATTTTTATTTTTTAGTAGAGGAGCCTCCCCATTTTTCCCAGGATGCTGGTTTCTAACTACTGGGCTCAAGGAAACCTACCTTGGCCTCCCAAAGTGCAGGAATTACAGGTGTGAGCCACTCACTGCACCTGGCCAGAATATAGCTTCTTAAGGCAGAAATTTTTGTCTCTTTTGTTCACATTTCATCTCCAGCACTTACGGCAAACCATACATGGTAGGCACTCAAGGTATAATGAGTCCTGTCCTCAAGGAGATTACCATGAACCTATGCTCCTTCCCCTTTCTCTCTACAATCTTGTACCCTGTAACACTCTTTTGTAACTTTGTAACACAAAGTTCAGAAAATGGCACTAAAATATATCCATTTGCCCAAGGCCAAAACTTAGAAATCCTAGACTCCTCACTCTCCTATACTTCTTTCCCCCAACATTCAGCCTTGGAGCCAAGCATGCCCAAAACCCAGTATCCATTTGTCAAGTACAGAATTTACAAACCACCACTTCTTCTTCCCTATAATAAATTATTAAAAGACTTGAACACTGCACGGGAAAGCTGGTTAATTTTGTAAATCCTTAACACATACATACAGGTGTACCTCAAAGATATCATGAGTTCAGTTCCAGACAACCACAACACAGTGAATATCACAAAAAAATGAGTGACATAAATTTTTTGGTTTCCCAGTGCATATAAAAGTTATATTTACATGATACTGTAGTCTATTAAGTATGCACTAGCAGTATGTCAAAAAAATATATATATGCACATACCTTAATTTAAAAATATTTTATTAGCCGGGCACAGTGGCTCATACCTATTACTCTCAGCACTTTGGGAGGCCGAGGCAGGAGGATCGCTTGAGGTCAAGAGTTTGAGACCAGCCTAGCCAACATGGTGAAACCCCATCTCTATTAAAAATACAAAAATTGGCTGGGCATGGTGGTGCACACCTGTAATCCCAGCTACTCGGGAGGCTAAGGTGGGAGAATTGCTTGAACCTGGGAGGTGGAGGGTGCAGTGAGCCAAGATCGTGCCACTGCACTCCAGGCTGGGCAACAGAGCGAGACTCCATCTAGAAAAAATAAATAAATAAATAAATATTTTTTTGCTAAAAAATGCTAAGGGTCACCTGAGCCTTCAGCAAGTTATTATCTTCTTGCTGGTGGAGGGTCTTGTCTCAGTGTTGATGGCTGCTGCCTACTCAGGGTGATGGCTGCTGACTACTCAGGGTGATAACTGCTGAAGACTGGAATGACTATGGCAATTTCTAAAAATAAGACAACGGTGAATTGCTGCATTGATTTATTCTTCCTTTCGTGATAGATTTCTCTGTAGCCTGCAATGGTGTTTGATAGCATTTTACCCACAGTAGAACTACTTTCAAAATGGGAGTCAATCCTCTCAAACCTTGCTGCTGCTTTATCAACTAAGTTTATGTAATATTCTAAACCCTTTGTTGTCATTTCAACAATGTTCATAAGCATCTTCCCCAACAGCAGATTCCACCTCAAGAAACTACTTTATTTATTCATTCCTGAGAAGCAATTTCTCATCTATTGATTTTTTTTTTTTTTTTTTGAGATGTACTCTTGCTCTATCGCCCAGGCTGGAGTGCAGTGGCACGATCTCGGTTGCCACTTGGTTGCAGTGGCTCACTGCAACCTCCACTTCCCAGGTTCAAGCAATTCTCCTGCCTCAGCCTCCCAAGCAGCTGGGACTATAGGTGTACACCACAACACCAAAAAATATAAAAAACAAATTTTTGTATTTTTTCTAGAGGCAGAGTTTCGCCATGTTGGCCAGGCTGGTCTCAAACTCCTGACCTCAGATGATCTGCCTGCCTCAGCCTCCCAAAGTGCTGAAATTACAGGTGTTAGCCACCGCCCCCAGCCACCTTGCACTATAAGTTATGCTATGGAGACAGGTTCTTTCCTTAAACCTATGAACCACCCTCTGCTAGCTTCAAACTTATCTTTTGCAGCTTTCTCACCTGTCTCAAACTTCATACAATTAAAGAGAGTTAGGGCTTTGCTCTAGATTAGGCTTTGACTTAAGGGCATGTTGTGGTTGGTCTGATCTTTTATCCAGACCACTAAAACTTTCTCCAGCTCAGCAACAAGGCTGTGTTGCTTTCTAATCATTCATTTGTTTACTGGAATATAATTTTTAATTTCCTTCAAAAACTTTTCATTTGCATTCACAAATTGGCTGTTTGGTACAAGAAGCCTAGCTTTCAGCTTATCTCAGTTTTCGACATGCCTTCCTCACTATGCTTAATCATTTCTAGCTTTTGATTTAAAGTAAGAGACATGCAAACATTCCTTTCACTTGAACATTCAGAAACCACTGTAGTGTTATTAATTGGCCTAATTTCAGTATTATTGTGTCTCAGGGAATAAGGACGCCTTAGGAGATGGAGAGAGGGAACAGCTGGTTGGCAGAGCAGTCAGAACACACACAATGTTTATCAATTAAGTCTGCCTATGGGCATGGTTCCAGACACCTCAAAACAATTACAACAGCAACATCAAAGATCAGTGATCTCAGATCCCCATAATATTTAATAATAATGAGAAAGTTTGAAATATTGCGAGAACTGCCGGGCACAGTGGCTCACACCTGTAATCCCAGCAGAACTGCCGGGCATGGTGGCTCACACCTGTAATCCCAGCACTTTGGGAGGCCAAGGCAGGCAGATCACAAGGTCAGGAGTTCGAGACCAGCCTGACCAACATGGTGAAACCCCATCTCTACTAAAAATACAAAAATTAGCCAGGTGTGGTGGCACATGCCTGTAGTCCCAGCTACTTGGGAGGCTGAGGCAGGAGAATCACTTGAAACCGGAAGGCGGAGGTTGCAGTGAGCCGAGATCGCACCATGGCACTCCAGTCTGGGCGACAGAGCAGAACTCCGTCTCAAAAAAAAAAAAAAAAAAAGAAAGAAAGAAATATTGCGAGAATTACCAAAATGTGACACAGAGACATGAAGTGAGCACATGCTTTTGGAAAAATGGTGCCAAAAGACTCGCTTACCACAGGGTTGTCACTAACCTTCAATTTGCAAAAAAAAAGCAATTATCTGTGAAGCATAATAAAACGAGTTGTGCCTGTGCTTAATTTATGGAAGCACTGTGAAAGACAAACTACTCTGAATACTGAAAGTTTCTTTTACAAAAACATTTCCAAGTTTAAAGAAGTTTTTGGTTATTTTCCTGACGAAACAGCTGCATGACTTCCATAGCAGCCATGAGAAGACATCCCTAAGTTCCAAGTCAGGGGAGCCCACTTTATAATGAGGCTTTTCTGAGCACTGCAGTAATTATACCTCTTAGATAAGAACAAATCAGTTTTACCCCAAATTTTACTGCAAAAAGCAAAAATCTAATGTATTTTCAAAGGGCTGGAGAGGCAGTTATTTCTATTTATATCCTATACTTATGTAACACAAACATGTACAGACAGTCCCAACTTTACATAAATGTACACTGAAGAATTTCAATCCAATAGGATTCATAAATTCAGGAATTAACTATTTGCACTGCCTAATAATTCCTTCAGAAAAAATTTTAATCTGGGCAATGAGTGCATTTTTGATTTATCAGTTCTGAGGAAGAGACATGACTCTAATGGGTTAAATGGGTTAAGTCATTACCCCTCACATAAACTGGGCAATGACACTGGTGGAACTGCTTTCCTACACTCAAGCTCTATTCCGAGTGACTCAGCAACCCCTTTTTCACAAGAGGAGGTTAACTGCATAAGAGAAGGTGCCACCGCGCAACCTCAGCAGCCCACATCTATCAGAAAGGAGACTACTAAAAGTAGCATTGACAAGTATGCCATTCCTTTAATGAATGAGTCCAGCTCCCCATCTATAAAATGGAGTTAATAAATATGAGCCTCCATGGAGCTAGTGAGAACTGATTGATAATGCTTTGAATGAAAACACTTTATAAACTGCAAAAATCCCTAAAAATGTCAGTTAATTCTAAAGTGAGGGTGATCTACCCCAGTGAATTCTTCCATCTTTGAATTCTAGGCCCCAGGGGCTCAGCAATATCTGCACTCTTGCCCATGAAAGGCAAAGTCAACACATCATCTCTGAGACTGGGCTAGAAAGAAATCAAAAGCAGAGTACTCCTCAGTATCAAGAAATCAAACTGGCAGAACTGAAAACCTGGAGATCCAGGATAAGCTTATTTTAAAGAAGAACCAGTGGAGGCTGGGTGTGGTGGCTCATTCCTGTAATCCCAGCACTTTGGGAGGCCAAGGTGGGCAGATCACAAGGTCAGGAGTTCGAGACTGGCCTGACCAACATGGTAAAACCCCGTCTCTACTAAAAATACAAAAATCAGCCAGGCATGGTGGCACGCACTTGTAATCTCAGCTATTCAGGAGGCTGAGGCAGGAGAATTGCTTGAACTCGGGAGGCAGAGGCTGCCGTGAGCCGAGATTGCACCACTGCGCCCCAGCCTGGGCAACACAGCAAGACTCCGTCTCAAAAAAAAAAAAAAGTGGAAAAATGGGATTTGATAATAAAATGACTTTATAGCCAGCTTCGAATGAACTCTTTCTTAAAACAATCTTTATACATCAATAATACAAATGCTTGCCGTTAATTATGTTTAAAGACTTCTTATTGACTGGCACTGGTAACATACAGGCAACTACCTTACTTTTGGTTACAAAGAAAAGAATGGAAAGCTCAGCATGGACCTACTATCACTACTAGAAAAGTAAAGGGCACACCCTTCTCACTGGTCAGGAGTCAAGAAAGTCACCCTTGTATACTTAATAATCATGCACTTTTATTTCTTTGTGCCCTGGCTCATTCTAAAAAAAAAAAAAAATAGATTTAAAATGGTGAATGGCCATTAATAGTTAAAAAAAGTTAGCTTCACTTATTTCTTTTATACTAGAATAATCTTGTTCCACAAAGCACTTAGGAAGTTGTATTTGATTTCTTAGCAAGTTTTGCTATCCTTTTACCAAAGGTTTTGTTATATACTTTTTATGCTGATGATAAAGTGCACAGCACAATGCTAGAACATAGCAAGCAATCCACAAAATGTAGTTATTAAACCCACTAGGCTGTAAGTTCCAGGAGAGAATGGATTGTCTTGTTTCTGTCTTGTTTAGCACTCTATTTCCAGAACCTAGCTATCTGGCCCATGGTAGGTATTCAATAAACACTGTTGAATAAACAGTTGAATAAGATCTAAGAGTAATTCTCAACTGTCACCTCCTATTTCATGGTTACCAGTGTCCCACCTCCTCTAATCAACAGCAAGGGCCTGGAAGAACCCTACCCCAGAGGAAAGGCACTTAAGTTCCTGTTTGTATTTCCTTAAACTCACCACAAAGATTCTCCCCTTCTGTCCCAAAACCCCAAAATCAATGCTTTGCAACAATGTATTCTTAAACAATTTTGCTTCATTTCCCCTCACAGACAATGCATAAAGTTCCTTAAAACTGCAAGACCTAGTCTAGTTCCCTTTACCCTTTAACGGAAAGGCATATTTGTAAAACTCTATTTTGATTCATAGTTGGTTATCACACAGGCTTCTACTTGTTTTTTTACTATACTTAGTATAAATTAAAATAATATAGGCTTAAAATAATTTGTAAATGTTACAAAGTATACCACACTTTAGAGCAATAAAATTCGGAAACTGACAAATATTTCAATGAATGAATTTTATTCATTGAAATATTCTATTCATTTATTTTCATTCTTGAAAATAAAATTCAGGGGCTGGGTGTGGTGGCTCATCCCTATAATCCCAG
The DNA here is from genome assembly GCF_000001405.40 of Homo sapiens. NCBI lineage: Eukaryota > Metazoa > Chordata > Mammalia > Primates > Hominidae > Homo > Homo sapiens. The sequence goes on along the minus strand of NC_000006.12, from coordinate 36,032,047 downwards.
CACTTCGGGAGGCCAAGGTGGGGGAACTGCTTGAGGCCAGGAGTTTGAGACCAACCTGGGCAACACAGTAAGACCCTATCTCTACAAAATAAATAAATAAATAAAATAAAATTCGGAGATTTTTTTGGAAGTAGACTTCAGGTCCAGTTCAAGAAGTCACACAAAAAATTATGTGTTGTTACTTTATAGTTATAACTCCTATCTGACCTAAAACAGTAGTATCACCAACCTGATTGCCTTATCTTTCTTATCAGACTTGAGTCCAAATTCCCTAAATTATTTGGATTCAAATGAACTGTTATTCCCTAAAATCAAATCTGCTCTCAAAAAAATGAAGATGGATGGCCAGAGACGGTGGCTCACCCCTGTAATCTCAGCACTTTGGGAGGCCAAGGCAAGTGGATCACCTGAGGTCAGGAGTTAGAGATCAGCCTGGCCAACATGGTGAAACCCTGTCTGTATTAAAAATACAAAAATCATCCGGGCATGGTGTTGCGCACTTGTATCCCAGCTACTTGGGAGCCTAAGGCAGGAGAATCGCTTGAACCCATGAGGTGGAGGTTATAGTGAGCAGAGATGGTGCCACTGCACTCCAACTTGGACAACAGAATGAGACTCTGTCTCAAAATAAAAAAGAAGAAGAATATCACAGGCTCCAAAGTGGATTCTAAAAGAAGTTCCAAAAAATGTTTTCTGCCACACCTAAAAAGGTACTCATTGAAAGAACAACTTCAGGCTGGGCACCGTGGCTGAGGCCTATAATCCCAGCACTTTGGGAGGCCAAGGAGAGCAGATCACTTGAGGTCAGGAGTCTGAGACCAGCCTGGCCAACATGGAGAACCCCGTCTCTACTAAAAATACAAAAATTAGCTGGGTATGGTGGCGGGCACCTGTAGTCCCAGCTACTAGGGAGGCTGAGGCAGGAGAATCGCTTGAACCCAGGAGGTGGAAGTTGCAGTGAGCCAAGATGGCACCACTGCACTCAAGCCTGGGCGACAGAGTGAGACTTCGTCTCAAAGAAAAGAAAAACTTCAAATAACTACGCTGAATCTCTGAATAAGATAACACTTAATTGTAAATCTAAATTCTGGTATTTTCATTCCAACATTAGTTATAATTTGTTTATTGTCAATTGTCATACAATTTCAGTTTCAGTTGTATTTTCTTTCACCAATATGCTGTAGGTTACATCTTAAATCCCTTTAGTAGAAAGACTACTAAACAAACAAGCAAATAAAAAAAACTGCCTCTCTGGAAAGACACAAGACACTTAACAGTGCCTGTCTTTGAGAGAGTAGAGTGGCTGGAGAACAAAAAGGAAAGGAGACTTTTCACTGAATATCTTTTTTTTTTTTTTTTTTGAGACGGCGTCTCGCACTTTCGCCCAGGCTGGAGTGCAGTGGAGCGATCTCAGCTCATTGCAACCTCCGCCTCCCGGGTTCAAATCATCCTCCTGCCTCAGCCTCCTGAGTAGCTGGGAGTACAGGCGCCCGCCACCACGGGCGGCTAATTTTTTGTATTTTTAGTAGAGACGGGGTTTCACCGTGTTAGCCAGGATGGTCTCGATCTCCTGACGCTGTGATCCACCCGCCTCGGCCTCCCAAAGTGCTGGGATTACAGGCGTGAGCCACTGCACCCGGCCCACTGAGTACCTTTGTAAAACTTTCAAATTTTATACAATGTCAATGTATTTTAAAAAATCTGTTCAATAAAATAAAAGTACTTTTAAGTGTCAGATACTGCTGGCTTCTATACCACAGAAAAGTATACCACTAAAGAACTGTGGAGTTAATTTTAATGGTACTTCACTGTAAATCTGAATCTCCTGTTCCAGTGCAGAGCTAGTCACCAATAGTAGCGAACCCTTGCAAGCAATTCAATTGGAGTTCACCCAAACCCTCTATAGTTGAGTTATTCTGCTGTATCACTCCATTAAAATTTAAATAGCATTGAAAACGAAAACGTGATACTACAGAAATGTATGTCAATTCAAGAATGAAAAAATGGAAGTATATTAATGAGCTATAAAATATTAAAAGAGCAATGATCCAAATACGTCTTTGAAAATTAGCAAATCAACTAGATATATATAATATGTATATACTGAATGTATATACCTATATAATATGTATATACTGAATGTATATACCTATATAATATGTATATACTGAATGTAAAATGCTGCAAACCAACTACACACACACACTCTCTGAATGTAAAATGCTGCAAATTCCTTTAAAATGTAAACTGCCATGCTGTAAAAATGGGAGAAAGATGTCAAGCACGGTGCTATCTGCAACATAACTTAAGCAACTTGAACTAGAAAATGCAATATGATCTGTTGCTGGACACAATTGCACAATCTCAATTACCCAGAAGATTCTACCAAACAGGAAATTCATGATGTGACTTTGGGAAACACAGAAATCATATTTAAAGATTAACACATCCAAAAGCCTGGAATTTGTTCCAAAACAAAAAAACGATTTTACAGGCCCGTTTTCAAATGACGCATACAATACGAATTACTAAAACACAGAAAAAGCTAACAGTTAAATCTGATACTTAGTTTAAGATCCGTAGCTTTCAAATTATAGAAAATCTAAAATACAGGGTATAAAACCTTGGAAGTTAAGAGAGCAGTTAGTGAAATATTTCAGGTCTGGAAATTATATGCTATCGACTTAATTTAAAACACACTCACGGTGTAAATTAAAGCTAAAAAGTATCTCTTCCCTTCCTTTTCTATGTGGTTCCATATCCTTACGAAAACCATCGTGTACCTCAGGCCATAAATGCAGATAACTAGATAACTCCCTGCAAGCTCTCTAAGGGACTTTTAAAACACAGTATTCGCAGGAATTATCTCAAAAAATATTTACAATACCTCCCAGCACTGTTAATAACTTTTTGATCTTGAGGGCGCCTTACAGATCTGAATCTTTCTTGCTCCAAATGAGAAAATTGTTTTGTCGAACAATACTTAAATGAGCAGTGGTATGTGACTAATCAGTGAGCCTGCCAGTTTCTCAAGCTGCAGTGTTCTTGCAGGCACTACCACCGCCGCCCCTCCACGGAAAGGAAATACGCTTTCAACCGAATCGGAAACACACCACTCAAGCTGGCACAGTGCTCACCGAGATAAAGTCGGTATTTTAAGCTCTATGGATCGCTGTTAATTCAAGTGCGAATTCAAAAAGAACGCTTTTCAAGATGGGATTTCGACAGAGTTTTGAAAAAAAAAAAAAAAAAAAAAGGCCCGGAGAGAGCTCCCTTCCTGGTCAGTTTTGTTCAGATGACCGCAGTCTTCGGGTTGGGCTGTGCCCTTCTGCTTCTCCCGGCAGTTCCCCGAGCTTGTCTGCTCAGAGGACCCAGGGTCCGGAGCCCCAGCGTGGGCGCATCACGGGAGAGGGTCCTTCTGCTCCAGGTAGGCAGGGAGACCCCCAAGGAAGCGGCCCTTCCCCCGGTGCCTGTTGCCGAGCAGCAACCCTCCGAGAGGGGAAGGCGCAGGGTGCTAGCCAGAACCGAGCTCCAGCACCACCACCTACCTCTCGCAGCGGACCTGAGTGCTGCACACGGTGGACCGCATACCTGCGTGAGTGCAGGGCGAGGGGTGCTGGAGGTGCAGAACGGGCAGAGCTCGAAGGGGCAGCAATGCCCTCCCCCGAGGAAAATTCCTGCCACTTGACGCAACGCTGAGCAGTGGAGCAGGCCTGGCCCTCGGGCGCGAGGGGCCACCCTGCCCACAGCGGCCCCAGGCCCAGCGACACTCACCACACAGAGCCATAGGCGCCAGAGCCCACTGGAGACAGGTTCTGGTAACGCTCGGGCACCTCCCAGATTGTCTTGTTCAGCTCCTGCCGGTAGAACGTGGGCCTCTCCTGAGACATTTTCCAGCGGCAGCCGCCGGGCAAGAAGGTGGCCCTGTGGGGCCCCCGCCTGCACCCGCACCCTCTCCCCGGCCCTTGCTGCCCGCCCAGCCGGGCGGGGACCTTGCGCTGGTCGCCCGCGCAGGTGCGGCTGCCGCGACCCCGCAGACTCCCGCGCGCGCGGCTGCTGTCAGCCGCAGCGGCTGGATGTGCCCCTGCGACTGGGGCAAGCCCCGCTAAGGGCAGGGACGCGCTCCGGCGCTCAAGACTGCGCCCGCCGCGATCTCCCTGCACCTTCGCCCCTACAAGGCCGACTCCGGGCTGCGTCGCAGTACTCCCGTTCCAGCTGCTGCGCCCGCTAAGGCTCCAGTGGTCGCGGTTCCAAGAGCCAGCAAACGGGAGCCTCCCGCAGTACTCTCGCGAGAACAGCTCCCGGGACTCTCCGAGAGCCGAGATTTTACCCAATATGGAACCTCTCCGCGGGCGGGGCTTCGTGAGAGAAGAGGATGGGAGGAGCAGTTCTCGCGAGAAGAGAACAATAACTGGAGACCAAAGGCAGAAACTCCCAGGGACTGTCTCCTTAAGGGCGCGAAGGCGGACCGGGGAAGGAAGAGAGAAGCTGGCAGCACACGCCTCGCGCGCCTCACCGTGGCCGGCGGGGCAAATACCTGGCTCTGTGGTGGAAAACGACACTGACAAATAGCGTGTCGGGGAAAGAGTCAAAAGATCTTTAACTGCGAGTAGTTACCAGCAGCAGAGCACCTGCTCACCTGAACCCCCAAATTCCAAAAAACACTTGCATAAAAAAGAGACAAGTGGCCGGGCGTGGTGGCTCACGCCTGTAATCCCAGCACTTTGGGAGGCCGAGGCGGGCGGATCACCTGAGGTCGGGAGTTCGAGACCAGCCTGACCAACATGGAGAAACCCCGTCTCTACTAAAAATGCAAAATTAACCGGGCGTAGTGGCGCGCACCTGGAGTCTTAGCTATTCGGGAGGCTGAGGCAGGAGAATCGCTTGAACCCGGGAGGCGGAGTTGCGGTGAGCCGAGATCGTGCCATTACACTCCAGCCTGGGCAACAAGAGCGAAACTCCGTCTCAAAAGAAAGAAAGAAAGAAAGAGACAGGTTCCGGCCAGAAGGCTGTTGCATTCCCATCTGCTCAAGGACATATGGGTTACTCTTTGAGATGCTGACGAAATATGTCCCAAAGGCAAATGTTAACCCTGCATCAAAGCTGAGGCTTTCCAGGGGCTGGGCTCAGTGGCTCACACCTGTTATCCCAGCACTTTGGGAGGCCGAGGCGGGTGGATCACGAGGTCAAGCGATAGAGACCATCCTGGCCAACATGGTGAAACCTCGTCTCTACTAAAAAAAATACAAAAATTAGCTGGGCGTGGTGGCACGACCCTGTAGTCCCAGCTTCTCGGGAGGCTGAGGCAGGAGAATTGCATGAATCCAGGAGGCGGAGGTTGCAGTGAGCTAAAATCGCGCCACTGCACTCCAGCCTGGCGTCAGAGGGAGACTCCGTCTCAAAAACAAAAACAAAAACAAAAACAAACCGAAGCTTTACATTAAAACTCTCCCAGTTAAACTTACATGCAGAAAAATCACCCTGGGAGTTTAAGATGCAAGTTCCCAGAACTCACAGGGAGTCTAATTGGGTAGGTCAGAGGAGGTCTTGATCAAGAGCATGCATTTTTATAATACATCTTAGGTGATTCTGATTCAGGAAAGTCTCTGATATCTCCCTTTGAGAAGCATTTAAAAAACCGTTACACTGAAGATTTGAAACTGACTCCTATCCTGAAGAGCCATCAGTGAAGAGGATTTTAAGCATTTAACTCAGGCCTCTTCGAGTAAGGAGAATAGGGCAGGAGTCTCATCGAATTTAGGCAAGTCAACTGACCTTTCCTGAACCTCAGTTCCAGCTTCTACGAGAGAATTCCTGCCCTGCATTCCCGACTAACAGAGTCATTTGTAAAAACCAAACAAGATAAATGTGAATGGGCAAGGCATTCTAACCCCATGCCTACATCCATTATCAACCTATGCCTATGCTAAAGCTTGTTACAATGAGCAGAAGAATCAGATCCTGTCTCATTCTCTTAGTTTCTTGTATTAGAAATAACTAGATCCAAGCCAGGACATTTCTCAACATTTCCCGTGATTATTCTATTTTGTGTCATACACACCTTGGAGGGCTCAGACTTTGCATATCTTGTCCCAACATCTAGCACAATGTCTAGAACATAAAACATGTGTCATAAATATTTGTTGAAAAAATTATGAACAGTGACCATGATTTCAAGTGGTACAGTATCCTCAGTCCTCTTCAAGGAAAGCAATATAAAACCAAAAAACAGATAGTCATGGGTGATTCATGGAAAGCTGTTTTGGATCCAATGTAGCTTAGGCTGGAATTCTCTTATCTACAAAAACATGTTGCTTGAGAATGTTCCAAACTAGGGAGGATAGGAAGCTTTCTAAGAAGTAATGGAGGGTGAAGGGGAAGTAAGAGCAAAAACATGATTGTGAAGACATGAGGGATGGGGTTGGGGGGATCAAGGGAATGAGGGAATGGTTACAAAGGGTGAGGAGGAAGCTTGGAAGTAGGAATCCTCAGAAATGCACATTTTTATCCTACAAATTGGGATGATGAGGTGAGGGTGAATGAAAGGGTAAAGATAAAGTAAGCAGTATATTCATACACTCATTCAACCAATGTGTATTAAATGCCTACTAGGTGTCAAACACTTGCAGTTTAAAAGTGATTAAAAACTACAGTTGCTGCCGGTGTGGAGCTTACAATCAATGGGAGGGCAATCATTCAACAAAAATTAATTGAATACTTCCTATGTCCACCACACTGCTGTAGGCACTGATAATAAAACAGTTAATGAAAGGGATAAAAGTCCTTGCCCTCATAGGGGTAAGATGATTTACAAAAAGGAATACATAAAGTGCATTATAAGGTAGACATTAACACAGTCATCAAACAAACAAGTGTAAAACTGTAACTGGGCCAAGCAGGAATACAAGGTGGAGTGAGAGACAGTGCTAGGGACAGGGATAGGGTGGGAGGAGGGTAAAGGGAGTGAGTGCAGATGGCATGTCTGCATCCAGAGCAGATCTGGGCAGGAGGGTGTCATTCAGTGGGGAGAGCCGGGTTTGTGGGGCAGACAGCCTATGGTTGGAGACCTGGGTGACCCTCCTAGCCTCCATTTCTTTTTACCTCTTCTGACCTGAGGAAGGCTTAAGTCTTCCGGAGACGTTAGTGAATTACCGTCTGTGCAGTACACATGTGACACATGTGCACTGCTGTATGTTCAGGACACGAGGCCTGGCACCAAATAGGCCCTCGATCAAGAATAGCAAAACCTCGGAGAGAGAAGGAGCCTTGGTATACAGGTTTACCAAATACCAAGGGGATCCCACGACTCAGGTATGAGGAGGGCGACCCAGGTACCACTTTCCTGGCTCCCTAGCCCAGCTGCTCATGCTCCTCTTCCTCGTCCCCTCCCCCACTCTCATCTCCTCAGCCCGCCCGGAACGCCCGCGGGCTAGGCCACAACGGCTCGGGAACCGCCGCCGGTATCCGCGTCCGCAGCGCCGCCAGCCAGGCGAGAGCCGTGTGGGATCCCAGCGCCCGCACTCCCGCCCCCGCCAAGGAGCCAGGTGAGCCGCTGCTGGGAGACGCCTGGGCGCCGGGGGCTGCAGGTCCCAGGGCGGGGGCTGCGTCCGTCACCGGCAGGTACCCAGGTATGCCGCAGAGCCAGGCACGCCGTGGGCACTCAGTCAGTATCTGTGGAATGAATGAATGATGGTCGTCCCTGGGAGCTTATCTCTGAGGTATTGTCTCTACTTTCAAAGGCCGTGTGGATGGCAATGACAAGAGACAACAGTGTGTGCGTTTTGCAAGCTGCATCCTTTCAAATTCTCCTGTCTATATTGTCAAAAGCCCCAGAACTGACGTGCTACCTGCACCCCACCGCCTACCCCATCCATTTCCTCCTGAGGCCTGACTGCCCGGCCGTTCCTCTTCCTTTCAGACCCCACTGCTTTTGTTAATTTTGTTCCCTGTGACTGAATCCCCACCCCCACCTCCTTGCCCCTTTCTTTTCATGTCAAATGCCGTTGATGTGTCAGGGGCCCCGTGAAGCCTTCTCCAGCACCCCCACCCCAATAATGAGCATCTCTCCAACACACCATGTTACTCTATCCACATTGCATGGAAGGTGGTTGTCCTATGTTTATGTGTCCAATGGTCATCCGCTTAAGGACTGTCATCTTACTAGTCATCCCTAGCCACTAGCCAGAGTGACTAAAGGATCTAAAGGCCAGGCTCTTTGCTTATACCTTTTCTGTATTCCCAATACATTCTCCATAAAAACCTAGGTAGTAACAGGTGTAGGGTTGTTTCTGATGGAATTACAAATGCTTATTTTGAAAATTCGGAAGTAAATTTTGCCTTTCCGTGATTATAGAAAACATAAGAAAGTTAACAATATCAGGGGGAAGATATTCCTGCAACTAAACTAGCTTTCAAGATTTCATATTATTTGGGTCAATAGCTAAAAAATTGGATTGTATTTAAACTTTTTATTCTTGACTTTTTTTTTTTTTTTTTTTTTTGAGACAGAGTCTTGCTCTGTCGCCCAGGCTGGAATGCAGTGGTTTGATCTCGGTTCACTGCAACCTCTGCCTCCTAGGTTCAAGCGATTCTCCTGCCTCACCCTCCTGAGTAGCCAGGACTACAGGCACGCCATCATGCTCGGCTAATTTTTGTATTTTTATTAGAGACGGGGTTTCACCATGTTGGCCAGGCTGGTCTTGAACTCCTGACCTCAGCTGATCCAACCGCCTTGGCCTTCCAAAGTGCTGGGATTACAGGCATGAGCCACTGAGCCATGTCTGGCCTATTCTTTACTTTTAAAGCACTCTGAACACAGATAATGTAAATAATTAGATAAATGGATGGATGGATGGATGGATGGATGGATGGATGGATGGATGGATAAGGGTACTATGGAGGGTGAAAGAGCTAGGCCAAAAGTGCTTGTATTTTAACAGGGCCCCCAAATTTAGCACTGAAAGGCTCATGAAAGATAATCCACTATATTTATAGTGGTAGTCATACTTTAATTTTTATCAGAATCACCTGGACAGCTTCTTTGCTTTTTTTCTACCTAGCAAGACCTACTGAATCAGAATCTCTGGGGGCCCAGCAGTCTGGACAGCTTCTTAAAACAGACTGATGGCCCCCAGAGTTTCTGATTCAGTAGGTCTTGCTAAGTGGGGCCTACTCAACAGTAGGAGTTTCTGGTCATTGCATCTTCTTGGGAAGTGTCCTGCTAGTACATGAAAATGAGCCACTAGGATTTCTATGAAATCAAGAAAGACATAATGGAGCTGGAGAAATTCCAAAGAAAATTACTTAAAAAAAATAATAAGGAAACCATGCGTTTACCCTTGCTGCTGTTAGCCAGACATTTGATGGAGTTCCTTAAAGACAACTTTCCACCTGCTCCTCCTAGCCATCCTCACTGTGGTCGTAGGAGTTTATGACTTGATAACATCTCCTAGACTAATATTAATGGTCTCCAATTGGCTGTTTTGCCTCAGTCTCTCCTATCTCCACTGTCCAACAACTTTTTGTGATGATGGAAATTTTTTATATCTGCATATCTGCACTGTCCAGTAAGGTAACCACTAGCCATATGTGGCTGTTGAGCACTTGAAATCTAGCTAGTATAATTGAGGATCTGAATTTTTTATTTTAAGTTTAAATAGCCACATGTAGCCAGTGGCTACCATACTGGACAACTCAGCTCTAGAACATAACACTGGCACATTTCATCTTCCCAAAATGCATCTCTGTGCGTATTACTACTTCTGCTGAAAGACTTTAAATAGGCCAGGCGCAGTGGCTCACGCCTGTAATCCCAGCAATTTGGGAGGCCGAGGCGGGAGGATCACCTGAGGTAGGGAATTCAAGACCAGCCTGGCCAACATGGCGAAACCCTGTCTCCACCAAAAATACAAAAATTAGCCAGATGTGGTGGCACATGCCTGTAATCCCAGCTACTCAGGAGGCAAGGCAGGAGAATCGCTTGAACCTGGGAGGTGGAGGTTGCAGTGAGCTAAGATCGCGCCACTGAACTCCAGCCTGGGTGACAGAGCTGTACTCCATCTCCAAAAAAATAAAAAATAGGCCGGGCGCGGTGGCTCACGCGTGTAATCCCAGCACTTTGGGAGGCCGAGGGAGGCAGATCACGAGGTCAGGAGATCAAGACCATCCTGGCTAACACCGTGAAACCCTGTGAGCTGAGATCACGCCACTGCACTCCAGCCTGGGCGACAGAGCGAGACTCTATATCAAAAAATAAAATAAAATAATATACATATATATTTATATGTATACGTAAACATATGTAAAGTAATTGACAACATTTAAAAGCCAGAAGATTCCACATAAAAATCTGGCATTATGGCTTCTCCTGGAAAAGATCAGATCTAAGCCATTCCGGGCCCCACATTGACCGATGGCAAAAATGGCTAGAGCTAAGCAGCTTCTGCTGCCTTTGCCAGCCCCACTGTTCCCACCACTCCTTGACGGTCATATTTTGCCTATTTTACACCAATCCTCCTTTAATGTCACTTTCAGAACAAAATGCTGGGTTCTAGACTCTCGATGTGACCCAGGATATCAGTTTTGTCATTAGCAGACTAATTAGGCTTGTTTAGGTTGCTGGGAACAAAGAGACTACTCATGGAAGTACATTGGACAATTATACGGGGAAAGTAAGGAAGATTGGGTCTGTATTCCTATGGGTGGGGAAAGAAAGGTGGGGGGGGATTCCTTACATTTCAATATACAGTTCTACCTTTTTTTCTTTTTGTAAGAGACATGAGGCACTAATTATCTTAAGTAATATATTGTAAAATACCTCTCCCATCCTCTTCTGTATTCCCCAGTCACCTCACTGGTTTAGAGAATTTGTGATCTTTAGTTCATGGTTGTTATACAGCATATTACTTCTACCCAATGCTTTGAGGGTAAAAATACAATATATAATTATGGCCCAATTACTTACATTTTCTAAAATCTTGGTTTTACACCTGTAAAATGAAAGAAATAGTAGTACTGGTATTGTTGTGGAAATTTAATGACATAACTCGTGAAGAAATCTAGTGCAATGCATGGCATAGGATAAATGCCCAATAAATGTTGGCAATGATGATGATGATGATTCTTCTGAAGGAAAACAAAGTTGCTGACACATTAAACTTATCTGCAGCATCACCCATCATCTATATAATTGTGTAATCTATATAATTTGAGGGTTTACCAATATATTTTATAGGTATGTGGTTTATACATATGCTTTTTTACATTTATGTGGAAGAATTTTAGAGTTTATGCTTTTTTTATTGTTCAAAAACATAGATTATTAAGACTGGTTATACTTTCTCCCAGAGATGGATCCCTATCCATCCTCATTTACTCTATCTTTTCAATCTTTTAAAAAAGCAGGATAATATAGATTTTTTTTTCTTTTAGAGACAGGGTCTCGCTCTGACACCCAGGCTGGAGTACAGTGGTGCGATCCCAGCTCACTGCAACCTCCACCTGCTGGGCTCAGGTGATCCTCCCACCTCAGCCTCCTGAGCAGCTAGGACTACATGCCATGCCATCATGCCCAGCTAATTTTGTTTCTATTTTTAGTAGAGACAGGGTTTCACCATGTTGCCTAGTCTAGTCTTGAACTTCTATAGCTTTTTCTGCTACACCATGAGGCCACTAACTGTATACTTGGCAGTCATTCAAGAAACACTTGTTAAGGGCCTGCTAAGTTGCTAAGTGAAAGCCATTCTTTTGGGTCCTGGGGCTGCAACTGTGAATAGTCACAGTCCTGCTTCCTGGTCTTACATTTTATGGGGGAAACAGACAATGGACAAACAGACAAATAATGAATCAGGTGCTGGCAAGTGCCGTGAAGAAAAGTAAAAGGTAAAGGGATAATGATGTCTGCTATTTTAGAGGAGTTACAAGACTTGTATTGAGCACTTAACCCTTCATCTGGACTTCTTCATATATGCTGGATAGTGAGCATTTTCAGTGAAAATTGTTGATTAATACTGTCCACCTCTTGATCATTTTCCTACAACATAACACAACTGAATATAAAGAAAACTAGGCCTCCCAGCAGGACACCTGGGTTCTAGTCCTGGCTCTAATAAGTATCAAACAGCAAAGACTGTTTAAACTTCTGGGTTTTGTTGTCTCCATTTGAAAAATGAAAAGAATACACATAAAATTATACAACTTTGAGAAAGAGTTTTTTACAACTGAAAGATGCTATGCAAGTGTAAAACATTATTATATAGGAATTTTATTTCCTTAAAAATATGCCGAGGATCTGGATTACTGAAAATGCTCTTTTATTTGCTCTCTTTCCACTCATCCAGGAATGGCACAACTAGAGAGGAGCGCCATCTCTGGCTTCAGCTCTAAGTCCAGGCGAAACTCATTCGCATATGATGTTAAGCGTGAAGTATACAATGAGGAGACCTTTCAACAGGAACACAAAAGGAAGGCCTCCTCTTCTGGGAACATGAACATCAACATCACCACCTTCAGACACCACGTCCAGTGCCGGTGCGTGTGTCCAATCTTTCACCTGCTGCCGAGCCGGGCAGGACTGAAACCTAACCTGACTCCTTTGGGGTCCGTTTCTCTTTCTTGTCTGAGTTCCTGTAATCAGAATCATGCAGTTTATTGTGCAATTTTTCTTCAGTCATTTTTGTGGTTTGTCTTGCAGTACCTTTTCGATTGTAAACTTCCTGGGCATAAAGATCTTGGATGTCCCTATGGTACCTAAGGAGGATATTTCATAATTCCATTGTTCAATCAACCATGACTACCAGACTCCCGACCAAAAATAAGATAGCCAGCAAGACGCAATGGCTCACGCCCGTAATCCCAGCACTTCAGGAGGCCAAGGCAGGCAGATCACTTGAGTCCAGGAATTTGAGACCAACCTGGGCAACATGGTGAAACCCCGTCTCTACTAAAAATACAAAAATTAGCTGGGCGTGGTGGCACGTGCTGTAATTCCAGCTGCTCAAGAGGCTGAGGCATGAGAATTGCTTGAACCTGGGAGGCGGAGGTTGTAGTGGGTCGAGATTGTGCCACTACACTCTAGCCTGGGCAACAGAGCAAGTCTCTGTCTCAAAAAAAATAAATAAATAAGATAGCCATGGTGGACTGATTAATGGTAGGGGAATGAGATTCTTCTAGTCTCATATCCAACAGTGCCCACATGGTGGTACTCATGGTCACTAAGGTAGAATCTACCACCACCACCTCTGATACCCGCTGTGACTAGCTAGGTCCTACAGTTCAGGGGCTCTTACCCTGTTTTTGTGCTTTGAACCTTCTAGCAGTCTGATAAAGTTAATCAACATCTTTCAGAATAATTTTTTAAATGTTTTTTATTGTGGTGAAATATGTATAACATAAAATTGGCTATTTTGACCATTTTTAAATATACAATTCAGTGGCATGATTGACATTCGCAATGTTGTGAAACCATCACCGCTATTTCCAAAACTTTTTCATCACCTCAAACAGAAATTCTGTTAAGCAATAATTCCCTATTTCCCCACCCCTCAGCCCAAGTAACCTCTCTTCTGCTTTCTGTCTCTATGAATTTGCCTATTCTAGCTATTTCACTTAAGTAGAATCATACAATATGTTTGTCTTTTTGTGTCTGACTTCTTTCACTTAGCATAATGTTTTCAAGATTCATCCATATTGTAGCATGTATTAGAACTTCATTTCATTTTATGGCTGAATAATATTCCATTGTATTTATATACCACATTTTTGTTTATCCATTCGTTAACAGACATTTGAGTTGTTTCTACCGCCATTAGGCTACTGTAAATAATGCTGCCATGAACATTGGCACAGGAGATCTGTTTGAAGTCCTATAACTAGGACTAGAATTGTTGAATCACATCATAAATCTGTGGTAAATTTAACTTTTTAAGGAACTGCCAAACTGTTTTCCACAGTAGCTGCACCACTTTACATTTTCACTGGCAATGTACAATTTTTCCATGTGCTCTCCAACATTTGTTATTTTCCATTTTTTTAAATTATAGCCAACCTATTAGGTATGAAATGATATCTCATCGTGGTTTTTTGTTTTTGCTTTTGTTCTGCATTTTCCTGATGACTAAAGGTGATGAGTATCTTTTGGTGTGTTTATTGGTTAATTGTATATCTTCTTTGGAGAAATGTCTATTCATTTCCTTTGTCCTTTGTAAAATTAGGTTGTTTGTCTTTTTGTTGTTGAGTTATAGGAGTTCTTCATGTATTCTGGATATTAAATTTCTATCAGATAGATGTTTGTAAATCTTATATAATTTTGTAAATATTTTCTCCCATTCTGCAGGTTGTCTTTTCACTCTGTTGATACAGTGTCCTTTGATGTAGAAAAGTTTTTTGGTGTTTTGTTTTGTTTTGTTTTGTTTTGTTGAGACGGAATTTCACTCTTGTTGCCCAGGCTGGAGTGCGATGGCATGATCTCTGCTCACTGCAGCCCCTGCCTCCCAGGTTCGAGCAATTCTCCTGCCTCAGCCTCCTGAGTAGTGGGGACTACAGGCAGGTGCCACCACGCCCAGCTAATTTTTGTATTTTTAATAGAGGTGGGGTTTCACCATGTTGGCCAGGCTGGTTTTGAACTCCTGACCTCAGGTGATCCACCTGCCTCGGCCTCCCAAAGTGCTGGGATTACAGACGTGAGCCACCGCACCTGATGTAGAAGAGTTTTTAATTTTGATGAAATCCAATTTATCTGTATTTTCTTTTGTTGCCTGGACTTTTGGTGCCATATTTAAGAAACTTGTCAAATTCAAGATCATACAAGATCATGCATCTTTTCTTTTCTTTTCTTTTCTCCTTCCTTCCTTCCATTCTTCTTTCCTTCTTTCTTTCTTTTTGAGGCAAAGTCTCACTGTCACCCAGGCTACCATGCAGTGGCACAATCTCCGCTCACTGCAACCTCCACCTCCCAAGTTCAAGCGATTCTCCTGCCTCATCTCCCGAGTATCTGGGATTACAGGTGTGCGCCACCACACCCAGCTAATTTTTGCATTTTTAGTAGAGACGGGGTTTCATCAAATTGGTCAGGCTGGTCTCAAATTCCTGACCTCAAGTGATCCGCTTGCTTTGGCCTCACAAAGTGCTGGGATTACAGGCATGAGCCACCGCTCTGGGCCAAGATCATGCATATTTTCATCTATGTTTCCTTCTATGAATTTTATAGTTTTAGCTTTTAAATTTAGGTCTTTGATCCTTTTTGAATTAATGTTTGTATATAGTGTAAGGTAAAGGTCCAGCTTTATTCTTTTACATGTAGATATTCTGTTTTCCCAGGACAATTAGTTGAAGAGATTGTCTTCACCTAGTAAACGGTCTTGGTTGAATAATTTTTTAATGCATAAAATAAGCAGGATTATAAGGAAAACCAGTTACATTGAAATACAGTTATCTAAATATCAAAAATACCAAAATTGTGTTATTTAATAACATGGGTCTAATAACTACCATAATTTCAAAGTAGTGATGAATGTAACTAATATTTCAAGATCTCTTTAGCAATTGTAATGTAATATAGAAATGTTTGTCATTTCTACTGGTGACAAAGTCAAGTTCTGCTGATACTACTGTGTTTTGTTGCCAACATTCATAATTGAAGGAAATGCTAAAGAGGTTAGTGAAATAAAGATATAAGTTCACCTATATAATTTCACATATGTCCCCAAATACTATCTACAGACTCCTTGGGGGTCCACAAACCTCAGGTTAAGAACCCTGGCCGGGTGCAGTGGCTCACACCTGTAATCCCAGCACTTTGGGAGGCTGAGGTGGGCGGATCACTGAGGTCAGGAGTTTGAGACCATCCTGGCCAACGTGGTGAAACCCCTTCTCCACTAAAAATACAAAAATTAGCTGGGCTTGGTGGCGCACAGCTGTAGTCCCAGCTACCCGAGAGGCTGAGGCAGGAGAATCGCTTGAATCCGGGAGGCAGAGGTTGCAGTGAGCCGAGATCACGCCACTGCACTCCAGCCTGGTGACAGAATGAGACTCTGTCTCAAAAAGAAAAAAAAAAAACAAAGAATCCTTTGTGACCTACATCATTATAGTAATCTTAATTACTCAAGTTGTCCTCAGTCACACTCTGAATTTATTAGTCCTTCTTGTCCCCTGGTTTATCACCCACAATTGGCACATGTTGGTATGTTGGCATGTTGGTGACAAGTGTGGAAAGTCCTACACAGCCCTGCTCCAGACTGTCCTCTCCTTGAGACATTCTCCTTTGTCCGCATTCTGCCTTTTGCAAGTTGTGTTCTTGGATATCCCCCCCAGTCCTCTCACTTCCTCTGCTCCATGATGGATCGGGGGACATGTGCCAAAGAGGGTATTTGGGGGCAACATTGGCTTTGTCTCTATAAAATGATAGTCTTTTTCCCTAACTTTACCCTCATTATAAATAAGTATTCCCAGTGAAATTTCAACCTAACTCCTTTCTACCTTCCTTACTTAGCCTTGCCATCCGGACACTTAAATCTGACCCATTCTGCCTCCCATAAGCTTTCTAGCAACTGTTACTCCCTACTTCTAAAACATACAATTCTCTCCACTTCTAAATTTTAACCAGAAAGGTAGCACAGCACAATGCTTGAGAGCACAATTCTGGCTGGGCACAGTGGCTCATGCCTGTAATCCCAGCACTCTGGGAGGCCGAGGCAGGCAGATCACGAGGTCAGGAGTTTAAGACCAGCCTGGCCAACATGGTG
This sequence comes from Homo sapiens, assembly GCF_000001405.40. Lineage (NCBI taxonomy): Eukaryota > Metazoa > Chordata > Mammalia > Primates > Hominidae > Homo > Homo sapiens. The sequence continues at coordinate 36,015,308 of NC_000006.12, read as the reverse complement.
AAACCCCGTCTCTACTAAAAATACAAAAATTAGCTGGACATGGTGGCACGTGCCTGTCATTCCAGCTACTCGGTAGGCTGAGGCAGGAGAATTGCTTGAACCAGGACCGGAATGCAAAGGTTGCAGTGAGCTGGGATTGCGCCACTGCACTCCAGCCTGGGCTACAGAGTGAGACTCCCTCTCAAAAAAAAAAAAAAAAAAAGCACAATTTTGAAACTGGGCTGCCTGATTTTGAATACTAGTCCTGCTGCTTTTCAGCCTTGTGACCTTAGGTAAGCTATTCAACTCTGCTGTGCCTCAGTTTCCTTATCTGTAAGATCAACATGATAATAGCACCTGCCTCGTAAAGTGATTGTGAGGATTTAAAGAGTATTTGTAAAGCAACTAGGAAATAGCACTAGATAAGTGAGGTTTTTTTTCTCTTTTTTCTTTTTTTTTATTTTGAGCCAGAGTCTCGCTCTGTCATCCATGCTGGAGTGCAGTGGCGCTGTCTCAGCTCACTGCAACCTCAGCCTCCCGGGTTCAAGCGATTCTTCTGCCTCAGCCTCCCGAGTAGCTGGGACTACAGACCTCGTTTATTTTTGTATTTTTAGTAGAGACGGGGTTTCGCCATATTGGCCAGGCCAATCTCGAACTCCTGACCTTGTGATCCGCCCGCCTTGGCCTCCCAAAGTGCTGGGATTACAGGCATGAGCCACCGCACCTGGCCATAAGTGAGTTTTTTTAATGTAAATGAAATAATCTTTTAACCCCATCTCTTCCTTTCTGCAGAAAACCTCTTAATAGCTTTCCTCATTTTCTTCCTCTTTAGCAACTGCAAATCCCCCCTCTTATCAAAATCTCCCTTGTGCTTTCATTTTGATTCTTCCATTTCTCACTTTTAAGATGTCTTAACTGAAATCCAGATTCATGTCTAAATGCTAATATTATTCCCCCGTCAGCTTCAACTTCCATTCCTCTAATTCCCTCCTTAGTTTCTGTCACTCTTAAAGCCTCATCACTCCGTGTCCATTGTATTTTTCACCATGGGGAAGAGCTTTGATGACTTTGCCTTGGGTGGCTGGCTGGTCTTTCCCTAAGTGACACACAGAGAGGAAGGCAGACTGAACCAGGTGAAGGAACAAACTGTTCCAGTGCCATGCTCTACTCTTCTCCACAGAGGCTCATAATTAGAAAGAGCATATTTTGTACACCTGCCACACACCCAGGGACTCTCCTAAGAACAGCAATGTGATGTTCCTTCCAAACCAATGGTCTTACTCATGGCTGCCGAGCAGCATTTCACAGCTGCCAATAGGAAATTTGGAGGCAGGAGAGTGGCTAGAACACTGAGCTAGAAATCAAGGACCTTGTTTCTAGCCCCATCTCTACTCACACTTATTCCTGTGACCTTGGTAAAGTCATATTTATTTGGCATTAATTACCTTAGCAATAGTAATGCCATAGTTGTAACAGTAAAACATAAGTAAAATTACTTTTTGTCTGAGCATGCACTTCAGCCCTGACTACGTTAAAGTTATATTTGTTGTTGTAGTCAAATCCCAATTATCTAGCTCAGTTTACACATGAAAAATCTTCATACTTTTTACTTTCAACCCCTGCTAAAATCTAAATAATGAAAAACAATTTAAAACCAAATTGGTTTTCTTGGTTGATTAATGATGATTCTGTTGTTTTAGATGATCTAAAAGTTAAAGCAGGTTTTCTCAATCTCAGCATCATTGACATTTTGGACCAGAAAATTCTTTCTTGTGGAGAATTGGCCTGTGTATTCTGTGATGTTTAGCCTCTACCCACTTGCCAATTGCAAGAATCAAAAATGTCTCCGGGCCAGGCACGGTGGCTTATGCCTGTAATCCTAGCACTTTGGGAGGCCGAGGCGAGCAGATCACCTGACCAGCCTGGCCAACATGGTGAAACTCCATCTCTACTAAGAATACAAAAATTAGCCAGGCATGGTGGCGCATGCCTGTAATCCCAGCTACTCAGGAGGCTGAGGCAGGAGAATTGCTTGAACCCGGGAGGCAGAGGCTGCAGTGAGCCAAGATTGTGCCACTGCACTCCAGCCTGGGCGAAAGAGCAAGACTCCATCTAAAAAAAAAAAAAAAAGTCTCTGGACATTGCCACATGTACACAGGGGAACAAAACTGCACCTAGTTGAGATCTACTGGGCTAAAGGATAATAAAGTCTTATTTTATAAAGTTGTTTCCTTACATAACTAAGTCCTTAAGCACAGGACTTCATATTCTCTATTTTCTACTAATTTCTACATGTCACAGGTCAAGGCCAGACAGAGTAAATGTTTGGTAAAAATTTTAGTTCCATGCTCTCCTCTCCTCCACAGAGGGTCATAATTAGAAAGAACACACTTTATGCACCTGCCTCGCACTTGGGGACTCTCCTAATTGGGAATAACATGAATGTGTTAACTGCCCTTCCACCTATCAATGTCACACCTCAAAACACTGTCCTTGTCAAAAGAAAACAACAGCAGTCCATTTTTCTACTGGAAAATTGGTAGGTTTAATTCTTCCCAAATATCCTGTGAAAACACAGAACTGATTACATGCTGGACGTATATGGCTTAGTTCTTGACATATACATAGCACTTGGTTCTGAAGCTAAGGTGATTTAGTCCCCCAGGGAACATGTGGCGATGTCTGGAGACATTGTTATTGTTAGCTGTCACAGCTGAAGCGGGGAGTTCTACTGATATCAAATGTGGGAATGTGTAGAGACGAGGGATGCTGCTAAACATCCTGCAATGCACAGGACAGCCCAACAACAAAGAATTATCTGGTCCAATATGTCAAACTCTCATTAGTGCTGACAAGACTCTACTTTTTCTTGGCTATGTGGGCCAAATGCCTTTTCTTGGCTATGCGGGCATTTTCTTTGGAGAAACTAACCAAGTCTCTGCTCCTCTCTCTCACAGCTGCTCATGGCACAGGTTCCTACGATGCGTGCTTACAATCTTTCCCTTCCTAGAATGGATGTGTATGTATCGATTAAAGGATTGGCTTCTGGGAGACTTACTTGCTGGTATAAGTGTTGGCCTTGTGCAAGTTCCCCAAGGTAAGGAAGATATGAAGCCTGTTCATCCAAAGACAATGTATCAGACCTTGTCCACGTGCCCAGGGTAAACAATTACTTGTGCTACATGAATAGAAAAAAAATATTGAATTTTATTCACAGCATTACCATTTGTTCCCTTATCTGCCAGATTTCTAACCTCTCCAGGGTGGTTCCAAAAGACTTGGTTTACTTTAGACCCCTGAATGCTTTCCAGAGTATTTGTAACACCCACTCTTTGTTATTTTTTCCCTTCACTAGTTATTTCATGCTTATGGCTATAATACATCTCACTTGGCATTGGTTTTACCTAGAAAGGGGAAGGATAGGTGGGCATAGTGGCTCATGCCTGTAATCCCAGCACTTTGGGAGGCCAAGGCAGACAGATTGCTTGAGCTCAGGAGTTCCAGACCAGCCTGGCTAACACAGTGAAACTCTGTCTCTACAAAAAAATACAAAAATTAGCGGGGCCTGGTAACGTGTGCCTGTAGTCTTAGTTACTCTGGAGGCCAAGGTGGGAGGATCACCTGAGCCCAGGAGGTCGAGACTGTAGTGAGCAGTGATCACACCACTGCACTCCAGCCTGGGCAACAAAGCAAGACCCTGTCTCAGAAAAGAAAAAAAAGGTGAAGGATAGGAAACATAGCATGCCAGCATCTCTCCAGCAAGTGACAAGCAATCCAGTGCTCACTCTTTGGTCTTCCAAGTAGCAGTTCAGATGTAAGACAACAAGATCACACAGATAGGTGTGGGAGCTTATCTGGGCTTTAAAAACTCATTTCCCAAATAGGAATCAACAACTTTGTAACAGTGCCATAAATATTGCTTCCAGAGTCCCACAATGGGCAAGTCCAGTTGTAAGAGTCACTATGCTCAGAGAATCCCAAAGGTAGGGCTTCCAACTGGATATTTATCTTTCATTCACAGTCCTCTTGGTCCAGATGGAATATACTATTTGGGTTCATTTTTACCATAAGCAATTCTGCCCGGTAACACAGCTGACGTTCTACCATTATAAGGTTTCCAGGGAAACAGAGCTAGAAAGTTAACCCCAGATCAAATTCATCCTCAAAAAATAGAATGGGTTTTATAAATCCTTTACTCACAGTAGTTTATAGTTCCCCAGATAGTCTTTAAATACCTCCATTTCTCTATTTTTCTGAGGCTCAACAGGCAGGGTTGAAGCTTGTGATCGGGCAGGTTGTGGATAGCACAAAAGAGGTCAAGAACATGAACAAGCTGTGGCTGAAATCCAACTCTAGCACAGCACTGTTAATTGGGGAAAACAGATAACTTTTTAAATCTTTATTTACTTATTTGTTTCTAAATTATCAAATAGTAAAATTGGCGCTTTTTTTCCCCTTTTGGTGTATACTCAGATTGATTTTAACCCACTTGGCTGGGACTGGTGGCTCATGCCTGTAATCCCAGCACTTTGGGAGGCCTGGGCAGGCAGATTGATTGAGATCAGGAGTTTGAGACCAGCCTGGGCAACATAGTGAAACCCCATCTCTACTAAAAATACAAAAATTAGCTGGGCATGGTGGCACACACCTGTAATCCCAGCTACTTGGGAGGCTGAGGCAGGAGAATTGCTTGAACCCAGGAGGTGGAGGTTGCAGTGAGCCAAGATCGCACCACTGCACTCCAGCCTGGGTGACAGAGCGAGACTCCATCTCAAAAAAAAAAAAAAAAAAAAGAATACATATATAGATTTGTGTAACCACCACCACAATTGATGCAGAGTAGTTCCATCACCTCCAGAACTCTCTCATGCCATGCTTTTTAAGCCACATACCCCCCAATCTATAACCCCTAGCAACCATTGATCTGTTCTCCAGCACCATAATTCTGTCTTTTTGAGCACATCATATAAATGGAATCATACAGTATGTAAATTTCAAAGGCTGGCTTCTTTCATTATGCATTGTGCCTTTGAGATTCACGCAAATTGTTGTGTGTATCAATAGTTCATTTTTATTGCTTAGTAATATTCTACTATATGGATACATCGCAGCTTGTTTATCCATTCACTTGTTGATAGACATTTTGTTTCCAGTTTTGGTCTCTCACAAATGAAGTTGCTATGAACATTCACGTACAGGTTTTGAGTGAACATAGTTTTCATTTTACTAAGCTGGAGCTGGATCACTGGTCACATGGTACGTGTATGTTTAACTTTATAAGAAACCACCAAACTGTTTTCCAGAGTGGTTTTTCTACCATTTTACATCCCCAGCTGCAAGCATAAGAATTTCATTTCCTCCACATCCTCATCAGCACTTGATATTGTCAATATTTTTAAAATCAAACTTTCTATTTTGAGATAATTATAGATTCACATGCGTTTGTAAGAAACAACAGATAGAACCCATGTACCCTTTACCCAGTTTCCCCAATGGTAATATCTTGCAAAGCTATGGTTCAGTCTCACAACCAGGATATCAGCATTGTTTCAGTCAAGATAGAGAACACTTTCACCACCACAAAGATTCCTCAAGTTGTCTTTCTATAGCCACCACTACCTGCCTCCTGTCCCTAACTCCTCTTAATCCCTAGCAATCATTAATATGTTCTTCACTTCTATAATTTTAACATTTCAAGAAAGTCATCTAAAGGGAATCATACAGCATATAACCCTTTGGTATTGGTTTTTTTCCCTCATAATTCTTTGGTGATTCATCCAGATTGTTGTATATATGAATTGTTTATAACTTTTTATTTTTGAGTAATAGTCCATGGTATAGATGTATCACAGTTCATTTAAACATTTACCCATTGAAGGATATCTGGATTGCTTCCAGGCTTTATTATTACACATATAGACGATATGAACATTCATGTGCAGGTTTGTTGTTGTTGTTGTTGTTGTTGTTGTTGTTTTTGAGAGGCAGTCTCACTCTGTCACCCAGGCTGGAGTACAGTGGCACGATCTCGGCTCACTACAACCTCTGCCACCCGGGTTCAAGCAATTCTCCTGCCTCAGCCTCCTGAGTAGCTGGGATTACAGGCGCACGCCACCACACCCAGCTAACTTTTGTCTTTTAGTAGAGACAGGGTTTCACCATGTTGGCCAGGCTGGTCATAAACTCCTGACCTTAAGTGACCACCCACCTTGGCCTCCCAAAGTACTGGGATTACAGGCAAGAGCCACAGCGCCTGGCCTCATGTGCAGGTTTTTAAAATAAATGTTAAGTCTTCATTTATCTGGGATAAATGCTTAGGAGTGTAGTACATTGCTGGAGTATATAGGAGTTGCCTGTTGCCTTTTTTCACCAACCTGTTTTCCAGAGTGGCTTAACATATTACCTTCCCACTAGCAATCTATCAGTGATCCAGTTGCTCTGTATCCTCACCAACATTTGCTGTTGTCACTATTTTTTATTTTAGCTATTCTGATAGTCATGTAGTGATATCTCATTATGGTTTTAGTTTGCATTGTCTTAATGGCTAGTGATATTTAACACCTTTTCATATGCTAATTTCCATCTGTTATTTTCATAAAATGGCTCTTCTCGTCTTTTGCCCATGTTCTAGTTAAATTATGTTTTTACTGTTGAGATCTGAGAATTCTTTGTAGATTCTGGATACTAGTTATTTTGTCTTTTGTGTTTTGCAAATATTTTCTCCCAGTCTGGAGCCTGCCTTTTCATACTCTTAACAGTCTTCCAGAGCAAAAGTTTTGATTTTGATAGGCTCGTTTTTAGTATCTTTTATTTTAGCCATTCTAAGAAGTACGTAGTGGTATCTCATCATTGTTTTAATTTGCATTTCCCTAATGGTTAATGAGGTTGAACATCTTTTCATGTGCCTAACTTGCTATCCTCATATCTTCTTTGAAGGGTCTGTTCAAGTACTTAGCCTATTTTTCCACTGAGGTTTTATTTTTTTCTTGTTGTTAATTTTTGAGCTTTTGTTTTGTTTTGTTTTGTTTTGTTTTTAGAGACAGGATCTTGCTCTGTCACCCAGGCAGGAGTGCAGTGGTGTGAACATAGCTCACTGCAGTCTAGAACTCCTGGCCTCAAGCATCCTCTTGCCTTGGCCTCCTAAAGTGCTGAGATTACAGGCATGAGCCACCATGCCCGGCCTCAACACCATTTTTTTTTTTTTTTTTTTGAGACGGAGTCTCGCTCTGTTGCCCAGGCTGGAGTGCAATGGCTCAATCTCGGCTCACTGCAAGCTCCGCCTCCCGAGTTCATGCCATTCTCCTGCCTTAGCCTCCCGAGTAGCTGGGACTACAGGCGCCTGCCACTATGCCTGGCTAATTTTTTGTATTTTTAGTAGACACGTGGTTTCACCGCGTTAGCCAGGACGGTCTCGATTTCCTGACCTCGTGATCTGCCCGCCTTGGCCTCCCAAAGTGCTGGGATTACAAGCGTGAGCCACCGCGCCCAGCCTCAACACCATTTTTAAAGAATATCCTCCAGTGAATTGTTTTTGCACCTTTGTCAGAGATCAAATAGGCATCTTTTGTGTGAGTCTCCTAAATTTTCTTCATTCTGTTCCATTGATCTATGTGTCTATCCCTTTACCAATACCATATCTTGACAGTGAGTTTTAAGGTTGAGTGATATGCTTCCTCCAGCTAATTTTTTTTCCAAAATTGTTTTAGCTATTCTTCCGTATTCATTTTATAATCAGCTTATCTAAATTTACCAAAAAAGGTTTTTGTTTAGATTTTGATAGGTATTCCATTAAATCTATAGATTATTTCAGGAAGAATTGGCATCTTTATTATGCTGTCTTCCAATCCATGATTATGGTGTCTCTCCATTTATTTAGGTCCCTTGATTTCCTTCATCAGCCTTTTGTAGTTTTCAGCATAGAGATCCTACGTGTTTTGTTAGATTTGTGCCAAAGTATTTCATTTTAGGGGTTTAAATGATGGTTCAGTCTCCAATTATTCATTGTTTGCATATAAAAATACAATTGATATTTGTGTGTTTTTCTTGTATCCTGAAACTCCTTTATTAGTTCTAAGAATTTTTTGTAGATTCCCTGGAATTAACTACATTGACAATCATGTCATCTGTTAATAGGGACAGTTATGTTTATCTTTTTAATATGAATGGCCTTAATGACTTTTTATTGCTTGTTATACTAGCTAAGACTTCCAATACTATGTTGAATAAGGGTGGTGAGAATAGACATTCTTGCCTTCTTCCTGAACATAGGGGGAAAGCATTCAGTCTTTTACCACTAAGTATGATGTTAGCTGTAGGATTTTTGTTGATGTCCTTTATTAGGTTAGGGAAGTTTTCATCTACTCCAGTTTGCTGAGAAATTTATCATGAATCAATGTTGTATTTTGTGAAATTTTTTTTGCATCTATTGATAAGGCCCATGTGGTTTTTCTCTTTAGATGATTAATATGGCAGGTTACATTAATTGATTTTTTTGAATATTGAACCAGCCTTGCATTCTCAGAATGAGAGTATTCACACTAAGTTACCATATGTGCTAGTTGCATTCCTGCAAAAAGAAATTTTCATGTGGCAGCTACAACCAAAATGGCCCATTTGTATTAACATAGTCACTTTATTTCTATGAATAAAATTTCTAGCATATTCCTATGGTGCTGCAATGAGACAGCTAAACTCTTGGAATTGATGCTTTAACTATGAGCCCCCTGCCAGTTTCTACTTATATTTAAATAAAGACCAAAGTTGGAGGATATCCCATTGCTAAATTAAAAAGTCATCAGTATAATCTTGTATCAAAATAAGAATGGCATTAGAGTAATATCTAGCATTCACCACAACACCTAGCACATAGTAGGTACTCAAAAGATGTTTGTTGAATAAAAATGATTGCATAACTGGTTATGGTAGCTCACACCTGTAATCCCAACACTTTGGGAGGCTGAGGGAGGTGAATCACTTGAGGTCAGGAGGTCGAGACCAGCCTAGCCAATATGGCAAAACCCTGTCTCTACTAAAAATACAAAAATTAGCCAGGTGTAGTGGTATGTGCCTGTAATCCCAGCTACTCGGGAGGCTAAGGCAGGAGAATTGCTTAAACCTGGAAGGCAGAGGCTGCAGTAAACTGAGATCACACCACTGCATTCCAGCCTGGGTAACAGAGCGAGACTCCATTGGAAAAAAAAAAGATTTCATAGCTATATGAATGAATGAATCCAACCAGCTCTTAATACTTGATTAAGGGATTGAACATTAGTTTAATTGATGTGAATAATAAGATAATTTGTAGTGTGAATAATTCAAAAATTGTACTTACATTTGAATACCTGATGACAATAATTTTATTCAAATGAAACAAAAATACTATATGATGAAGACCTTATTAAAAAGGTGCTGGATCTTCCTTACAGTAGAATTCCAATTTATAAATGTAGAATTAAAGAAGAAAATACAAAATCACCTTCATGAAAACACTACAGTAATAATTGTACATAAAATCTACCCAGTGGATGCTAAAACCAGTGGGTGAAAATTTGCAAACTAAGAAACAGGATTTGCATATTTTCAAAGTATCTCCCTCGAGATATTTATTAACTACCCCACCACTTTACAATAGAAAACCTAGGAGAAAATAGCTTAACTAAGTGATTAATGTGAGCATCACCAGTAGTAAAATATATGGATATCATGAATCCTGTGATATGATACAATGAGAAAGATACAACATCATTTCTGTAGTATTCTTGCCAAAAGTGTATAACCTTAGTACAATCATAAGGAAATATAAGACAAACCGAAATTGAGGAGTGTTTGACAAAATAACTGATCTATTAATACTCTTAATTTGTCAAAGTCATGAAAGACAGGTAAAAATTAAGGAACTGTTATAGATTGCAGGAATAAGGGGAAATAACAACTAAATGAAATGTGAGACTCTGGATAGAATCCTAGAACAAAATGAAAGACATTAGTAAAAAAACTGATGAGATTCAAATAAAGTTTTTAATTTCTAATGTTAATTTCCTAGCTCTGATCAATATACTATGACTATATAAAATATTAACATTAGGAGAAGCTGTGGAAGGGATATATGGAAACTGCATTATTTTTGTAACTTTTCTGTAATTCTAAAATTAGTTTAAAATTTTTGAAAATTTTAAGGTGTTGGAAAGTTTGGAAATTTTAATTCCCTCTATTTCACTATGGCCTAAACTTAAATGAGACTAGATAACTTAATTCTCAGATTGTTAACCCAGTAATTCTCTTACCTTCCCAGCATTGGTTAGTTATTTAAAACTAACAAAAGATTTTTTCTTCATGCTACACGCTGCTTTTCAAGAGTAAATGGGGGCCAGGTGTGGTGACTCATGCCTGTAATCCCAGCACTTTGGGAGGCCAAGGCAGGCAGATCGCTTGAGCTCAGGAGTTCAAGACCAGACTGGGCAACATGGTGAAACCCTTGTCTCTACTAAAAAAAAAAAAAAAAAAAAAAAATTTAACTAGGTGTGGTGGTGCAAGCGCCTGTAGTCCCAGCTACTTTGGGAGGCTGAGGTGGAAGGATCACTTGAGCCTGGGAGGTTGAGGCTGCAGTGAGCCAAGATCGCACTCCAGCCTGGGTGACAGAGCAAGACAGTCACACACAAAAAAAAGAAAAAAAGTAAATAGGGGCTATTCAACATTACAACATTATAATGGAGTGCATACACAGTATATTAAAGCAAGAAAAAGAAGTACAAAGTATAAGAATTATAAATGAATAAAGCTTCATTATTCACAGATGATTTTTATGCAAAGAATTCAAAAGAATATAAAGAAAATTGATATGACTTTTTTAAAAGCAAAAAAAATTTTAAAAAGGCATAAAAAAAGAAAAACAAAGAAAATAGTAAGATTTTATGAATGTTGCTGGATACTAAATCAGCATATAACAATCAGTTATGCTTAGGTGCAATGGCTCATGCCTATAATCCTAGCACTTTGGGAGGTTGTGGCGGGTGGACTGCTTGAGCCCAGGAGCTCAAGACCAGCCTGGCAACACAGTGACACCCTGTCTCTATGAAAACTACAAAAAATCTAGATGGGCATGGTGGTGCATACCTGTAGTCCAGCTACTTGAGAGACTGAAGTGGGACGATTCCCTGAGCCTGGGAGGTTGAAGCTGTAGCGAGCTGTGATTACACCACTGCACTCTAGCCTGGGCAACAGAGCGAGACTCTGTCTCAAAAAAAAAAAAAAAAAAAGCAGAAATAAAATTGTGTTCAGTATAACTCTTAATATAAAGTTCAAAATGGGAGCAAATTAAACTGTATTGTGTAGGGATACGTACACTACTGGTAAAGAAAAGCAAAGAAATAGGCCGGGCATGGTGGCTCACGCCTGTAACCCCAGCACTTTGGGAGGCCGAGGCAGGCAGATCATGAGGTCAGGAGATCGAGACCATCCTGGCTAACATGGTGAAACCCCATCTCTACTAAAAATACAAAAAATTAGCTGGGCGTGGTGGCAGGCACCTGTAATCCCAGCTACTCAGGAGGCTGAGGCAGGAGAATGGCGTGAACCCGGGAGGCGGAGCTTGCAGTGAGCCAAGATTGTGCCACTGCACTCCAGCCTGGGCAACAGAGTGAGACTCTGTCTCAAAAAAAAAAAAGAAAAAAAGAAAAGAAAAGAAATTATTATCATAAACGCCAAAATAAGGAATCCTTCTGTGGGGAGAGGTGGTGTTGTAATCAAAGACCTGGGTGGTACTTACGTAAGTGTTTGTTTTATAAATATTAAGTAACCTTGACATCTATTAATCTATTTTAATGCATTTTCTACATGCATGTTATATTTCACAATAAAAATGGAGATTACTAAATTAATTACCAAAACTATTACTAAAGTAATTAGAGCAATTAACACAGTACAATATTGCAGAGATAGACAATTAGGCCAATGAAACAGAAAAAAGAGTCACACGTATATGAATCACATGATGTGTATCAGATATGTCACTACAGAGACAGGCTGTTAATGACAAATGATGTAAAACACTTGGGTCTCTATAAAGAAAAACATTTCAGGCCTTTACCTCACACCATACACAAAAATCTATTCCTGGTTGATTAAAGACCTAAATGTAAAAGTTAAAGCAAAAAAGACATTTTGGAATAACATAAGAGAATATCTTTATGATCCTGAGGTAGAAAAAGGTTTCTTAAGTAAGACACCAAAAGCAAAAGGAAAAGCCCAAAGGAAAAGACCGATAAATCTGAGGTAAGTACAATTTAAGAACTTCTATCTATTCAAAGCTGCTATAAAGTTTGAAAAGCGGCCAGTCACACTGATTTATGCCTGTAATCCCAGCACTTTGGAAGGCTGAGGTGGGTGAATCATTTGAGGTCAGGAGTTTGAGACCAGCCTGGCCAACATGGTGAAACCCCGTCTCTACTAAAAATACAAAAATTAGCCGGGCATGGTGGCGTGCGCCTATAGTCCCAGCTACTCAGGAGGCTGAGGTGGGAGAATCGCTCAAACAAGGAGGTGGAGGTTGCAGCAAGCCAAGATCATCACTGCACTCCAGCCTGGGAGACAGAGAGAGATGCCATCTCAAAAAAAAAAAAAGATTGAAAAGCAAATCACAAAATGGGAGATACTTGCAAAACAATACGCAACAAAGGCTTTATTTATAATATACATACTCCTATAAATCCATAAAAATAACTAGACAAGGGTGCTCAACATTATTAGTAATAAAATGGAAAATGAAATTGAAATGAGTTACCACCATACACACTAAAATTAAAAATCTAGCAGTATCGAGTGCTAGCATAGATGTGGATAATGGGAACTGTCATACATTACTGGTGGGAGTATAAATTGCACAACCATTTGGAAAACAGTTTGGCACTATTTAGTAAATGCCCCAGAAGTTGAAATTCAAGCTATATATTCTCAAGAAACTTGTAAATCCATGTACCAGGAGACATGTACAAGAATATTCATAGCAATATTGTTCATAATAGCCCCAAACTGGAAACAAAGACAGGATACCATGAACCCTGGAAACAAAGAGAATGGGAAGGTAGCAACCTTGGATTCTGATGGCTTTTTAGTTCGGTTCCAGTCTCTGATGAGGTCTAACTGCCCTTTGTACCCTTTTAATAAATTTCCTATTTTGCTTAAGCTAATTTGAGTAGATTTTCTGTTACTTGCAATCAATAGAGCCTTGCATAGGGGAAAAAATGTGGTGAAAAAATCCTATAGATTACAAGAGACTTAAGAGACATATCAACCAATGTGAGGACCATATTTGGGTTCTGATTTAGACACACAGATTGTGAAGCAAAGCACAACATGTAACAGCAAATAATTTTTTAAAGATCACCCCAAAACTCATCATACCTCTGGTTCGAGGTCTCTCGTGAGATTGCAGTTATCTCAAGGGTCTACTGAGGCTGGAGGATCTGCTTCCAGGCTCACTCATGCAGCTGTTGGCAGGCCTGAGTTCCTCCCCATTCTGGCTTCTCCATATTCACAACATGGCAGCTGGCAGGACCAACTATATGTGTTGGGCCCAATACAAAATAAAAACACAGGGCCCTTAGTTCAAAAATTATTCAGAATTTCAAGACAGTGACAGCAAAGCATTAAACGAAGTGCAAAGTCCTTCTAAGCCCAGGACTCTGTCTTGACTGCATAGATTACAAACCTTTGAAGCCACCTCTGGCAGGTAATGACCTGAATGAGAGAGCAACCAAGATGGAAACCAAAGTCTTTTTGCAACCTAATCTCAGAAGTGACATCCTGTCATTTTTGTTATAGTCTACTCCTTAGAAACAAATTGGTTAAGTCTATTCCACACTTAATGGGGAGGAAATTGTACAAGGGCAAGAAGACAATTGGCCTGGCTGGGCGCGGTGGCTCACGCCTGTAATCCCAGCACTTTGGGAGGCCGAGGCGGGTGGATCACGAGGTCAGGAGATCGAGACCATCCTGGCTAACACGGTGAAACCCCATCTCTACTAAAAATATAAAAAATTAGCCGGGCATGGTGGTGGGCGCCTGTAGTTCCAGCTACTCGGGAGGCTGAGGCAGGAGAATGGCATGAACCCAGAAGGTGGAGCTCGCGGGGAGCCGAGATCGCGCCACTGCACTCCAGCCTGGGCAACAGAGCAAGACTCCGTCTCAAAAAAAAAAGAAAAAGAATACCAACTGGCCATTGTGGATCATATTAGAGACCCTCTACCACAACAATCATTTGTAAGATAATCAGGGAAATTTGAACACTGAGTGGATAATGATGATATTGTACTTAAATTAGAAGAGTATTATCATTTAGAGACACATACCAAAATATCTACAGATTAAATAATCGAATGCCTTGGATTTGCCTCAAAGTAATATAGGGTGAGAGAGGAGTAGAAGCATAGATTGGTTATGGGTTAACCATTGTTGAAGTGGATGATGGGTATATGGAATTCATTATACTCTATTTTTGGATGTGTTTGAAATGTCTTATAAAAAGGAGCCTTGCTTATCTAAGACAATAAACCACCTCACTAAATTCATAACTGAATTTAGATGAGTATATCAGTATGATGTAAATTGAGGACAGACTCTTAGGGAAGGAAATAGGGGCTTGAAACATCAAAAGGATGACACTATGCCTGTTAGTCCATTTGCTTCAAAATTTCCAAATTCTCATGGTGCTTCTTAGAAAAGAAAGTAAGTATTAGAGAAGCAGCTGAAGGAAGAGGCTGGAGTGATTGGCCTATGGAAGAGAACCAACACATACCAACTTCAAGTCAGTGAAGTGTGATTCTTGCCTTGCTCTCCAGTTTTATCTTCAGCCCTGGAGAATTCCCACGGCCTGCTTGTGCTAGACTAGGCATAAGGATGGGGCTGCTTTTGAGCTGTTGGAATTAGGGGTCTTATTGCTATGGTATTTGCTTTACATGTTTAGTATTAAGACCTTGCAGTGAATGATGTTTCAGCCTATGATATTGAATTAAAGTGTAAAAGCATGTGGCAAAATAGGAAGAGAAGCTAGGAATCAAAGAAGATAATAAAAAGTGCTAATGAAGGATTGTATGTCCAGAAATACTATTACCACACTCAGTCAGCTATACACATGGATGATTTTTATTTTAAATATTCTTTACAGTTTTTATTTAAGGTGACTTTTAAAGACAAGCTGCTTTTTCTTAAATTATCTTGTTTTTCAGGCCTGACACTTAGTTTGCTGGCAAGGCAACTGATTCCTCCTCTCAACATCGCTTATGCAGCTTTCTGTTCTTCGGTAATCTATGTAATTTTTGGATCGTGTCATCAAATGTCCATTGGTGAGTTCAGCACTGAAATACACATGCGGTGGATGAAGTTTCCATCTTGATCATATACTTATTGCTAAGGTACCCAACATAAAGCTTTAAGATAGAAAGAAAGGAGGCAGGAGGTGGACATTCTATCCATACAGTTAGTGTTCAGATTGTAGAAATAAATACTTCTAGTGTATCATTATTGTCAACACCAGAAAACAGGCCAGCAAGATGTTTCCCAAAGAAATTAAAGGGCAGAGGTACTTTCCTTAAGAAATCATCACACATTGGAATCTGACTTCCCTCAACCCAGAAGATGCAGGAATGATTGTGTCAATACTCCTAGAGCAGATACTTCTTTCATCTGAACCATAATAACCAAACTCCATGGGCTGACTTGTAATACAGCATGCCAGCTTATTAATTTACAGTGAGAAAATGTTATCACAGTAATCAAAACACTGACATCCATAGGATAAGTACTTCCCTTCCCTGAGTCAAAAGTCCATCTACTAATTTATAATTAGAAATAACTATTACAGAGGCCAGACTAATTAAAGGTCATATGATCAGCACATTTACTTCACCTAGGTGAGCCTGCATAGAAATCAAATCACAAAATTCCCCCATAAGTTTAGAAGGTCATTGCCAACATTTACTCAGTGATGTGCCTTTTCCTGGATTTCTCCACTGAACTGACCAATCCACCAACATTTACCATTCTGAATGACACATTCTTTATATATGTTTTTATGTTCAGTCTGATTAACATCCCATCCTTCCAGACGTGAAGTGCTACTTTTCCTTTTTTAAGAATAGCTTGGCCAGGTACGGTGGCTCATGCCTGTAATCGCAGCACTTTGGGAGGCCGAGGCAAGTGGATCATGAGGTCAGGAGTTTGAGACCAGCCTGGCTAACATAGTGAAACCCCACCTCTACTAAAAATACAAAAAATTAGTTAGGCGTGGTGGCGGGTGTCTGTAATCCCAGCTACTTGGGAGGCTGAGGCAGGAGAATTGCCTGAACCCGGGAGGTGGAGGTTGCAGTGAGCCAAGATCACACCATTGCACTCCAGCCTGGGCAACAAGAGCGAAACTCCGTCTCAAAATAAATAAATAAATAATAAAAATAAAGAATAGCTCATGTCTTTATTCAATCTGCTATGTGTTGATTTTACATTTGAACACCAATAAAACAATTTTATTCCTATATTTCCAAGTTTCTGAGGAACCTCACAATCATTTCCAAATACTTATAATAAGGGTTGTTAGAGATTTATTTATGTTAGGTAAATTTAAAGTTAAGATATATCTTTGCTCTCTTATGTGTTATGACAATATGAGGACTAAACAAAACAATGTTTGAAATAAGTTTAATTTACCTCAGTGTCAGTATTATTTTTCTTCCTATTGTTATTGATTGCTTCATTATCTTTTCTTTTCTTTTCTTTTTTTTTTTTTGAGATGGAGTTTCGCTCTTGTTGCCCAGGCTGGAGTGCAATCGTGCCATCTCGACTCACTGCAACCTCTGCCTCCTGGCTTCAAGTGATTCTCCTGTCTCAGCCTCCTGAGTAGGTGGGATTACAGGCATGCACCACCATGCCCAGCTAATTTTGTATTTTTGGTAGAGACGGGGTTTCTCCATGTTGGTCAGGCTCGTCTCAAACTCCTGATCTCAGGTGATCCACCTGCCTCAGCCTCCCAAAGTGCTAGGATTACAGGCGTGAGCCACCATGCCCGGTGATTGCTTTCTTTTCTAATATTTTCACTGCCATCTCACTTTTAACCTTCTCTAAGAGCAGACACAGCAGCTGAGCCTGACACCCATTTCAGTCAACTTCTCTATTCCACTCAACATACCCATAACACAAAGAGACTAAATACCTAAACCACCACCATCTAAATCCCATGAGTTGGTCACAATATGTGGAGACACAGTTCTCTTTTTTGATTTTTCTTACTTCTCAATGGCCACTTTCAAATGAGAAAAGTTATTCAGTTGAAGGACAATCCAGAATTCAACCATACCTTGCTTTTGTCAATATCAGTTTACCTGGACTTGAAACTTCACCTTCTACCTAACATCTTCTTCCACAGGTTCCTTCTTCCTGGTGAGTGCTCTGCTGATCAACGTTCTGAAAGTGAGCCCATTCAACAACGGTCAACTGGTCATGGGATCTTTCGTCAAGAATGAGTTTTCGGCCCCCTCCTACCTTATGGGCTATAATAAATCCTTGAGTGTGGTGGCAACCACAACTTTTCTGACTGGGATTATTCAGGTAGGATCTGAGTCTTCAAATCCCTGAAAAGGAACTGAATAAAGGGGCTATAAACAGACCCCTTCCTTATACTGCTCCTGTGATCCACTGTGATATACCTGGAACTTCAGTGATTTATTTTTTGAAAAATCAGAGGCTGTGTGAATAGCGTGTCTCCTTAGTGACAAAACTTCTCTCTCCTCAGAAATCATCTACCACTGATTTAGGATGAGATATTAAACATTCTCTTCAGTCCTTTCACCTCTAAGACAAAGGGTCTAAGGGATGATGGTCCAGAGCAGTGGTCCCCAACCTTTTTGAAACCGGGGACCAGTTGCAAAAGAAGACAATTTTTCCACAAATGGCAGGTCGGGGCCAGGGAGGGTGGTGGTTTTGGGATGAAACTGTTCCACCTCAGATGACCTGGCATTTGATTCTCATAAGGAGCATGCAACCTAGATTCCTCGCATGTGCAGTTCACAATAGGGTTTGTGCTTCCCTGAGAATCTAATGCTGTGGCTGATCTGACAGAAGGTGGAGAGCTCAGGCAGTGATGCTTGCTTGCCTGCTGCTCACCTCCTGCTGTGCAGCACCCGGTTCCTAACAGGCCACAAACCAGTACCAGTACTGGTCGGTGGCCCCAGGGGTCTGGGGACTCTTAGTCCAGAGCTCCACTCCTGATCTTACCTTTTCAAAAATTGCTTCATATTCTTTTTTTTTTTTTAGATGGAGTTTTGCTCTTGTTGCCCAGGCTGTAGTGCAATGGGACAATCGTGGCTCACTGCAATCTCCGCCTCCCAGGTTCAAGTGATTCTCCTGCCTCAGCCTCCCAAGTAGCTGGGATTACAGGTGCATGCCACCACACCCAGCACATTTTTATATTTTTAGTAGAGAAGGGGTTTCACCATGTTAGCCAGGCTGGTCTTGAACTCCTGACCTCGGGTGATCCACCCACCTCGGCCTCCCAAACTGTTGGGATTATAGGTGTGAGCCACTGCACCCAGCCAAAAGTTGCTTTATATTCTATCAACAAGAATGGACTCATTTAGCTGGGCATGGTAGCATGTGCCTGTAGTCCCAGTTACTCAGGAGGCTGAGGTGGGAGGATCACTTGAGCCCAGGAGGTTGAGGCTGCAGTAAGCTGTGATCATGCCACTGCACTCCAGCCTGGGTGGCACAGCGAGACCCTGTCTCCAAAATAATAATAATAATAAAAATAATGATGGCCTCACAGGCTCACACACTATCTTTGGGTTAGTAAGCTTTAGAGCCAGATCTGGAATCCTTTTTCTGCATTGACAAGGACCACAGCTAAAGGACAATAATATGAATGACTCATTAAAATCTCAAAACTTATTTTGGCTCTGTCTTTAATTTCCTCTGAGAGTCTATCACCAAAAGTTCATCTACTGAACTAGTCACATCCTCCAGGCTTATTTCTCTTTTTTCTCAACTAACCCAGTCTCTAGTTGATTTTCACTGATCTCCCCTGGGACTGTCTTTCACTAAGTAAAGATTTATTGGGTACCTACAAAGGCAGGCTATCAAAGTGGGCAGACTCCAGCCCTGACACTATGAGCTGTGTGAATTTTGGTAAATTATTTTACCTTGGTGGGCCTCAGTTTCCTCATGTATAAAGCAGGAATAATATTTGTTTTGCAGGGTTCTTAGGAGGATTTAGTGAAAAAAATGCATGCAAAGTATTTAGCCTAGAGCTTGTCACATAGTAAGCATCAATAAGTTATAATTAGTGGGCACAGAGAAATGAATTTGGTACTTTAACAGAGACCAAAAATTTAAAAAACAATATATAGTTTCCTGTGGTTAAAAAGTTTAATCTTGTGGGATAAGACAAAATACACAAGCAACCTTTTAATTATCAAGGGGCCTCATGCATGCTTTCTCTTCTCCTTCAAGCCTCAGCTTTTTTCATCTAAAAAAGGAAGAGGGCTGGGCATGGTGGCTCACATCTGTAATCCCAGCACTTTGGGAGACTGAAGCAGGAGGATTGCTTGGGGCCAGGAGTTTGAGACCAGCCTGGGCAACATAGGCAAACTCTGTCTCTACAAAACAAAATAAAAAAAAAAAATAGCTGGGTGTGGTGGTGCACGCCTGTAGCACACTACTATGGTCCTTATTTTAAGAAAACAAGGGCATAGAGAGGTTAAGAAAATTGCCCAAGGTCACATAGCTAAGACACCAAACTGGGATTCAGTTTTAGGGTTGTCTGATTGTAGAATCTGTGCTCTAGGAAATCTTAAGCATAAAATAATATTCATATAAGAGTTTAGTGCCAAAAGAACATGAAGTTAAAAAATAACCTCTAG
Source organism: Homo sapiens (assembly GCF_000001405.40). NCBI lineage: Eukaryota > Metazoa > Chordata > Mammalia > Primates > Hominidae > Homo > Homo sapiens. The sequence continues at coordinate 35,995,431 of NC_000006.12, read as the reverse complement.
TTGAGTCGAAGTTATCTGGGAAGGAAACAACTATTTATTGAGCCCTCCCTTTCATTCATTCAACATTTAGTACTGGCTTCCTATAAGAATGGCAGATAGGTTTCATCTCACAGGCCAACCCTGACTGATTAACAGTGGCTGCCTAGAATATTATGTTAACACTGAACGTGATGCCATATTACAGTGGGCAAGAAAGAGTTCTAAGGCAATTGCAGATTTTTGCCATTTACAAGATGGAAGGCAGGGATGGTATGAAGAAGAGTAACATATATTTGCATATATGAGTGATACATATTTGTCACTATTTTCACATCTGAGCTAGGTATTTTACATGTGTGATGAAATTTAATCTATTCAAAACACTTTACATTGAATATTATTCACATTTTATAGATGAGGAAACTGAGGTTCAAAGAGTTAACTTGCCCACACTTACACAGCCAATGAGTGGCTGGGCCAGGACTGAAGCCAGATTCTCCAAGCCCAGGAACCATGCTTTTTTCACCACACTCCTTAAAGGAGAGGAATTTTACTGAGCTCTTGAAAGATGATGCAGGCCAGCCACAGTGGCTCACGCCTGTAATTCCGGCACTTTGGGAGACCAAAGCGGGTGGATCACTTGAGGTCAGGAGTTCAAGACCAGCCTGGCCAACTTGGCGAAACCCTGTCTCTACTTAAAAATACAAAAATTAGCCAGGCGTGGTGCTGGGCACCTGTAATCCCAGCTACTCGGGAGGCTGAGGTGGGAGAATCACCTGAACCTGGGAGGCACAGGTTGCAGTGAGCCAAGATTGTACCACTGCACTCCAGCCTGGGTGACAGAGCAAGACTCCGTCTCAAAAAAAAAAAAAAAAGAGATGATGCACATGGATTGGCAGAGATGGAAAAAAGAGGGGCTCATGCATAAGCACAGAAGTAGGAGTCAGCCAGTCACGCAAGAAATAGGAAGCAGACTGGCCTGACTAGAGTAAAATAGAACATTGGGCGGCAATGACAGGAGATTAAGGGAGAGACAGTTGGCAGGGCGCAGTGGCTCACGCCTGTAATCCCAGCACTTTGAGAGGCCGAGGCGGGCGGATCACAAGGTCAGGAGATCGAGACCATCCTGGCTAACACGGTGAAACCCTGTCTCTACTAAAAATACAAAAAATTAGCCGGGCTTGGTGGCGGGCGCCTGTAGTCCCAGCTACTCGGGAGACTGAGGCAGGAGAATGGCGTGAACCTGGGAGGTGGAGATTGCAGTGAGTCGAGATCACGCCACTGCACTCCAGCCTGGGCGACAGAGCAAGACTCCGTCTCAAAAAAAAAAAAAAAAGAAAAGAAAAAAAAAGGGAGACACAGTGCCGGGCTGATTGAAAGCTTTGAAACAAAAACCTGTTAAAGCAAAATGATTTATTGTTCCAAATTTGTTTGTTTTCTGAGAGCTTTTAGTGGAGTGGAGAGTGAAGTGATGATTGTAAGCTTTAAGACTTCTGTTTTGCTCCTTTCCACCCTGCTTACTGAAAAGTCTTCATTGGGCTGTGCCAGTTTTCTTAACCTACCCTCTTTTTGTTTTTTATTTTTCTTGTTGTAGAGACAAAGTGTCGCCATGTTGCCCAGGCTCATCTCAAATTCCTGAGCTCAAGCGACCCTCCCACTTGAGCCTCCCAAAGTGCTGAGATTACAGGCATGAGCCACCACACCCAACCTAATTGTGGTTTTTATTATAAAAGACGAACATCTCAAATAGTAAAAAAGTGTATAAATTATCAAATATTGTCCCCAACATCTAACCCCATTCCCCAAAGGTAATTCCTGTTAATCATTTGAGGTCTATCCTTTTAGATCCTGTGTGTATAAAATTTTATTATATACTATATAACATAAATTTTACATATGCATATTGACATGTAAAATACCTTTTTTATTTTCCTTCAGGATATGCATAATCCTGAAAACATAAATAAATTCAATTTAATTATTCTCAGTAAAGATAAGAGTCAAAGGCCAAGAAGTTTGAGCTCGATCCCACTGTTTTGAAATTCTCTTCTCCTTTGTGAAAAGCTGCATTCCTCAGAGGAATGTTAACATCTCCTGAAAAGGGCTATCAAAGCTTCTAATGAAAGAGGTTTAAAAAGGCAAAGGCAGGCCAGGCACAGTGCGTTCATGCCTGTAATCCCAGGGTTTTGGGAGGCCAAAACAGGAGAATCACTTGAGGTCAGGAGTTCGAGACCAGCCTAGGTAATATAGCAAGACCCCCCCCTCCAATCTCTATCAAAAAAAAAAAAAAAAAAAATGCCCAGTGTGAGCATCTGTAGTCCCAGCTATTTGGGAAGTTGAAGCAGAGAATCCCTTGTGCCCAGGAGTTTGAGGTTACAGTGAGCTATGATTGCACCACTGCACTCCGGCCTGGGCAACAGAGTGAGATCCTGTCTCATAAATAAATAAATAGGCAAAGGCTTGTTCTGATCACCTTGTCCCTGTTTTCCCCAAGTCAACCTAGAGAGCAGTAGATTCTAGGGCAAGAACTTAAGTGAGCTGACTGCTCACAAAGAAGGAAAGGAGTAGTGTGAGCTAGCACTTGTTGGGAGCCTCTGATCAACATACAAGGACCCGTGTTATCAACTTCTGTTCATTAGGGAAAGAGAGTTACAAGAGTTACCAAAGGGGCCTATCTTAACTTTTCTATTGGAAACCCTTCTTTTCCTGGAGAGTGCCATTGGTGCCATTGCTGGATTGAAGACATTCTACCCCACTCTGGTTTTCTCTTCTCTGCAGCTAATAATGGGCGTATTGGGTTTGGGCTTCATTGCCACTTACCTTCCGGAGTCTGCAATGAGTGCTTACCTGGCTGCTGTGGCACTTCATATCATGCTGTCCCAGCTGACTTTCATCTTTGGGATTATGATTAGTTTCCATGCCGGTCCCATCTCCTTCTTCTATGTGAGTAATTTCAACTCTTACCCAGAGTTACAAATGCCACTCCTCTTGCCTCCAAAGAAAAGTGGAGCTCAGTAGGGAGACTCCCGCCCCTTCTGAAAGGAGACACAGCCTATAGGCAGCTCAGTCAAGAGGGTACTAGAAATATTTTCCTTTATTGGAGAATTAGGGTCTTGATTAATTGCAGATGCCAGTTAGACCATGCTTTCAGTTGACTAACCATTTCAGCTCAGCCTTTTAAACTATCATGATATACATTAAAATTTGGCCTTTAAGATATTGTATCTATCACAGTTCTTCTCATTACCTATCTTATAACAGACATGTATCCTAAAACATCTAAAGGATATACAAGACTAAGTAGTTCCTAAATGTAAGAATAGGGTAGGAGCTAAGCTACAGTATATTATTTGGGAAAACTAATAACTATTGGCTTATAAACAGAACTTCTAGGGCCTGTTCATTATACTAAAACATACAGTGTATTCTCTCCTTATTCTTATTGAGCATTACTGTCCCTCTTTTTACAAAATTGGCCACCCCCACCATGCTTGCCCTCACTGTTCTAGTAATACCCATAAAGACCTTTGTACCCAGAAACTCTACTTGGGGACTTCTTTTTGGGTTAATCTACAGTGTCAATTTCTAGACTTAGGCAATTACTACATCCCTTTCTAAGCCTCCGTAATTTTATTTTCTTTCAGGACATAATTAATTACTGTGTAGCTCTCCCAAAAGCGAATTCCACCAGCATTCTAGTATTTCTAACTGTTGTTGTTGCTCTGCGAATCAACAAATGTATCAGAATTTCTTTCAATCAGTATCCCATTGAGTTTCCCATGGAATTATTTCTGGTAGGTGTTTTTGATGTCTCAAATTCATAGTTTGCATAATTTTAGTATTTTAAAAAAATGCTGAGTTGAATTGTGTAAAAGCTGAATACATTTAGTTTTCAATATATGCTTATATTTGTGAAAACATGCTTGTTTTCTTTTTCTAAAATATTTTAATACTACAGTTGACAACTAAAAATTGAATCTATTGTTTATGATGTGATATTCTGATATACATAGTGAAATGTTTAAATCAAGTTTTTTTTTTTTTTTTTTTTGACAGAGTCTTGCTCTGCTGCCCAGGATGGAGTGCAGTGGTGCAATCTTGGCTCACTGCAACCTCTGCCTCCCAGGTTCAAGCAATTCTCTTGCCTCAGCCTCCTGAGTAGCTGGAATTACAGGTGTGTGCCACAATGGCGAGCTAATTTTTGTATTTTTTTTAATAGAGACAGGGTTTCACCATGTTGGCCAGGCCGGTCGCAAACTCCTGACCTCAGGTGATCCACCTGTCTCGGCCTCCCAAAGTGCTAGGATTACAGGCGTGAGCCACCACGCCTGGCCTAATTATCATTTTTAATTGTTTTCGCCTTGCAGCCCTAGCAGCAGTTATTATTTTTGTTGTGAGAACATTTAAGATCTACTCTCTTAGCAATTGCAAGTACACATTATTAACTATAGTCACAATAGCACAATAGATCTCCCTCACACAATGCTTATTCTCCAAGTACTTTTATCTATTGCCTCGTTCTCATAAGATTTCAAGGATAAGGTTTTTTTTTCCCCTTATGAAAGAAATACGGGCTCATTCTAAGTTTGAAAAACATAAGGAAGTTTAAAAAAGTGGTTGAGGAAAAGAAATTCCTATAGTTGCACCATCCAAAGTCAACTACTATTGATACTTTAGTATTTTCAGTTATTCACTCCTTTCTTCTCTCAGACAAACATATGACAGGCCTAGCCTCAATGTTGGTGAATTTCCGTCTTTTTCTACATAAATGTTTTATTTTTATTTTAATGTAGTTGAAATCACACTGTTTTCAACTTCCATTCCTTCTCACTATGCTACAATAAGGAAATTGAGGCAGCTCATCCCTGGACTTGAACATAGGAGCACATCTAGATGAGAAGATGTCAAACTGAGAGGACCTTCCTAAAAAATTAAAATAAAATAAAATCCAAGAGTTGAGGCACAAGCAATCTCATGTTAAATGATAACAGGCAAAGGGCCAAAGAACCAAGGAGGAAATGAACGGCCCTTTCCTATGGCTAGAACCAGATGCATTCACAAAGGGAACATATGATGTTCATGGAGAAACAATTGGAAGATTTGAACATCTTGTTCAATAAGAACCCATACCCAAACCTCAGCCTTCAGAAAGAAATGGCCTCAAAAATGGACATGTATCCAACAGTACAGGTTTGGCTCAAGAACCACAGAGCAGAGGCCAGGTGCGGTGGCTCATGCCTGTAATCCCAGCACTTTAGGAGGCCAAGGCAGGCAGATTACCCGAGGTCGGGAGTTCGAGACCAGCCTGACCAACATGGAGAAACCCTGTCTCTAATAAAAATACAAAACTAGCCGGGTGCGGTGGCATGTGCCTGTAATCCCAGCTACTCAGGAGACTGAGGCAGGAGAATGGCATGAATCCAGGAGGCAGAGCTTGCAGTGAGCCGAGATAGTGCCACTGCACTGCAGCTTGGGTGAAAGAGCGAGACTCCGTCTCAAAAAAAAAAAAAAAAAAAAAAAAAAAAGAAAAGAAAACAAACAAACAAACAAAAAAAAAACAGAACAAAACTCAAGAAAGCAAAATGCAAGCTTATTCAGCAAACACAATCTCAACAACAGCAATTAGCTGAGGATAGAGTCAAGACCAGTCCTTCCTAAGAAATACAGATATACCAGCCAAATCTCCTAATGATGCCTATCTTGTAGTCCTAGTTTATACAGATCACTGGGCACCCTGGTTGCGACTCACGTTATGCTCCGATGTTAAGGTCCCTACAGATGACTTTGTTGTCCACAAAACACTTCATTTTGACTGCTGCCAAGATCCTAGAACATACTGCTTCTGCTTCTATCCCATTTTTGGAATCCTGAGTTTATTCTCCATGTTTCAATTCTAATTCTTTTGACTGTTCACCTCTACAAAGTAGAGAGAGATACTAGACACAAAAGGTAACATATTGTAATGTGTGTAATGATTTCCTACAAGAGAGTACTTTTCATCAATAAGGAACAAACCCGGAGATACACACACACATTGTGTGTACAACATGGATGGATTTCAAAAACATTATGTAGCATGAAAGAAAAAAGACACAAAAGGCTACATACTGTATAATTCCATTACATGAATTCCTAGAGCAGGAAAAACTAATCTGTCATGACAAAAAGATTAGTGGCTGCCCATGTGGAAAAATTAAATAGTAAGTGGTAGAAAACTAATTTATCAGGGTGATGGAAATGTTTCATGTGTTAATTAGCTGTTAGTTAGGGTGGCAGTTACCTGGCGTATAAATTCCTCAAAACATATAGAACTGGCCGGGTGCGGTGGCTCACGCTTGTAATCCCAGCACTTTGGGAGGCCGAGGTGGGTGGATCACGAGGTTAGGAGATTGAGACCATCCTGGCCAACATGGTGAAACACCATCTCTACTAAAAATACAAAAACTTAGCCGGGCGAGGTGGCAGGCGCCCATAGTTCCAGCTACTCGGGAGGCTGAGGCAGGAGAATGGTATGAACCTGGGAGGCAGAGCTTGCAGTGAGCCGAGATTGCACCACTGTACTCCAGCCTGGGCAACAGAGCGAGATTCCGTCTCAAAAAAAAAAAAAAAAACCGTATAGAACTGTATATCTAAAAGCTGTGCACTTTATTGTATCTAAATTATACCTTAATAAAAATAAATATATATAACAAAGAAATTGAGGCAAATGAGATGTTAAATGTTTTTTCTAATCTGTGTCATTAGTAAGTAGCAGAGCTAGGGCTCACTGTCTAATAATAATATTTCTTGTTTCTTTTCTTTTCTTTTCTTTTTTCTTTGAGGCAGAATCTCGCTCTGTCACCCAGTCTGGAGTGCAGTGGCATGATCTCGGCCCACTGCAACCTCCGCCTCCCAGATTCAAGCGATTCTCCTTCCTCAGCCTCCCGAGTAGCTGGGATTACAGGTGCCCACCACCATGCCCAGCTGATTTTTATATTTTTAGTAGAGATGGGGGTTTCGCCATGTTGGCCAGGCTGGCCTCAAACTCCTGACCTCAAGTGAGCTGCCTGCCTCAGTGTCCCAACGTGCCAGGATTACAGGCATGAGCCAATGCATCTGGCCTCTTGTTTCTTTTCTAAAATCTGCTGATAAAATTTATCTTTTACAGTTATAATTAACATTTTACCATGATAAAGATATTTTCATCAATAAAGCTCAGATTTTCTAAGTCAGCATTTTTCATTTTAAGATTGCTGAATTCGGGGCCGGGCACGGTGGCTCACGCCTATAATCTCAGCACTTTGGGAGGCCGAGGTGGGCCGACCACCTGAGGTCAGGAATTCAAGACCAGCCTGGCCAACATGGTGAAACCTTGTCTCTACTAAAAATACAAAAATTAGCCGGGCATGGTGGCGTGTGCCTGTAATCCCAGCTACTCCAGAGGCTAAGGCAGGAGAATCACTTAACCCGGGAGGCGGAGGTCGCAGTGAGCCAAGATCATGCCACTGCCCTCCAGCCTGGACGACAGAGCAAGACTCCATGTAAAAAAAAAAAAAAAAAAAGAAAGAAAGGTTGCTGAATTTTTGGGTGTCAATGAGAATTATTTCTTTTTTAAGTGGTGGTCTGTGGCAAAGATGCTTAAAGTTAACCAAATAATCATGTGTCCCCTGCACCTCCCAGTCTCTCTTGCAATTAGGAGGACCCTGTGACTTTTGAGCCAAAGTAGAGGTGAATAGGTGCAAGTTCCCTCTTCTTTCCTCCCCTGCTGTGATGATGACAGGGGCAGTATGTTAAGAAAATGGAGACTGGGAGCGGTGGCTCACGCCTGTAATCCCAGCACTTTGGGAGGCCGAGACAGGTGGATCACGAGGTCAGGAGATTGAGACCATCCTGGCTAAATGGTGAAACCCTGTTTCTACTAAAAAGACAAAAAAATTAGCTGGGCATGGTGTTGTGCACCTGTAGTCCCAGCTACTCGGGAGGCTGAGGCAGGAGAATGGCATGAACCCGAGAGGCGGAGCTTGCAGTGAGCTGAGATCATGCCACTGCACTCCAGCCTGGGAGACAGCAAGACTCTGTCTCAAAAAAAAGAAAAGGAAATGGAATCCCTAGGTGAAATTAGCTCAAATCCCTGGGGCACTGCTTGCAAAGAAGCTGCCTGAGAGATACCAACCCACCATGGACTTTGTGTGGGCAAAAAAATAACTTCGATGTGTTAAAATGCTACAATCTCATGGCTTGTACATTGCCACAGCATAACCCACTTATACTAACTAATCCAGGTCTATCCTCTTCAAGGTTGAAAAATACTGCCTTGGGACTTTAGACTAAACTTTCTTATAACTGTTACCTAGTTCTTGTAGAGGTGCATATTCTTTTCCCTTTGAATGTTTGAAAAGCTATTAATTCATAAAGCCCAGAAGCTGAAAGGCTTGTTTTTCAAAAGATTTTACAAAACCCTGAAGGCAGATCCAGCAATCCCACTATTGGGTATATATCTAAAGGAAATGAAATCAATATGTTGAGTAGATACCTGCACTCTCATGTTCGCTGCAGCACTATTTAAAAGACCTAAGATACGGAATCAACCCAAGTGTTCATCAACAGATAAATGGATACATGTGGTATATACAGGTATTAGTTGACAGACATGTAACAAAAAATGATTTTTAAAAAAATGTGGTATACATATACAATGGAATACTATTCAGCCTTAAAAAAAAAGGAAATCCTTCTCCTTAAAGCCTGGGTATTTTGTTTAAAAAAATTAAAATAAAATAAAAAATAAAAAGAAGGAAATCTTGTCATTTGGGACAACATGGATGAACCCAGAGGACATGTTAAGTGAAATAAGCCAGGCACAGAAAGAAAAGTACTGCATGATCTCATTGATATGTGGAATCTAAAAAGGTTGAACTCATTGAAGTGAAGAGTAGAATGGTGGTTACCAGGGTCTAGAGTTGCGGGAGAGTGGTTTGGGGAGATGTTGGCCAAAGGATACAAAATTTCAATTTGATAAGAGGAATAATTTCAAGAGATCTTTTGTACAATATAGTAACTACAGTTAGTAACAATGTATCATATTCTTGAAAATTGCCAAGAGATTAGATTTTAAGTGTTTTCACCACACCAAAAAAGATATGTAGGCATGGTAGCTCACACCTGTAATTTCAGCACTTTGGGAGGCCGAGGCGCGTGGATCACCTGAGGTCAGGAGTTCGATACCAGCCTGGCCAACAGGGAGAAACTCTGTTTCTACTAAAAACACAAAATTAGCTGGGCATCATGGCACATGCCTGTAATCCCAGCTACATGGGAGACTGAGGCAGGAGAATTGCTTGAACCCAGGAGGTGAAGGTTGCAGTGAGCCGGGATTGTGCCATTGCACTCCAGCCTGGGCAACAAGAGCAAAACTCCGTCTCAAAAAAAAAAAAAAAAAAAAAAAAAAAGATGTATATGTGAAGTAATGCATCTATTAATAGCTCGATTCAGCCATGCCACAATGTGTATATATATATATTTTAAAACAACATGTTGTATATGACAAATATATATGATTTTTATTTGTTAATTCTTAAAAACAAAACCCTGGATACAAATGGTGCTCTAGAGCTCGGGAAACAATGTGTATATGGAGTTTGTAGGGTGCAGTCAGAGACAGCCTCTCCTTTCCCAGCCCATCTCTGGCACCTTAGGAGGCTGCAGCTTTGTAGTCACCAGCAGACAGCAGCCATGAACAGACAGCAGCCCTCTTTTTTTTTTTTTTTTTTTTTTTTTTTTTGAGACGGAGTCTTGCTCTGTCTCCTAGGCTGGAGTGCAGTGGCGCAATCTCAGCTCACTGCAGCCTCTGCCTCCCAGGTTCAAACGATTCTCCTGCCTCAGCCTCCCGAGTAGCTGGGATTACAGGTACACACCACCATGCCTGGCTAATTTTTTTATTTTTAGTAGAGATGGGGTTTCACCATGTTGGCCAGGATGGTCTCGATCTCCTGACTTCGTGATCTGCCCACCTTGGCCTCCCAAAGTGCTGGGATTACAGGCATGAGCCACCATGCCCAGCCCTCTCTTAAGAGACATCAGCACCAAGGATCATAGTGATGTTCCTTCAAGCAGTCTGTAAACCCAGATGTATCTGACACAGGTCTCAATCAATTTAGAAAGTTTATTTTGCCAAGGTTAAGGAAGCCCCCATGACATAGCCTCTGGAGGGAGGTCCTACCAACATGTTCAGGGTACAGCTTGCTTTTATACATTAGGGAGACACAATATATCAATCAATACCTGTAAGATTTACACTGGCTTGATCTGGAAGGGTGGGACAAATTGAAGGGGTGGGGGCTTCCATATCATAGGCAGATTTAAAATTTTTCTGATTGGTAATTGATTGAAAGAGTTATTATCAATAGAGACGAATGTCTGGGTTACGGTAAGGGGTTGTGGAGACCTAAGCTGTGTCATGCAAATGAAGCCTCCAAGTAGCAGGCTTCAAAGAGAATGGGTTGTAAATGTTTCTTGTCAGACTTAAGGGTCTGTTTTGAGGTTAATGCTGGTTGGCTTTTCCTGAATTCCAAAAGGGTGGAGGGATATAATGACGTATGTCTGACCCCTGCTTCAATCATGGCCTGAACTAGTTTTTTCAGGTTAACTTCGGAATTCCCTTGGCCAAGAGATGGGATCCATTCAGATGACTGGGGGCCTTAGAATATTGTTTTTGGTTTACACAGCCTTGAAAGCAATCAACATGAACCAGAGTTATAAGGAAAGGAGAGAAGTGAGAGTGCAAAGAATGCTGTGGTTTGACCATGGCTGACAGATTGGTTTGTGAGCCACAGTCAAGATATTCCTCTGGGGGCCAAGCTCGGTGTCTCACCCTTGTAATCCCAGCACTTTGGGAGGCAGAGGCAGGTGGATTGCTCGAGGTCAGGAGTTTGAGACCAGCCTAGCCAACATGATGAAACCCCATCTCTACTAAAAATAAAAAAAATTAGCTGGGCATAGTGGTGCACGCCTGTAGTCCTAGCTACTCAGGAGGTGGAGGCAGGAGAATTGCTTGAACCCAGGAGGTAGAGGTTGCAGTGAGCCAAGATTGTGCCACTGCACTCCAGCCTGGTTAGCAGAGCAAAGACTCTGTCTCAAAAAAAAAAAAAAAAAAAATAAGAAGAAGAAGAAAGAAAGAAAAGAAGAATATATTCCTTTGGAGAATGCTATAAATAATTACAATGCTTCATGAGGTGAGGTGAGGTAGGGGAGGAAACAGAGGTCCAGCAATAAAATAGGTGAAGGCTTACAATAATTGCAATTTAGGCATTAACCTTTTTTGTGACATAATTTGTGCTCACAGGCTATTGAAGCCTGCAACACACTACCTATACACATGTCATGTCAAGTGATGGGGACACAGTTTCTGCCACATAGCAGGGATTAGAGATGCAGGGTAGAACTAGAAAAAGACCTCCCTGTTTCCCTTAGCAGTGAGGAAAATGAGAGAGGGAGGATGGAGGCGCCCACGGTCTAGGGTCTAAAATGCCTTTTACAGCACCCACAAAGAAATTACTAATGTTTAGATGTGCTGGAGGAAACTGCACACATCTATCAATCTGTACTTAAGAGAGCAGACTCGGCCAGGCACAGTGGCTCACGCCTGTAATCCCAGCACTTTGGGAGGCCGAGGTAGGAGGATCACCTGAGGTCAGGAATTCAAGAACAGCCGGGCCAACTTGGCAAAACCCCATCTCTACTAAAAAAATACAAAAAATTAGCCAGATGTGGTGGCACACGCCTGTAATCCCAGCTACTTAGGAAGCTGAGGCATGAGAATCGCTTGAACCCAGGAGGCAGAGGTTGCAGTGAGCTGAGATTGTGCCACTGCACTCCAGCCTGGGCAACAAGAGCAAAACTTCATTTCAAAAAAAAAAAAAAGAGAGCAAAAGAGCAGACTCAATATTTAGGAAAATTTTCAAGGCAACAACTGAGATCCAGGTAGACTATACTGATAATTCAAGGGTCCCTTGGCTATAAGAAATTATACATATGTTCATAATTTATGTATATTTAAGCTGTATAGCAAACAAAAAATGTAACAATAGTTGTCTTTGGATGAGTTATTTCTGTTTTTCAATGTTTCATATTTTCATTTTTCTCTGTGAACAAGTATTACCTTTAAACTGGAAATAAGAGTTCCTTGCCATGCTTGCCATACTTCTTGCCTCTTAATTATATAAAAACCAAGACTCTTCTTCTCTGATCCAAGCTGTAATCCAGATTCTTCCTTCCATTCTAATCTGTAGACTTCCTAGGGGTCTTCATCTGATAACAGTATCACAGGTTAGTCAACTGCTGTTCTGTTCAGCGTCTGGTTGAACTCCTGCAGTAGATGCTGGGGAAAGAAGTATGTGTTAGTAGGAAGAATGGGATAAAGCAACTGTATAATTGCTATTTTAAAACATAGGAATTGAGGTCTCTTGTCTCTGGTTTAATCTGCATTGACGCAGTCTTTATAAGCTATAACAGCTGCTAGGTTGTCTCTTTTCCCTCTAATTAAAAGTCAGGGACTAGAGGGAGAATTGCCATTTTTAGAAGTAAGTGAAAGGGGGGAAAAGCAGGTAGTTGCTTTGCTACAGAACTTTTTCTTTGTGCAATTAAATGTTGCTCCATATTATTAAGGGTTAATCATGTTTCTCTTTTGGTATACCTCAACAAGCCCCTAAAAGGCATATCTGTATTACTACAATGTACCTGGAACTAAAAACTTTTGAAACTGAAAACTTGATACAGCCATTATCTGAAAACATGTTTATATTAATCTAGATGTTTAAAGTTGGTGGGGAGATTCCCCACTTCCTGATAAACTCTGAAATACCCTTTATTTAAAGAGGAGCAAAGAGGTATTTTCCAAGTCATTCAGTATTTAAATGGATCGATCTCACTGAAAGCCATTGAGATTCAAATATATTAAATATTAAAACAAGAAAAAATAAATGAAGATGATGGGGATACAGAAGTTCATGGCGTCCATTTGTTCCCATCATGTTCACAGACCAAGTTGTTTTGCACTCTGGCTTAGAGAACCAAAAGAAACAGGGAAGATCTCTAATGCCTGCCTTGCTCCGCTGAACTAGCCATGCCTCTCTCTCCAACTTGCATGCATAGGGACTGCTGCCTGTTTCATTTTCTGTCCTGCCAGAGGCAATGGGCAACTCTGCTTCTAGAAGCGATGCACTATATTTAGGTATTCATATGCCCCCATCCCTTCTTTTTTTACCCCCTACAGATTATTGGCTTCACTGTGATTGCAAACAAGATAAGCATGGCCACAGAAACCAGCCAGACGCTTATTGACATGATTCCTTATAGGTCAGTAATTCCACTTTTCAAGATTGCTTTTCTCTTTCTGATACCCTCTCTTAGCCTCTGACCACACAGCCTGATTGATATTTTCTACTAGCAGTCTCTGGCCAAAGCAAAATTCATTTTTGAACACAGAGGTTCATGAAAGGAGAAGGGCTAGGGACAACTCCTTGTGTCTTCTCTGGTCAGCCTCTGTCTCTCTTCTCATAGTTGAACCCATCCCCTTATCCAGGAAAACTGTTATATGCACTGAATACCAGAGAATCTCATGTTTTTTTTCATAGCACATGATAGGCCTTCTCAACTACTATACCTCTCTGATTAATTCTCAAGGGGTGGACAAGAGATGCCTCGGTTTTTCTAGCCTCTCTCCTGTGGCTCTGTGTTCAGAAGATGAACGTTCCTTTTGCCTTCACAAACTTAGACTAAATAGATGCCCTGTTTTATTTATTTATATATTTATTTATTTATTTTTGAGACAGGTTCTCACTCTGTTGCCTAGGCTGGAGTGCAGTGGCGCAATCATGGCTCACTGCAGCCTTGAATTCTCAGGCTCAAGTGATCCTCCCTCCTCAGCTCTCTGAGTAGTTGGGACTACAGGTGTACACCGCCGTGCACTGCCACGCCTGGCTAATTTTTTGCATTTTTAGTAGAGACAGCATTTTGCTGTGTTGCTCAGGCTAGTCTCAAAATCCCAGACTCAAACATTCCTCCTGCCTTGGCCTCCTATAGTGCTGGGATTACAGGCATGAGCCACAGTGCCCGGTCAGAATTGGTGCCCTTGAGCAACATTGTTTTCTTACTCTGGGTAGAAAGTGATCTTCAAATAGCCTGGCATATGGAGTTCTTAAGGACTCACAATCAATTTACATTATAATTCCTACCAGTGACTATGAGGCATGGCTCTTGCTTCTGTTAGGAAATTATTTTTTTTAACCTTAATCAGATGAATCACATTAGCTAAGAAAGGCAATATACTGCAGTTTCTTGACTCACAGAGAGGCTTTTGAAGAGCATTGCCCATTTCCTCACGTTGTATAATAAGGAATCCTGTAAAGAGTGAAGCATACTTGCTAAACTCCAGGATCACAAAATGTAGGCTTTTTTTTTTCTTTTTGAGACAAGTCTTGCTCTGTCGCCCAGGCTGGAGTGCAATGCGCCATCTCAGCTCACTGCAACCTCCACCTCCCGGGTTCAAGTGATTCTCCTGCTCAGCCTCCTGAGTAGCTGGAATTACAGGTGCCTGCCACCACGCCTGGCTAATTTTTGTATTTTTTGTAGAGACAGGGTTTCACCATGTTGGCCAGGCTGATCTCGAACTCCTGGACTCAGGTGATCCTCCCACCTCCACCTCCCAAAGTGCTGGGATTACAGGCGTGAGTCACCACACCCGGGCAAATGTAGGCTATTTTGACACAATCAGTTTGAACTAGTCTCATAACCTACCCAGTTCTCAATGAAATCTGACGATGGCTGAATCAACTTGAAATTCCAGTCAATTAAAAAATGTGGGCAGACACCACCTAGGTACTAGAGAGTACAAAGATAAGCAAGACACGATCTCTGTCCTCAGGAAAAAAAATAATAACAAGAACAACAGTGGGATTGACACTTTACATATTTGTATTATTTCATTTGCTCCCCACAGTAATGCTTTGAGGTAGATATTGTCTTCTTTTTTACGCTAAGGAAACTAAGGCTTCCCATGTTTAAATTACTTAGCACATTGCTCCTCCATGGCAGAGCTACCATTTGAACATATTTCTCCTTAATTCCAAAGTCTATAATTATAACCACTCTGTTATACTTACACAATATGCTTCTGTTATCAATGACTTCAAAACCACACAGCCAGGCTGGGCACAGTGCCTCATGCCTGTAATCCCAGCAGTTTGGGAAGCTGAGGCAGGTGGATCACTTGAGGCCAGGAGTTTGAGACCAGCCTGGCCAACATGGTGAAACCCCATCTCTACTAAAAATACAAAAACTAGCTGGGCATAGTGGTGTGTGCCTGCAATCCCAGCTACTTGGGAGGCTAAGGCAAGAGAATCACTTGAACCCGGGAGTTGGAGGTTGCAATAAGCTAGGATCATGCCACTGCACTCCAGCCTGGGCAATAGAGGGAGACTATCTCAAAAAGTAAAAAAGAAAAAAGAAAAAACCCACACAACCAAGTTTTGCTTATCTCTTATAAGATTCAAAGTTACAGATGGACAAATGAGCATTTCAGAAGTCTAATTTTAAGCGTTGCTTTGAGCTTTCTCTTTTATTATGTATTTATCCAGGGCTGCTAGAGAATAGTAAGATTGGACAATTTAAGTTAGCTCCTGCTGTGTCCATGTCCCCTTTTAACCTCATTTGCTAACAAGAATCGGCTGTTACAGAGAACAGAAAGGAAAAACAGTAGTTTATGTTGTTATCATACTAAATATTCAAGCTTTACTAATATAGATTGGGGTAGTAAATTACATTTACTGTGTACCTCTTTGGGACAGCCTCATTCTTACCTAGCTTCTTACAAAGACAAAAAGGTGGAATTTGATAATAAGTTAAATACCTACCTGTAAGCATTCAGTTATGCTTCTACTTAGCTCATTACCTGGAAAACGCAAAGGAGCTTGTCAGTTATAAATTATTTTATTATTTTTTTTGAGACAGAGTCTAGCTCTGTCGCCCAGGCTGGAGTGCAGTGGCACGATCTTGGCTCACTGCAACCTCCGCCTCCCGGGTTCATGCCATTCTCCTGCCTCAGCCTCCCAAGTAGCTGGGACTACAAGCACCTGCCACCACGCCCGGCTAATTTTTGTATTTTTAGTAGCGATGGGGTTTCACCGTGTTAGCCAGGATGGTCTCGATCTCCTGACCTTGTGATCTGCCCACCTCGGCCTCCCAAAGTGCTGGGATTACAAGCGTGAGCCACCGTGCCCGGCCTTAAGTTATAAATTATAAATAAGAAATTAAAATATACATAGTAGGGCCAGACACAGTGGCTCATGCCTGTAATCCCAGCACTGTGGGAGGCTGAGGCAGGCGAATCGCTTGAGCTCAGGATTTCAAGACCAACCTGGGCAACATGGTGAGACTCCGTTTCTAAAAAAAAAAAAAAAAAAAAAAAAAAATTAGCCAGGTGTGGTTGCATGTATCTGAAATCCTAGCTACTTGGGAGGCTGAGGTGGGAGGATTTATTGAGGAAGGATGAGGCTGCAGTGAGCCATGATCACGCCACTGCACTCCAGCCTGGGTGACACAGCAAGACCTGGTCTCAATATAAAAAAAAAAAAAGAAGAAGAAGAAGAAGGAAAGAAGAAGAAGAAGACATAGTTGGATGGTGAAGAAAATGATATTTAGCTCTTTGAGGTGCTAAAAGTGAATTCTTTCTACTCAAAAATAAAATTTTAAATGCAAGAACTAATAAGAAATTTTAATTAGATAAGGTATTATTTGCTTTGTGGAAATATATATCACAAAATTTCTTTTAAGATAATTTTCCCAAGGGTATTTACATGATTCATTTTATTGAATTTGGATTTTTATATAATTTATCAGAAGGAAATCAACTGTTGAGGCATACATATTTGTCTTTGATGAAATGATTAAAGATAATCAAAAGAATGAATAAGCGTTTCAAATAGCAAACCTTATCTAAAACACTTAGATTTTTTTTTCTGACTTAGAAAGTAATCTAGAGAAATAAAAAAGGAAGCATATTTGTGCTTCCAGATTTGACTTAAAGAATTATGCCAGTATGGATCTATAGAAAAACACCACTCTCCCCAAATCATCAAGATTTTTTTTTCCTTCTATAGTCTGTTGATATTGTGCTTGATTTCTGACTGTTAAACTAATGCTTCATTCTGGGATAAACCCCACTTGACCATAGTGTATTATCCTTTTATATATTGACTTTCTAAAATGATAAGAATTTTTGCATTTGTGTTTATGAAGGATGTTGGTCTGAGTGTCTTTTTTTTTTTTTTTTTCTTCTTGTGCTGTCTATGTCTGGTTTTGGTGTCAGAGTATATTGAATTTTTTTTTTTTTTTGAGACTGAGTCTCACTCTATCACCCAGGCTAGAGTGCAGTGGCACAATCTCTGCTCACTGCAACCTCTGCCTCCTGGGTTCAAGAGATTCCCATGCCTCAGCCTCCAGAGTAGCTGGGATTACAGATGCACGCCACCACACCCGGCTAATTTTTTATATTTTTAGTAGAGATAAGGTTTCACCATGTTGGCCAGGCTGATCTCGAACTCCTGACCTCAAGTGGTCCACCCACCTCGGCCTCCCAAAGTGCTGGGATTGCAGGCGTGAGCCACCGCACCCAGCCATATGCCACCGCACCCAGCCGTATGTTGACATTATAGAAAGATTTGGAAAGTATTGCCTCATCTTCAACTTCTGGAAGAGTTTCTATAAAATAGGCATTATTTCTTCCTTAAATATCCACCTATTGTTCACCTATTGGTATGGCCTCAAACAGTATCAAGAAACCATTTTTCGTGAATCGTTAATGTTTGGCCTGTTCTGTTTACTGCCATTGCTACCTGGCAGAAACATTGAACTGCAAAACACAACAACATGTTCTCTCAATGGCTTTCATAACTTGGCTTGGTTTGCTGGCAGTTTTGGCAGGCTGCTGCCTCAATCACTCCGCTTGTCCCTATTGTTATTAAAAAAAAAAAAAAAAGAATCAGGACAGCCCAGTGTTAGAATAGAGTGGCGGAGGTACCAAGAAAGGATTCCTGCTATCCAGAAATAATTCCACTATTCTATTCCAGCTTTCTGCTTCCTGTAACACCAGATTTCAGCCTTCTTCCCAAGATAATTTTACAAGCCTTCTCCTTATCTTTGGTGAGCTCCTTTCTGCTCATATTTCTGGGCAAGAAGATTGCCAGTCTTCACAATTACAGTGTCAATTCCAACCAGGTGAGAGGACTACTACTTCCTCTGATCCTTAACTCTTTGTTCTTTAATCAAAGCCTCCTGCCAACATGAAGCAGGAGTCTTTTTTAACTGAAGAGCCACTTGGACCATGGTTTGGACAGTAATCACAAAGGATTTTTGAGAGGTGAGGGATACTTAACTTTGAGGGCACTTGAATTAACCTGAGTGTTATTGCCCTAGAACAGATATGATACAGAGAGGCCAGAAAATTATGGCATCATGTTGTTAAGCTAGGAGAGTTTCACTTTTCTTAATTTTAGCTTTCTTTCTACCAAGTCCTCCAACCACATACTGAGGTGCAATAAGAAATGCTGCAGAACGTCTTATAAAAAGCCAGGGTTGGGCCAGGAGTAGTGGCTCACGTCTGTAATCCCAGCACTTTGGGAGGCCAAGGCAGGTGGATCACGAGGTCAGGAGATCAAGACCATCCTGGCTAACACGGTGAAACCCTGTCTCTACCAAAAATACAAAAAAAAAATTAGCCGGGCATGGTGGCGGGCGCCTGTGCTCCCAGCTACTCGGGAGGCAGAGGCAGGAGAATGGCGTGAACCCGGGAGGCGGAACTTGCAGCGAGCCGAGACCGCGCCACTGCACTCCAGTCTGGGCGACTCCATCTCAAAAAAAAAAAAAAAAAAGCGAGGGCTTCTAATACCATACAGTTGGCCTCCCAGAAATAGTTTTTGTCTTTTAGCCCTTTCCCTAGAACTCAAGAGGGAAATATGGAAACAACAGGTGTTCCAATTTGACCTTTTTTTTTTTTTGAGACGGAGTTTTGCTCTTGTTACCCATGCTGGAGTGCAATGGCATGATCTTGGGTCACCACAACCTCCACCTCCCAGGTTCAAGCGATTCTCCTGCCTCAGCCACCCGAGTAGCTGGGATTACAGATGCTCACCACCATGCCCAGCTAATTTTTGTATTTTTAGTAGAGATGGGGTTTCACCACGTTGGCCAGACTGGTCTCGAACTCCTGACCTCACAATCTGCCTGCCTCAGCCTCCCAAAGTGCTGGGATTACAGGTGTGAGCCACCGCACCCAGCCCAATTTGACCTTTAGGGTAGCACATAAGGCAGGGAGAATAGCATTGTGCTTCTCCCTGTCATCCTAAGTCCTGGTCATCACTTGAAAGAGAATAAAAATGCCAGAGTCTCATTTTCTCACCTTGAAAAAGCACTTTCCTTGTGATGACTAGCTAAAATGATGATTTGGTTTAGTCAAGAAAATCAGATGTGCCATCCTTTTGTTCTAATTTTTTTTTTTTTTTTTTTTTTGAGATGGAGTTTCGCTCTTGCTGCCCAGGCTGGAGTGCAATGGTGCAATCTCGGCTCACCACAACGTCTGTCTCTCAGGTTCAAGCGATTCTCCTGCCTCAGACTCCCGAGTAGCTGGGATTACAGGCATGCGCCACTATGCCTGGCAAATTTTGTATTTTTAGTAGAGACAGGGTTTCTCCATGTTGGTCAGGCTTGTCTCAAACTCCCGACCTCAGGTGATCCACCAGCCTCAGCCTCCTAAAGTGTTGAGCTTATAGGTGTGAGCCACCTCATCCGGCCTTCTAATAATATTTCAATCTGTTATTTCAAGTGATGCAAACAACCCTATCTTCATATAAAAAAAAAAAACCATATGCCTTCAACTCAAAATCAGCATTCTTCAACAAAAACGGGGGCCTAAAGCATCTGCTGTTTCTTTACAGGATTTAATAGCCATCGGCCTTTGCAATGTCGTCAGTTCATTTTTCAGATCTTGTGTGTTTACTGGTGCTATTGCTAGGACTATTATCCAGGATAAATCTGGAGGAAGACAACAGGTATGTTGAAATACAATTTGATCTCTAATACATAAACATATTCATATCAATTCATATGTATATTCAGAGTAGGGAATTAAATGGGTTTAATCTTCTTGCTGTTTTAATGCTATGCTTAATGGGAAAGACCTCTGGGATGAATTTGGATTCCATGCTTGCCTTAATTTTTGCTCAGATTTTGTCTTAAAAGTTACTTGTCAATGTGGAACTTGAAAGCCATTTTCTACAGAAATATGTGAGAGGTTTCCGTATATTAGCCCACAAAACCCCACTTTCCATGTAACATACCTAAAGGATAAGAATATTTTAGGTAAACTGGCCAAGTGTGGTGGCTCACGCCTGTAATACCAACACTTTAGAAGGCCGAAGTGGGTGGATCACTTGAGGTCAGGAGTTTGAGACCAGCCTGGCTAACATGGTAAAACCCCATCTCTACTAGAAATACAAAAAAAAAGAAAAAAAAAAAAACAATTAGCTGGGTGTTGTGGCGCACACATGTAATTCCAGCTACCCAGGAGGCTGACGCAGGAGAATCACTTGAACCTAGGAGACAGAGGTTGCAATGAGTTGAGATGGTGCCACTGCACTCCAGCCTGGGTGGCAGAATGAGATTCCGTCTCAAACAAACAAACAAAAAAGAATATTTCTGGTAAACTTACCATCATCTGCTAATGCTTTCCCCCTGTGGGAAGATGCATTCTCACACCTAGTCTGGAAAAGCAATAATACAACTCTACACACCTTGGCAGCAAAGCAAAAATTTTCCTGGCTTCTTCAAAAGGGCATGGCAAGGGGCTTTCATGACAGGGTGTCAGGTCTTTGTCTAGGAGAGCCTAGAGAATGTATAATTGTTCTACTTTTGTATAAGAGAAAATTATCTAGGTCAGATTTTCTGCAGGTATTCTGAGTCAGTAAACTAAATGTTTAGGCATGTGTTAAGCATACATAGAGAGAATGGTGGTCGAAAAGACTGTAGAGGCAAAGTGTCTAATTGCAGGCATGAGATTTTATAAGTCTAATGTTCATGAGTTTTGTTTTTTGTTTTTGTTTTTGTTTTGAGACACAGTCTTGCTCTGTCACCCAGGCTGGAGTGCAGTGACGCGATCTCGGCTCACTGCAACCTCCGCCTCCCAGGCTCAAGTGATTTTCCTGCCTCAGCCTCCCGAGTAGCTGGGATTACAGGCATCCGCCACGACATCCAGCTAACATTTGTATTTTTAGCAGAGATGGGGTTTTACTATGTTGGCCAGGCTGGTCTTGAACTCCTGAACTCAAGTGATCTGCCTGCCTTGGCCTCCCAAAGTGCTGGGATTACAGGCATGAACCACCGGGCCCGGCCCAATGTTCATGAGTTTTGAACTGACTAGATAAAATTACAACAGGCTAACCTGAGAGGTGTCCCATCTCAACTATGCAGAGTGACAAAATGTCAGAGAGCTATCGGAATTGAAACTGGGGTTGCCCGGGGAATGAGTCAGCATTCAGACGCCAGAGAAACAGTGGCAGAGGTCAAAGACAAGCTTCTGCTGCAGAAACATAGTAAAAGGTGTAGCCATGGTCAGAAACGAATGTGTCAGCAGAATGAACAGTCAACTTTCACATGGAAAGACAAAGTGTCATAGTCCATGGGCAAATATGTGGTGAAGCATAAGGTAAAAGGTAATACAAGTCAGAAAGATTAGGCAGGGGTGAGAGCCTGGGTATAGAGCAGGGGTGTCCAATCTTTTGGCTTCCCTGGCCCCACTGGAAGAAGGAGAATTGTCTTGGGCCACACATAAAATGCACTAATTCTAACAATAGCTGATGAGCTAAAAAAAAAAAAATCGCTAAAATATTTTATAATGTTTTAAGAAAGTTTACGAATTTTTGTTGGGCTGCATCCAAAGCTGTCCTGGGCCACATGTGGCCCCGCAGGCCTCAGGTTGGACAAGTTTGGTCTAGAATAAGACTACATTGTACCATTTTATGTGGACCAAGTTTTGTTTGTCACAGAGCTTCTTCCGGACACATTGGCCTTTTCCACTACTGCTTAATAGACAGAGAAATTTGGGCTATGTTCAGAAGAAGAGTGTTTTGTACAAGCATGCAAAAACTTTGGAGTCAAAGAGACTCCAAAGAGACTTGGAGAGTTTTAGAAGAAGAAATGGAAATGGAGATTCCAGAGATTAGTTCCACTAACTTTTTATGACATACTTTGTTTATTCAGTATATAAGCATAATGTAAATTTGGGAGACAAGATGTGCACGGCTAGAAAAAAACTAAATCACAGTGCAAGGAAAATTGAGTGCAGAATGAGGACGATTTTTAAAAAGCGGCATAAATATTGCAAGAAGGAGAATGATGGCAGAAGTGGGACTTTCATGGAGTACTGAAAGGGTTTAGGGTATGTGTAGATGGAAGGAGGAAGAAGGGCTTCAGTTCAGCCTCAGAGCTGTCTTAACAGCAGGATTCCACTTGTGCGTGCAATGCAGACTGGAGGAAGACTGGCTGTGCCAAATGCACTCATTGATTCTGGGAATAGAAAGGCCAAGTTTTGAGAGGGTTTTGGCAGACGATTGAATTTCCAACCCCTGAGCAAGCCCATTTTTAGCATTTTAGCCTGTTGAACAGAAGGTCTGCCTCAAAGGTAGCCTATGGCACTCATTTTGTTTTCCGCTGCCACCTTGTTCATCTGTGCAGCACAGTTCTGCCAGTGACACCTCTCAATGCAGTGCAGCGGCCCTCCACAGGGAGGCATGTCCCTAGGAATGCTGAGAAGCCCTCCCTGAGGCCTTGACATGCCCCTTGCAAATCCCTGGCTCAAGCAGAGAATGTTGCTGACCCCTGGCCCTACACATGGCAGCTGCCCAGACTATACTCTTGAGTTCCTAATCTGGACCAGAAAAGACCTATGAGACTCATTCATCTTCTTCATTCCATGGGAGTGGAGTTTTCTCTCCACCTCTTATCTCTGGAGGCCTTATGATTTTTTTTTTTTTTTCAGAGACAGGGTCTCACTATGTTGTCCAAACTCCAGGCCTCAAGTGATCTTCTCACTTCAGCCCCCCAGAGTGCTAGGATTCCAGGCATGAGCCACCGTGCGCCAACCCGCTGGGGGCTCTTGATTCACTCTGCCTGAGAATGTCCCTATTTCTTCAAAGTTTCTTAGGACTGCAGAAAAGAGAAATATGGGGCTGGCTCTGAACCTCTCAAAAATAATCTGCCATCAAGGGTCACTTTGTTTTTATTTTTTATCTGGCATAGATGCAAACTGTGTATATGTGTTTAGATTTCACTTAATTTCTTGCTGTCTAGAACTCATTTCCCTCCAGTGGCTGCAGCAAAACCTACTGGTCCTTCTGGCCACAGCCTCAGCCTGAGGCATTGGCAGGCCTGACCCATGGCAAAGGGGATGTGATGAGCCCTAGTAGGCCTGTGGCCAGCTGGGCTGTCCCCCACTCCATCTTTCTGGTCATCCTATTCGTACCACTGTGCTTCCGTGTTCTCCAAGATTAGGTTTCTGTCATTGCCCCCTGCTTTCTAAGGACCTGCCTTGCCCAGGCTCCCCGAACAGCTTTAAAAATGGGTTATTGTAAAAGAGAGAAATGAATGCATTGCATTCTTTTTAGAGGAAGTCAATGGGGCCGTGGAGAGAGCCTGGATTTTGGAGTCAGATGGTCAGGGGAGGTTGAACCTGACTCCATGCTTCCTAGATGTATGTGACCTTGGGCAAATTAATTTTGCTCTCTGAGGTTCTAGTCTTCATCTGGAAAGTGGGGATAAGACAAATTTGCCCATTGTGAGAATTAAATTAGATGCTAATGGGTGCCTGTCACTTAAGAGTTCAAAAATCATCACTTCTACCCCAAGACCCAAGTGCCTGGGCAGGTGTTCATCATCTGCTATTCTACTTCATGGAGCCCCCTGTACATGGAGCAATTGATGCCTGAGGGTCTGCATGTTGATTGTGGCTGTGGCTATGGAAACTCACATGGCTTTGACTCTCTGGAGAGAAGGCACAGTCAGTCTTTGCTCAAGAAAGCCTGGAAAAGTGATGGAAAATCTGGTCAGAAAAACAAAGCATGCATGAGATGTAAAACATGCAGACAGTGCTTGCTGTCATCAGACCCTGTTCAGGCACTGAGGCTGAGCTCTGAGAGCCATCGAGCATCTTCCTGAGGCGCAATGCCACAGAAGATGGTCCTCTGATCCCAAAACCCATTCCTATGAATGTGCAGCCAAGGGGAACACAATTATTGGCAGGCCTCCAACCCTCTCTGAGCAGCTAATTTTATGGGATTTGGTGTCTAGTTTGTGCTCATTTTGACTTAGGATTTTTGTTGTTGTTGTTGTTGTTGTTGTTGTTTTGAGATGGAGTTTTGCTCTTGTTGCCCTGGCTGGAGTGCATTGGCGAGGTCTTGGCTCTGCAACCTCTGCCTCCCAGGTGCAAACGATTCTCCTGCCTCAGCCTCCCAAGTAGCTGGGATTACAGGCGCCTGCCACTACGCCCAGCTAATTTTTTTGTATTTTTAGTAGAGGTGGGGTTTCACCATGTTGGCCAGGCTGGTGTCGAACTCCTGACCTCAGGTGATCTGCCTGGCTCGGCCTCCCAAAGTGCTGGGATTACAGGTGCGAGCCACCACGCCTGGCCTAACCTAGTTTTATACAACTTATTTTGTGTCTGCCTGCCTTTGTTTCCTTAAAAATAATCAGAAGAATTTTGGAGAAAAAAAGTGGCAGAAAAGAAAAGGCCTGATATAGATTTCCTGTGCTAATGAAAATAGTTTTTTCTATAACATCAGCAAAGGCCAACTGAAGCTAGAGCCAGAAATTAGATCCAGCAACAGGCTGACATGTCACCTGGCTGGAGAGGCTTTGGGGTTACCTGTCTCAGTTCCACAGTGTCTGAAATGTTTGCCATCAGAGCTTTCTGAGTTTCAGTTATGGTGATCCATTTTCCTGAGTACTTCCTACACTACTCTCATGTGATTCAGCCTTTCCATATCAGGCCACTCACTTTAGCTGTGAGTCAGCTGGGATGGGGAAAGAAAGAAGCAGGACGTTGATTGCATTGCTATTATTTTCGGCAATACATTTATAAGGCAAATAGCAATGAGTAGCGAGAGGGAACCCAGTGGGAAGGTGTGTTTTCCCCCCCTACGTAAAAAATACAGAGAAAAATTAGAGAATCATTGCTGAATGGTCCTTTGGTAGATTAGAATCGAGAGACCCCCTCAGTTCTTGCTTTTCTGTGCCATTGTTCTGATTTGTGGTTATAATTTTGCCCCATCCCCTATTCCCATCGCAGTGAAAATGACACTGGTTTCTATTATTTTTATTACTAGTGGCTTACAAAATAGAAATTTACCAATAGAGGATATAATGAGTTCAAGACTATCCAGAGACCATTGGGCTTATCAAGGAAACTATGCTTCTTAGTTTTCCACCTTTATTTTGACAAGTGAGAATCACTGCTTACCAAGAGACACTGAGCCCAAAGTAGTCAACCCAACTGGGATAGGATCCAGAGCTGCTATATACAGCCTTGACTCATGTTTGTAGCTTTTTCTTTCTTTCTTTCTTTTTGATGGCACTGGAGCAGAGAGAAACTAAAGCAGGAAAATGGGAAGTGATTATCTTTGTGTTTTTTAAGATGAAGCTCCACTGAAGCTGCTAGATGGGCAGTTACCCAAGCAGCAAACAGGAGAGTGAGGGGTGGGAAATTTACTTACATGGGAAGTAGGGCTGACACTGAGGAGCTACTAGGGCTTTTCTTTCCTTATATTTATTTTTTTTTTGAGATGGAGTCTCACTCTGTCGCCAGGCTGGAGTGCAGTGGCGTGATCTTGGCTCACTGCAATCTCCGTCTCCCGGGTTCAAGCGATTCTCCTCTCTCAGCCTCCCAAGTAGCTGGAATTACAGGCACACACCACCAAGCCCAGCTAATTTTTGTATTTTTAGTAGAGACGGGGTTTCACCATGTTGGCCAGGATGGTCTCCATCTTTTGACCTTGTGATCTGCCGGCCTCAGCCTCCCAATGTGCTAGGATTACAGGTGTGAGCCACCGCACCCGGCCAACTACGGCTTTTCTAAATTGTGCAAGGAGAGGTTAAACTTAGGAGGAGATGCAAATCAGATTTTAGGAGAATTCAGATTCATAGCACAGAGCAGTGGCAGTAAAGATTCAAATGCCCAGGACAACGTGGAGCTTTTCAGGGAGCATCTTTCCATTCATTTAGGGAGTATTTATTGAGTACCTAGTATGTGTTTAGCACTTTGATAAGACTTGAAAATGTCAGTTCAACAAAAATACACTTGGACTGAACTCAACTCCTTTTAAGAAAAATTGACATGCTTCTCACCAAGCAGAAGGCCTCAGTTGCAGACAGGGACCAATACGTTCCTGATGGTTTCTCTCCAACTGGCTCTGTCTCCTCAGTTTGCATCTCTGGTAGGCGCAGGTGTGATGCTGCTCCTGATGGTGAAGATGGGACACTTTTTCTACACACTGCCAAATGTAAGTAGAACTGATCAAATAACTAAGTCAACAACGACCAGGGCTCTGGATTGCTCCTTGGTGTGTGTGTGCGGGGGGTAAGGGGCTGGGGGCGGGGGGGCGGGCATCTCCGAGGAGAATTGCATTCGGATTATCCCCAATGGTTGCTCCAGCCTATCTCTAGTCCCTTTCATTCAAGATAATAGTATCTGGATCACAGGGTTGAGGGTTAAATGATGTGAGATATATATATATATATATATATATATATATATATATATATATATACACACACACACACACACACATACACACATATGTATATTTATATATAAGATTTATATGGTGTGTAGATAGATAGATGTAATAGTATTGGGCCTATAGTAAACACTCAAGAAACATTAGTTATAGGGCTGGGCACCGTATAACTGGGTTATACAGTTATACACCGTATAACTGGGATACAGGGCACCGCCTGTAATCCCAGCACTTTGGGAGGCCAAGCTGGGCAGATTACCTGAAGTCAGGAGTTCAAGACCCGCCTGGCCAACATGGAGAAACCTCATCTCTACCAAAAATACAAAAATTAGCTGGTCATGGTGGTGCATGCCTGTAATCCCAGCTACTCTGGGGGCTGAGGCAGGAGAATCTCTTGAACCTGGGAGGTAGAGATTGCAGTGAGCCGAGATCCCACCACTGCACTCAAGCCTGGGTTACAGAGTGAGACTCCGTCTAAAAAAGAAAAAAAAGCGTTAGTTATAGGCCAAGAGTGGTGTAATCCCAGCACTTTGGGAGGCCAAGGTGTGCAGATCACTTGAGGTCAGGAGTTCAAGATCAGCCGGGCCAACGTGGCAAAACCCCGTCTCTACTAAAAATATAAAAATTAGCTGGGTGTGGTGACAGGTGCCTGTAATCCCAGCCATTCTGGAGGCTGAGGCAGGAGAATCGCTTGAACCTGGGAGGCTGAAGTGAGCTGAGATCACGCCATTGCACTCCAGCCTGGGTGACCGAGTGAGACTGTTTCAAAAAATAAATAAATAAATAAAATTAAGTTATTATTATTATTGAATCTTCTTTTTATTGCTTAAGCTATAAAGCAAGCTTCGTAAGTAAGGATTCAGTGAAAAATGACCAAAATAGACTTCAGAAGCCACACCAACATGGGCTTGGAAACTCACTGTGCATTCATGCCATCTGTTTTCCTACACTGCTTCCAGAAGGCCTTGTTCTGCATTTGTGTGAACTCAGTCCTCCCATTGCTGCTACACTGCCTCTTGGTTAGTTCACAACACTAGAAGGCAGGTCTGAAAGTTGTGTCTTAACTCAGTATTCAGCCAGCATGCCTCTATATACAAATGTGTCATTCTTCCCTTTGTGTGAAACTGAGCACCCTGTAGAGATGCCAGGTGTGTTAATTATTAGCTATAATCCTTCTCTTCTTAGGTTACAGTAGGTCTATACTCAGTGACCATCATTTCCTTTTAAGTTTTCTTCATGTTCCTGTTAGCCATTTTTATATCGTACTTAGGGAGGTGAGAGAAGGTTTATTTGTGGATGTAGCAGCTTGGTTACACACCGAGGTGGCTGTCCCTGAAGCTGGGGTGGTTGTAAATGTGATCTCCCTCCTTCTGAATGCTTCCTTTCCACCTGGTGAATAGCAGGTGTCAGTAGAGCAGGACCATCCACAAGGCTGCTGCTGCCTTCTGCTCATATGATTCAAGGACCTTGGAGCCAAGGCATGGAATCTATGCAAGGAGGGTGGAACTAGTAAAAATTGACACGCAAGCGGTCCTCTGATTCCCAGTAGAGGTAATCTCCAGAATTCAGTTTCTACAGCACCTTTGTTGCTATCACTATTGGAATCTATTTTAGGAGGGCCACTCACTGATTTACTTTGGACATGGATATTTTTTCTTTACAACTAAATGAAGCAGAATTTTAAAATTCCAAACAAACAAAAATTATCAGAGTTCACTGACGGGTAGTGATAAAATTTGGGACTCCTTTATTATAAACACGTTGGGGACAGAACAGCCCTTGCTTTTGGCTAGCCATATTACATCACATTAATTTTATAGCATCTAGTTAGCATGTTTCTGAGTGAGCAGTTGTGATTATAATAAGATCAATGGAATAGATTAATTACTGTAACAATAAGGTTCTATGAGTACTAAGCTATAAATGACTTCTTCCTTTCTTGAAAAACTGTGAACAGTTGCAAAACCCTTGTTAGAGTCCCTAGTAGAGCATTCAGGCTAGGATCTCAACTAGTTACAAGAGGACCAACACAAATTTTGAAAAACATGATATAAAATAATATATTCAATATTATTCCAATTTTGTGAGGAAGAAAAATGTAGAACATACCAGTGGTTATCTCTGGGATAATGGAAATTATGTATGAGTTTAACTTGTTTTTACACCATGAGCATGTTTCACCTTAATATTTAGAAGGATAAAAATGTTGTTGCATATTGTTTTATGAAAAGATTTGTTTCCTCTCCATACTCCCTGCCTCAAGTCAAAAACCTTTCAAAAACCCTATGAGGTTGAGTTTATTTTCCTTCCCACCGTATTTCTTCAAATTGAAGGAAGTTTGGAAATTCTTGACTGGAAAGAAGATAGCATAGTGGAAAAGATGGTATGGTGGGAAAGAAGTAATTTCTGCCAACTTCATCTTTGCTTTTCGCTCCTCTACTGACCTGTTGTGTCTAACGGGTCACTGGGTACCCTCAGAAAGCCAGAGTAAGCGTGGACTCAGCCATTCCTCGTGGTAAGATTAGTTCTAATTCCCAGGCAGAGAATATGGAGGAATGGACAGCTAGGAAAGGGCTAAGAAATTAAACCAATACAGGAATTTCATGACCACAAGAAAATCTTTTTTTTTTTTTTTTTTGAGATGAGAGTCTCCCTCTATTGCCCAGGCTGGAGTGCAGTGGCATGATCTCAGCTCAGCTCAGCTCACTTCAACCTCTGCCTCCCAGGTTCAAGCAATTTTCCTGCCTCAGCCTCCTGAGTAGCTGGGATTACAGGCACCTGCCACCACGCCTGGCTAATTTTTGCATTTTTAGTAGAGATGGAGTTTCGCCATGTGGGCCAGGCTGGTCTTGAACTCCTGACCTCAGGTGATCCACCCACCTCAGCCTCCCAAAGTGCTGGGATTACAGGTGTGAACAAAAATGTTTCTTTCTTTCTTTCTTTTTTTTTTTTTTTTTGAGATGGAGTTTCGCTCTTGTTGCCCAGGCTGGAGTGCAATGGCGCAATCTCGGCTCATGGCAACCTCCGCCTCCCAGGTTCAAGCGATTCTCCTGCCTCAGCCTCCCAAGTAGCTGGGATTACAGGCATGCGTCACCACACCCGGCTAACTTTTTTGTATTTTTAGTAGAGACGGGGTTTCTCCATGTTGGTCAGGCTGGTCTCGAACCCCCAACCTCAGGTGATTCCATCTGCCTCGGCCTCCCAAAGTGCTGGGATTACAGGTGTGAGCCACCACGCCCAGCCAGGTGTGAGCAAAAATGCTTCTTAAAAGTAGGTTAAATTCTACTTTGAAGCCCTGAACGATTTTTATATGCTTGTGCGTATAAATCCTCATTTTCTCATATTTAGGAAACTTTCTTTCCATTATAAAAGTAAACATGCTCATTTTCAAAACTTTAGAAAATGCAAAATAGATAAAAATGTCATTCACCATCACAAATAAAAAACTATTCACATTTTGGCATCTATCCAACCAATATTATTTTCTAAAAATGGATATCACTTTGCATAGTTGTAACCTAACTGTACAATTTTATATTCTTGTTATTTAATATATAGCATGAAACTTCATTCTATAACATTTGACATTTTTGGAAAATTAGGTTGTCTACATTTTTGTTATAAATAACAATGAGTAATTTTGTACATCTACCATTTTCTTTTTTTTTTTTTTGAGACATGGTCTCACTCTCTTGCCCAGACTGGAGAGCGGTGGCCCAATCTCGGCTCACTGCAACCTCTGCCTCCCAGGTTCAAGGAGTTCTCCCACCTCAGCCTCCTGAGTAGCTGGGATTACAGGTGCACGCCACTACTGCCTGGCTAATTTTTGTATTTTTAGTAGAGACAAGGTTTCACTATGTTGGCCAGGCTGGTCTTGAGCTCCTGACCTCAAATGATCCACTCACCTCAGCTTCCCAAAGTGCTGGGATTACAGGCGTGATCCACCATGCCTGGCACATCTACAGTTTTCTAGATTTAAGATTTTTTTTTTTTGAGACAGAGTCTCACTCTGTCACCCAGTCTGAAGTACAGTGGTGTGATCTTGGCTCACTGAAACCTCTGCCTCCCAGGTTCAAGCGATTCTCATGCCTCAGCCTCCCGAGTGGCTGAGATTACAGGCATGTACCACCATGCCCGGCTAATTTTTGTATTTGTAGTAGAGACAGGTTTTTGCCACATGGGCTAAATTTGTCTGGAACTCCTGGCTTCAAGAGATTCGCCTGCCTCAGCCTCCCAAAGTTCTGGGATTACAGACATGAGCCACTGCGTCTGGCCAAGATTTAGGATAAATTTCTGAAAGTAAAACAAAGTTTTTGTGTGAAAACATATCAGCATTTCTGGATATACTGTCAAGTGATTTTCCAAAAGGGCACCACCCTATTTCAACAACCATGTATAAAGGGTAATATCAATTATTTTATTTTATTTTTGTGAGACAGGGTCTTGCTCTTTCACTGGGCTGGAGTGCAGTGGCATGATCACACCTCACTGCAGCCTCCATCTCCCAGGCTTAAGTGGTCCTCCTACCTCAGTCTCCTGAGTAGCTGGGACTGTAGTTGCATGCTACCACACCTGGCTAATTTTATGTTTTTTGTAGAGATGGTGTCTCACTATGTCACCCAGGCTGGTCTCGAACTCCTGGGCTCAAGTGATCCTCCTGCCTCACCTTCACAAAGTGCTGGGGATTACAGGCATGAGCCACCACACTTGGCTATCAGTATTTTAAATTTGCTCATTTAATTTGATAAACAAAATGGTATTTCATTAGTAAATCATTACAGTATATTATGATTCAACATGAAGAAAAGCCCAGTTGGAATTGTTTTGGAGTTTCTGTGAGTGTAAGTTCTCTTAATTTATCATCCCATCTGAGAATGGTTTCTAGATAAGGTAGGTAACAGATATGTCAAGCAAACCAGACAAGGCAAGGCCAAGTAGCCAAAGGCACCAGCTCCCATGGGTCTTGTTCCACACACCAAAAGTAACAGAAGCAGAAGGGGATAGATGAGTATAACCTTTAGCTATGCCTGGCGAGATGTCAGAGCCCTGGCACCTGTGAGTGGTCGACTTGTGGGTTGGGAAAAAGAATTTACTGACAATAGTATAGGTTTGAAAAAGGAAAGTTTATTAGAAGGGAAGAACACTGCGAAAGGATGCAGTGAGGCGCCTCAGCAAGAGGACTGAGTGCGCTATGGTGGGTTTTCCTTAGGAGCATTCATAGACCTTAAGGCGGGAGCTTAGGGTTGTAAAACGAGTTTCAGCACAGCATTCCAGAGATGTATAGAAAATTTTGTTACTTATAAAAGTTGAAAGAGGCCTGGAATCACATGCCAGTTTGAGATATTAGGGAAGTTTGTTTACTTCTAAATTCCTAGATAAGGAGTTTTGCCTCCGGATGGCCTGTCAGATGGTCATCAGGTGGTCTTTGCTCCCTTTTAAATTGCTCAGATAAGAAGTTTTTGTCTCCGGGGCCTGCTCAATGGTAAGGAGGTGATTTTCACTTTCCTCAAGTTACTCTTCCTCTCACTGTCTATGTGAGTAATGAACTACCTGAATCTAAAAGGGGCTATTGTCAGCTTTCCTGGCTGAATCAGTCAGGCCTTGACGTTGGCCTGACCTTGCCTTGTGTTTTTGGCAAATTAAGGAGGAGGGCAAAGAAAAATGTAGAGACAAAATTAGCCGTGAGTGATGGCACGTAGTCCCAGCTACTTGGGAGGCTGAGTGGGGAGGACGTCTTGAGCCCAGGAGTTCAAGGCTGCAATGAGCTATGATAGCACGCCACAGTACTCCAGCCTGGGCAAGAGCGAGACCCTGCCTCAGAAAGGAAGAGAAAAGAGAAACGTAGAGAAAATTTATTTGATTGGACAATGAGTTGGAACATAGACATGGTATTCATATAAAATATCAATGCAAAATATCTCAAAGTGGCAAGGCTAACTTTTTGTGATTCCTTGGTGGGGATTTGTGAGTTTTACACCCCAAAGGGAAAATGAACCATGATTTATCTTTTCCCCACAGGCTGTGCTGGCTGGTATTATTCTGAGCAACGTCATTCCCTACCTTGAAACCATTTCTAACCTACCCAGCCTGTGGAGGCAGGACCAATATGACTGTGTGAGTGTAGATGCCCTGGCTGAGGAAGGGGAGGGCAGAGGGAGGTTGGAGAGAGGGAGAAAGAACAAACAAAAGAGATCTGCCATGGACCTAAAGAACACAAACAACTCTTTGATGCCTAGTACTCCAGTTTTGCTTTAAAAAGGAGAGTCAAGGTTGTTGGTACATGAAAACACGAAGACCTCATTCCAACTATGCAAAATTAAATGAAAAGGATTAAGTGGCTACAGTTACATCCAAATCTAGCAAAAAGGGTTTGTCATTCATCGCATATTTGGATAACTTTTTTTTTTTTTTTTTGAGACGGAGTCTCACTCTGTTGCCCAGGCTGGAGTGCAGTGGCGTGATCTCAGCCCACTGCAACCTCCGCCTCCCGGGTTCAAGTGATTCTCCTGCCTCAGCCTCCCGAGTAGCTGGGACTGCAGGAGCCCACCACCATGCCCGGCTAATTTTTGTATTTTTAGTAGAGACAGGGTTTCACTATATTGACCAGGCTGGTCTCAAACTCCTAACCTTGTGATCCACGTGCCTCAGCCTCCCAAAGTGCTGGGATTACAGGCGTGAGCCACTGCACCCAGCCTTGAATGACTTTTAATCCAGTTAATGTAAATACATTTCAGGATAGGAGTCTCCAATCCCAATAAGGGAAGGTGGTGTCTTGTCAGGCAGAATAACTGCTGGAGCACACTCCTCTCTGGAGCACAAAACCGGAGGTCAGAAAGGGGAAACAGCAAGAAATAAAAGGTGGAGGATAGAATGTGATGAGAGGAGGACCCAGGAGAGGCAAAGAAATATGAAAGGGGATAACTTTTGGAGCCAGATCCCTGAGGAGCTAAGAGGGGACGGGTCCACTGCACAGATAGTTTCTATTCCAGGAGGAGGCATAACACTTCCAAAGGGACGGAAGAGAATGAGGAAACATTGAGTATAGACACTGACAAGTGGCAGGTGGTGAGGAAAATATATATTTAAGGAATTTCAGCTGACTTTTCTTCTGTGAAGATGAAGTAATGGAGAAGGTGCTGGGGTAGGGGCCTGAAAAGGATGGTAAAGATTTGCAACAACTCTTATACATCTTAAAATAGCAACTACCATTTGGTGAGTATTCTAGTTGGCTTTGCAAATGGTATTCCTAATCTCAACAAAGCCTATAAGGTAGACATTATTACT
Organism: Homo sapiens; assembly: GCF_000001405.40. Taxonomy (NCBI): domain Eukaryota; kingdom Metazoa; phylum Chordata; class Mammalia; order Primates; family Hominidae; genus Homo; species Homo sapiens. The sequence goes on along the minus strand of NC_000006.12, from coordinate 35,961,355 downwards.
ATTTTGCACATGAGGAAATTGAAGTTTTGAGAGAGATTTGAAGACAGAGGCGACCAGGGATGCATAAAAGAATTGCTAGGCATCCTGGAGGGCCCCATTGTTTGTCATGGCACCAGTCCATGTGGCTATGGAATATTTCCCTAAAGCCCAGGTGTAGTAAGGGAGAGGGTGAAGGTGAGTTGAGAAACAGGACTGATCATTTTCTCAGTTGAACTTGTTTTCATGATCATTTTCCCCTCATTCCCTTTTCCATAAGGCTCTTTGGATGATGACATTCTCATCTTCAATTTTCCTGGGACTGGACATTGGACTAATTATCTCAGTAGTTTCTGCTTTCTTCATCACCACTGTTCGTTCACACAGGTACTTTGTCTCAGGTAATAGGAGGTTAACAAGGCAAGGTAAGCCAACTCTGACCTAAAGGCAAGTGCATTTCCTTTCAGAGCTAAGATTCTTCTCCTGGGTCAAATCCCTAACACCAACATTTATAGAAGCATCAATGATTATCGGGAGGTAAGAATCCAAATGGGTCCCATTTCTCTGCCTAAGGGATAGAGTGGGCCCCACCTCATGCTTAGTTTTTCTACAAAATCCCTTGCCATTGTTTCCTGCACTGCAGATACACATTTACAAAGGAGGGGGATGTGATGTACACTGGTAGAGATGGGTTCTTTGTTTTTATTTTTTTTTTTGGAGACAGAGTCTTGCTCTGTCACCCAAGCTGGACAGTACAGTGCAGTGGCTTGATCTTGGCTTACTGCAACCTCCACCTGCCAGGTTCAAGCAATTCTCCTGCCTCAGCCTCCCCAGTAGCTGGGATTACAGGCGTGCCCCATCATACCTGGCTAATTTTTTGTATTTTAGTAAAGACAGGGTCTCACCATGTTGCCCAGGCTGGTCTTGGACTCCTGAGCTCAGTCAATCTGCTTGCCTCAGCCTTCTAGAGTGCTAGGATTACAGGCATGACTCAACACACCCAGCCAAGACGGGTTCTTAAGTAGCTAAATTCTTATAGTATTGCAGCCAGTTAAAGATCATTTGTAAATGTACTTTAAGGAGAGTTTGGCCAAGAAAAAGGAAATGAAGGGAGAAAGAAGACAGCAGGAAAAGCAGAGGGTGAAAATGGGAGGAAATAATTTTCTAGTTCTTGTCTCTAATAAAGAAGAATACAGGCTGGGTGTGTTGGCTCACACCTGTAATTCCAGCACTTTGGGAGGCCAGGCATTTGAGACCAGCGTGGCCAACATGGTGAAACCCCGTATCTACTAAAAATACAAAAATTAGCAGGGCGTGATGGCAGGTGCCTGTAATCCCAGCTACTCAAGAGGCTGAGGCAGGAGAATTGCTTGAACCCGAGAGGCGGAGGTTGCAGTGAGCCAAGATCGCGCCATTGCACTCCAGCCTGGGCAACAGAGTGAGACTCTGTCTCAAAAAAAATAAAAAAATAAAAAAGAAGAATACAGACTCTCTAGGAGCTTCTAAGGATATATTATTCTTATTCCATAAAATAACTGAGAAATTTCCCTCAACTTCACATTTTGTCTTGCAGATCATCACCATTCCTGGGGTGAAAATCTTCCAGTGCTGCAGCTCAATTACATTTGTAAATGTTTACTACCTAAAGCATAAGCTGTTAAAAGAGGTATCTGCCCTCCTGCCCGCCTTTCTCAACCTGCCCACTCCCCGCCACTGGCATCTCTCTCCCACTCTTTCACCTTCTGTTCCACCATTCTTCCTCTGGATGAGACCTCTCATGTCTTTCAGGTTGATATGGTAAAGGTGCCTCTTAAAGAAGAAGAAATTTTCAGCTTGTTTAATTCAAGTGACACCAATCTACAAGGAGGAAAGATTTGCAGGTGTTTCTGCAACTGTGATGATCTGGAGCCGCTGCCCAGGGTTAGAAATGCCTTTTCTTTCCTATGTTTTTCTCCATATTTTATAAACAAGTACACTAGTCATTTCTTAAAAAAAAAATCAAAACCTCTAAGGGATTTTGACTTTTAGATGGACCATGAAGAATTCAGAAATTAAGATACAAGGTTCCTCTCACCTTGGAGGCTTGACTGAAAAAAAAAAGGCACAAGATTCCCCCTTGAGGTTCAGGTTTTCACAAGAAAGTAGGTGGGAAGTGTTCTGACTTCTACTGGTTGAACAGTGACCAGAGAACAGTTTGCCTGTTGAGACTGTAATTCTGTAGTTGCACCTATTTCCCTGGCTCTTAGCGGCCAAGCTTTAGATTTCTGAAAATAAGTGACTTAAAGATTGTTTTCTGATTCCAACTAGGGCAAGGTCAAGGTTGCTGGGCTTCTCAAGGATCTGCCAGGGTCTCCTGATGTCTTCCTATGGCCAAGAAAATGATGATGGGAGATGGGGGAAAGGAGCGGGGAGGATGAGCACAGGCCGCTATTTCAGATGGGAATTTTACAGCATTTGGAGGTTATTTTTACTGATGAGAATTACAAAGTGTTCATTATTTCCAAACTGGACTTGATCTAAGTAGTCCCTTCCCCCAGAGCAGGATTGCTCATTTCTAGCTTTTGGGTCTTTCGGCAATCACCTAGTCTACAGCACTCACTCTGGAGGGGCAGCTCTCTCTATACACAAAGATTTACATCCTCCCCCGCAACACACACACACAAATGCCTCCACCCGCCATGCAGGTGCTTGCAAAACCCTGAGCATCCACTCTTGTTCCCATACATTCTAATGGAGCATAGGTTCCACTGAGCTACTGAGAAGGGGTTTCACCATGTTGGCCAGGCTAGTCTCGAACTCCTGACCTCAGGCAATCCACCTGCCTCAGTCTCCCAAAGTGCTGGGATTACAGGGGTGAGCACCATACCTGGCTTGTTTTTTTCTTTCATAATAGTGGTATATCTTAAGATTGACAAAATAGCATAGTGAATCATGCAATATAGCATATAGCTGTCTTTTAAATTGTATGTTTAGATTCTAACAGCCCCAAGTAGCTGGGATTACAGGTACATGCCACCATGCCTGGCTAATTTTGTATTTTTAGTAGAGATCGGGGTTTCACCATATTGGTCAGGCTGGTCTCGAACTCAAGACCTCAGGTGATCCACCTGCCTTAGCCTCCCAAAGTGCTGGGATTACAGGCGTGAGCCACCACACCCAGCTAGATTCTAACAGCTCTTAAGACATCAAGTAAGGGGAGATTGGCATGAGCTCAAAAGTCAGAAAAACTTTGTGGTAGCATCAGCCTGTGCTGGGAAATTTATGAGAGAATTTTAGATTGAAGTTGGGTAGGAAAAAAGAGGATTCCCAGTCCATGGACAGGCTTCGACAAAGACACCAAGGTAGAAATAAACGTGGGGCTCTTAGGATAGAGGCTTAGCCTGGGAAGTAAGGTCAGGCAGATAACACATGAGGGGATTGTAAGAAAGATAAGAACGTAGAGTAGATGGAGGAGAGAAAAGAAGGATCTCGGATGGCCAGGCGCAGTGGCTTACGCCCGTAATCCCAAAACTTTGGGAGGCCGAGGCAGGCGGATCACCTGGGGTCAGGAGTTCGAAACTAGCCTGGCCAACATGGTGAAACCCTGTCTCTACTAAAAATACAAAATTAGCCCAGCATAGTGGCTCATGCCTGTAATCCCAGCTACTCGGGAGGCTGAGGCAGGAGAATCGCTTGAACCCAGGAGGCGGAAGTTCAGTGAGCCAGAATCTGTGCCACTGCACTCTAGCCTGGGCAACAAGAGCAAAACTCCATCTCAAAAAAAAAAAAAAAAAGGTGGCTCTCAGAGAATTCCCTCTGCCTAGAGGAGCTCACATCTCCCTGCCACTGAGCCAACCCTGGCCTGTTCCCCAAATGCCTGGCCCCAGTGACCTCAAGCCTTGGGAACAGCTCTCTCCTTTGAACTGCAAACTGCAGCATTATCATCTATCCACACCACTTTTCTTTTCTTTTCTGCTATACAATATATACTACCTCATATTGTTTTTAGCTTTAAATTTTTAAAATTTATTTCACAAGCAACATTGTTAGAATAACATTAAAAAAAAAAATAGAAACATCACCCAGAATTACACCACTCTAGCAAAGGAATTCTTCTCATTATTCCTTGTGCTTTATAGTTCTCATCCATATATATTCTTACTTATCCTTTTTATTTTGAGACGGAGTTTCACTCTTGTTACCGGGGCTGGAGTGGGATGGTGCGACCTTGGCTCACCACAAACTCTGCTTCCTGGGTTCAAGCAATTTTCCTGCCTCAGCCTCCCGAGTAGCTGAGATTACAGGCATTTACCACCCTGTCTGGCTAATTTTGTATTTTTAGTAGAGACGTGGTTTCTCCATGTTGGTCAGGCTGGTCTTGAACTCCCAACCTCAGGTGATCTGCCTGTCTCGGCCTCCCACAGTGCTAGGATTACAGGCGTGAGGCACACCCCCAGCTTTTGTTTTTTTTTTTTTCTTTTGAGATGGAGTTTTGCTCTTATTGCCCAGGCTGGAGTGCAATGGCACAATTTCAACTCCCTGCAACTTCTGCCTTCTGGGTTCAAGCGATTCTCCTGCCTCAGCCTCCTAAGTAGCTGGGATTACAGGCATGCACCACCACACCTGGCTAACTTTGTATTTTTAGTAGAGATGGAATTTCGCCATGTTGGTCAGGCTGGTCTCGAACTCCTGACCTCAGATGATCCACCCACCTCAGCCTCCCAAAGTTCTGGGATTACAGGTGTGAGCCACCATGCCTGGCCTTACTTATCCCTTCAATGAACGTGTGCACACTGCCAGGTAGAGTCTGGTTCCTGTAAATGCAGAGTCCACATTTGCATCCTGCACATCATTGTGTTCCTGGTCCTTGTTACTGTCCTTAAGCTATAGCAGGCAGTCTGGGCCTTTAGGAGGTTGACAGCAGTGGTAAAGACAGCCTTGCTCATGTAATTTTTTTTTTTTTTTTTTTTTTGGACATAAGGTCTTGCTCTGTTGCTCAATCTGGAGTGTGGTGGTGTGGTCACAGCTCACTGCAGCCTCAACCTCCCAGCTTCAAGCGATCCTCTCACCTCAGCCTCCTGAGTACCTGGGACAATAGGCGTGTGCCAGCTTTTTTTGGGGAGGGGGCAGGGGGGCACGACAGGGTCTCACTGTGTCACCCAGGCTGGAGTGTGCACTGGTGCAATCTTGGCTCACTGCAACCTTCATCTCCCAGGCTCAAGCAATCCTCCCACCTCAGCCTCCCCAGTAGGTGGGGCTACAGGCTCACTGACACGCCCAGCTATTTTTATTCTTATTTATTTTTTATTGTTTTGTATTTTTTGTAGAGACAGATTTTTGCCATGTTGCCCAGGCTGGTTTCAAACTGCTGAGCTCAAGGGATCCACCTGCTTTGACCTTCCAAAGTGCTAGAATTATAGGCATGAGCCACTGCACCCAGCCTTCAAGTGCTTTTTGTCTTAAGGAAGTCTGAAAGGAGACTGTTGCACTGATGAAGGAAGAGGGTGCTGAGACAAGGGACTGATGGGAAAAAAATACTTCACACAAAGTATTAGTAGGCACTGGAGACTAACTAGGACCCAAGCATGAGGAAAAGGAGTAAAAGATGTTTTAAGTCTGGCTCACTGGGACAGTGATGAACATCAGAAGTTGGGAGGGGGGTGTCGTGGGTGGTGAAGATGAGGAAAGATGACTGTGGGGGCTTCAGTTGTGAGCTTGAAGTGACAGATATCCAAGTAAAAAATGCACAGTACCTACTCTCGGGAGAAGTTTCATGAGAGAGGGACATGAGCTGGCAGAGACAAGAAATAGCATCGTTGCAAGTCCTTCCGGCCCTTGTTGGTGTCTTACCACAGCCCTCCCTTAACTCTGTCGTCCCAGATTCTTTACACAGAGCGATTTGAAAATAAACTGGATCCCGAAGCATCCTCCATTAACCTGATTCACTGCTCACATTTTGAGAGCATGAACACAAGCCAAACTGCATCCGAAGACCAAGTGCCATACACAGTATCGTCCGTGTCTCAGAAAAATCAAGGGCAACAGTATGAGGAGGTGGAGGAAGTTTGGCTTCCTAATAACTCATCAAGAAACAGCTCACCAGGACTGCCTGATGTGGCGGAAAGCCAGGGGAGGAGATCACTCATCCCTTACTCAGATGCGTCTCTACTGCCCAGTGTCCACACCATCATCCTGGATTTCTCCATGGTACACTACGTGGATTCACGGGGGTTAGTCGTATTAAGACAGGTAAGTACTGAGGAGGCCTTGGCAGGAGCTCTGATCCCCCTCCTACCATCCCAACCCCACCCTGATCCTGATTGAATTCTGTTAGTCACTGATCAGCTGCTATGAGACTGCTAGGCCACCAGAGCCTTGGACACCAAAGGCAGTACAATATAAGGTCAATCAAAATAAAAAGAGAATGAACCAATTCTTTTTTCTTTTTTCTTTTTTGAGATGGAGCCTCACTCTGTTGCCCAGGCTGGAGTGCAGTGGCACAATCTTGGCTCACTGCAACCTCCACCTCCCAGGTTCAAGAGATTCTCCTGCCTCAGCCTCCTGAATAGCTGGAACTACAGGCATGTGTCACTACGCCCTGCTAATTTTTGTATTTTTGGTAGAGACGGGGTTTCACCATGTTGGCCAGGTTGGTCTCAAACTGCTAACCTCAAGTGATCCGCGCACCTCGGCCTACCAAAGCTCTGGGATTACAGGCGTGAGCCACCATGCCCAGCCTAAAATGAACCAATTCTGATGTATTGAGCTGCGGTTGGTTTGGTAAGCATAAAACATTATTATTTCTCAAGAAATGAAAAACAGGACACTCTGAACTTCACTGAAACAGCAATCTGTGCCACGCCCAGTAACTCCCAGAACATCCTGGGAGTCAGCTGCAAATCTCTTCAAGGAATAGGTCTGAATGCTTCAGAAAAAAAGCAGCTCACCAGGAATTCTCCACAGTTCAGCTGATCTGAGCCAGCACTGTAAAAGGCACTGGGCTGTCTTGTACTCCAGTTTGAAGACGTTGGGATGAAATGACACCTCAAACTTGGGGCTGGCTGTCCAGTACCTGCAGGGTCTTCCCCACTTCCTTCCTCACTGACACATCATCAGGTGAAAAGGACAAGGATGATTTTCCCTTCAAAAGCTGTGTCCCCGGGTCCTGACTTCTTTTCTACTCTTGGGTTTCTCTAACAGTTCTCTTTTGTCTTCCTCCTATATGGTACAGACAGTTTAAGTGCACAGCTAACCATATTGATGTCATTGTTTAATGCCTCATAAGTATAATATTCCTTTTTAGCCAGCTTATCCCAGTTTACAGCACTCTGTCTCCCTCTTGGTGATGGCTCAGGTTTGAACATCCTGAACACTCATGGTGTTTGAGTGCTTCTTTTGAGATTTGCACACCTCTTTTGAGATTTGTGCCTTTGGATGGTTTTCCTTCTTTTATCCTCAGAACCTATTTTGTCATATTTTCTTACTCCTAAGGGAATACGACTGCCTCTTAAGTGAGTCCAGCTTCTCTTTGGTCTGGGGCAAAAGGAAGCTTTTCATAGCAGAAAGAACTCTGGTTTGCAGTCTGGGATGTATGCTCTGTCTTGGCTCACTGTCCTTCTGACCCGAGGCAAGTTACTAAATTGAACTGGGTCTCCGTTTCCTAATCTACAAAATGAGAGGTTTGGAAGAGATTAAGAGCTTTCCCATCCATGAGATCCTTTTATTTTTCAACACCACTTTCTGACTCAATTATACTTTGAAAATCTGTTGTTATTTGGGCTTTTCCATCTTATTCTACTGGGCTATGTTCTCCCCTCCTGGTCCTGGGCTGTAGTTGTTACTTTAGATTTTATTCAGCCCACGTTGCTGAGTGTCTACTACGTGCCAGACTGAGCTGGGCACATGTATATACACTATCTCATGTAATTTTCACAACTGCCTTGAGAGACAGGCCATACTTTCCCCTAAGAGTCTGAGGCTCACAGCTCATAAGTGGCCTGTCCAGCATTGAAACTTTTAAGTATCTGACTTTATATCATACTTTCTCTCTGTTCCATGGTATAGTTGTGCCATTGTCTCCCTTGCTCCTCCTCTTTTTGTAGAGGCACCATATGTTCTGGTCCTTGGCAGCACCCACCCACACCTGGCCCATGTTGATGACTTTCTGTTCCATCCCCAACATGGAGACAATGTCAGACGCCTTTCACTTTCAGCCTTCAGAGATTCATGGTGTACTTTTGCACTCTAAAAATACAGGTTTCTTCATTTCCTTTGTAGTTGTGTATACTGCCTCCTTATTGGAAGAAATCATTCTATTTACTTTATAATTGAAAACTGGAACCTAAGAAAAATCCATCAGTCCATTTTTTTTTTTTTTTTTTTTTTTTGAGACAGCATCTTGCTGTGTCGCCCAGGCTGGAGTGCAGTGGCATGATCTCGGCTCACTGCAATCTCCACCTCCCGGGTTCAAGTGATTCTTCTGCCTCAGTCTCCTGAGTAGCTGGGACTACAGGCGCACACCACCACACCCGCATAATTTTTGTATTTTTAGTAGAGACGGGGTTTCACCATATTGGCCAGGCTTGTCTCGAACTTCTGACCTCGTGATCTGCTTGCCTCAGCCTCCCAAAGTGCTGGGATTACAGGCATGAGCCACCGCGCTCAGCCTACCCATCAGTCCATTCTTATTGGAGACAGCCACTCAGATTAAACTTCTTCCTAATTCATGGGACTTTCCTTTTCCAGCACTTGTCATTTAGAGTCTGTTGTGGCCCTTTGCCAAATGACTTTGTGATTTGCCATATGATCAAGAATGACTTCATTTCCTCTTGGTAGTGAAAGAAGCAGAGTTCGTTTCTTTTGACACTTTAACTTAGTGCTCAGGGTTGGTGTCTACTTAGTCTTAAGTATTAAAGTCGATATTGATTTGCTTTGAAGTGAACTTCAAGATTTATTGCCCCACAGTGTATATATTGGCTGAAGCAAACTTGAGGACAGTAGCTGATGTTTACTTATCTGATAGTAAACATCTGATGTTTTACTAAAATCAAATGCAACTTTGCAAGGCAGCTCTGAATGTGACCCTCAGGGTTTCTGAATTCCGTTCCCTACTGCATCACTTGAGCGTCTCTGAGCCACATCTTGCTTCCTCTGCTCAGTAAACTCCAGGGGGAAGTGGGGGTCTCATGCAAACACTAGGCCATCATGCCAAAATATGGTTGTTTGAGATGATTCTCCAGAGTGTTTGCCTCACACCTGTGCCTGTCTCTATGCTAGGGCTTTCCTCCTGCAGACGTCCTGTCTTGATATATACTGTTTATCCCCTTGAGACTATGGGCAGCTCTCCCTCCTGCTCCCCACCCTCACATGACACGGTCTGATTCTCTTTTGCATTCCCAGCACTGTAGATGTTTTCCGGCATAGAGAACTCCACTCATCAAATGTTTGTAGAGCTGAATTGGGATGCAAGGTACATATACCCCCAGACAAGTGAAGGGCCAAAGGGGTTTTAAAACTCGGCTAATTGGCTGGGTGCAGTGGCCCACGCCTGTAATCCCAGCATTTTGGGACGTCGAGGCAGGCAGATCACGAAGTCAGGAGTTTGAGACCAGCCTGGCCAATATGGTGAAACCCTGTCTCTATTAAAAATACAAAAATTAGCCAGGCGTGTGGTATGCACCTGTAGTCTCAGCTACTTGGGAGGCTGAGGTGGACAAATCACTTGAACCTGGGAGGCGGAGGTTGCAGTGAGCCGAGATCATGCCACTGCACTCCATCTGGGTGACAGAGTGAGACTCTGTCACAAAAAACCAAAACAAAACAAGACAAAAACTTAGCTAATTAGAAGGCCTTTCCTAGCAAGTATAAAGCCTTCTGATACTGGTTTTCTCTCCCCCCACAGATATGCAATGCCTTTCAAAACGCCAACATTTTGATACTCATTGCAGGGTGTCACTGTGAGTATCCTTCACCCTATGAGAGGGCTGTTTTGCACCCTGGGTCCTCTGCTCCCCAAGTATCTGACATTGTGTGTGTTCTGGGTTTGGTTTTTAGCTTCCATAGTCAGGGCATTTGAGAGGAATGATTTCTTTGACGCTGGCATCACCAAGACCCAGCTGTTCCTCAGCGTTCACGACGCCGTGCTGTTTGCCTTGTCAAGGAAGGTCATAGGCTCCTCTGAGTTAAGCATCGATGAATCCGAGACAGTGATACGGGAAACCTACTCAGAAACAGACAAGGTCAGACAAACCGACAAAGCATGAGGTTGGGGGAAGGGATTGAGGGCAGTGGGGGGATGGGTGAGGGGTGGTTGGGGGCTGGGAGTCAGGATTCCTGATCAGATAGAGGAATAATGTCCAGGAAAGGTATTTAGTATGGCTGTACCAGAATCTGGGATGTTGAAATGCACCCTTACCACTTGGTAAATAGCAGTGGATCTGAGCAGCCAAGTGCCCTCACTGTCATGGCATCAGGGTTCCATTCAAGAAATTTCCCTAACTGAAGAGAGGGTTTGCCCAACCCAGCACAGACCTCAAGGATCCTTCTACAGCATTCTTGGTTAGTGTCTATTACCAGTTGCTAAATATTCTAAATGTCTCCCCTAGCTATACCTTTAGAATTCCTCCCCACCCCACCCACTCTTGGGATGAATAATAATACTAATGAACTAGCAGAGATTCAGATCTATAATCTTGTCTAATACCTCAGCTTTATTACCTTTACATTGTTGTGGTATGAGATTTACTCAAGCTGACCAAATGCAAAGGAGAATAATATATAAGTCTGAATTTTCAGCCTTTTATTAATACTGAGACCTGGCTGAGTGCGATGGCTCACGCCTGTAATCCTAGCACCTTGGGAGGCCGAGGCAGGTAGATCATGAGATCAGGAGTTCGAGACCATCCTAGCCAACATGGTGAAACTCCTTCTCTACTAGAACTACAAAAATTAGCCAGGCATGGTGGCGGGCACCTGTAGTCCCAGTTGCTTGGGAGGCTGAGGCAGAATTGCTTGAACCCGGGAGGCAGAGGTTGCAGTGAGCTGAGATCACGCCACTGCACTCCAGCCTGGGCGACAGAGTGAGACTCTGTCTAAAAAAAAAAAAATACTGAGACCTGGGCCTACTTTAGCATTTTCAAATCAGTACCTGTGTAGGTTAAAGGTTTCCAAAAACAAAAAAAGGAAATTAAAACAGATGGGCACTAAAATATTATCTAATATTATCTAATGACTAGAAATCATTATTAAACAAAGCCTAGTTGATGAAATGAGACACCACATCTGAAACAGTTAAGACCGTACAACGGGCGGGCGAGATGGCTCACGCCTGTAATCCCAGCACTTTGGGAGGCCAAGGCAGGCGAATCACTAGGTCAGGAGATCGAGACCATCCTGGTGAAACCCCATCTCTACTAAAAATACAAAAAAATTAGCCGGGCGTGGTGGCACGCGCCTGTAGTCCCAGCTACTTGGGAGGCTGAGGCAGGAGAATCGCTTGAACCCAGGAGGCAGAGGTTGCAGTGAGCCGAGATCGCGCCACTGCACTCCAGACTGGGCGACGGAGTGAGACTCTAAAAAAAAAAACAAAAAAACACACACACACACAACTAGTTAACTGGTAGTTAATAAAAAAACAACTAGTTAACTAGTAGTTAATAATTAGTAATGACTAACTAATTGGTTTGAATTATGCAGTCTGCTTTTACTATAAATGGAAGTTTCTCTATTTTTTAATTTATAATTATGATACTCGATATATTTGTTTTTACATATTTAGTCATATCTATTAATGTTTCCTTTTCTTATTATATTTACTTTTTATTTAGAAAGTCATTCCCTCTTAGAAGGTAAATAAGACACATTTTCTAGATTTTTATGTTTTTATTTTTTATATGTTATACTCTTTAATGTAAATAGAATGTATTTCAGTATACAGGTATTGAAGGGTAATCTTTATTTTTTTTTTATTTTTGAGACAGTCTCATTCTGTCACCCAGGCTGGAGTGCAATGGCATGGTCTCGGCTCACTGCAACCTCTGCCTCCTGGGTTCAAGCGATTCTCCTGCCTCAGCCTTCCAGGTAGCTGGGACTACAGGCGCCCGCCACCACACCTGGATAATTTTTATATTTTTAGTAGAGACAGGGTTTCACTATGTAGGCCAGGCTGGTCTTGAACTCCTGACCTCATGATCTACCCGCCCCAGCCTCCCAAAGTGCTGGGATTACAGGCATGAGCCACTGCACTCAGGCTTAATCTTTATTTTTTATCTATGTAGCTAACTATTTTGGGCTATATGCCATCTATCTTAGTTCATTAGTGCTACTATAACAAAATATCTGAGACTGGGTAATTTGTAAATAATAGATATTTATTTCTCACAGTTCTGAATGCGAGAAGTCCAAGATCAAGGTCCTGGCAGTTTCAGTGTCTGCTGAGGGCTTCTTCCATCTTCTCTCAGCAGCATCCCCACATGGCAGAAGGTGGAAGGACAAAAGGGTTTATGCTAGCCCTCCAGCCCTTTTATAAGGCACTAATCCATTCACAAGGGCAGAGCCCTTATGACTTAATCACTCCCCAAAGGCCTCACCTCTTAATACCACCACAATGTGGATGGATTTTGGAAGCCACTCATGCAAATCATACCACCATCCAACCATCTATTGAATAAGCCTTCTTTCCCCTACTGATATGTTATTTTCATAAAATATTATATTCTTATGAAAACTAAAGTGTATTTCTAGTTTAGTTGTGGATGTCATTTTTCTGTATAGCTTCAGTATCACAGTGTTTTTTGTTTTTGTTTTTGTTTTTTGAGACAGAGTCTCACTTTGTCGCCCAGTCTGGAGTGCAGTGGCACAATCTCGGCTCACTGCAACCTCCGCCTCCCAGGTTCACGTGATTGTCCTGCCTCAGCGTCCTGAGTAGCTGGGCTTACAGGCATGCGCCACCACACCTGGCTTATTTTTGTATTTTTATTTGAGACGAGGTTTCACCATGTTGCCCAGGCTGGTCTCGAACTCCTGACCTCAGGTGATCTGCCCACCTTAGCCTCCCAAAATGCTGGGATTACAGATGTGAGCCATCGTGCCTAGCCATCACACTGTTTTTATTAGTATTGCTGTATAATACACTTTAACATTTGGTTAAGAAGTCCTATGTCATCAGTGTTCTATTTCAAAATTTGCTAAGTCATTCTCACCAATTTATTCTTCCAAACCAACTTTTGAATCTTTTGTCAGGTCCCCACCCCACAAAAACAAATCTTATTGAAATAATCATTAGAGTTGTATTAAAAATATAAAATCCCTTGAGAATTTATATCTTTATAGTATTCATTCTTCTTATCCAGAAACATGAACTGTCTCTACATTTATTGTCTTCTTAAATGTTTCATTCATAGTAAGGTTTTGTGACTTTCTTCACATGGGAAAATCTTAGATACTTTATATGTTTTACTTTTTTGTTTTTTTGAGACAGGGTCTCACTCTGTCACCCAGGCTGAAGTGCAGTGGCATGATCACAGTGCACCACAGCCTCGGCCTCTCAGGCTCAAGCAATCCTCCAACCTCAGCCTCCTGAGTATTTGGGAGTACAGACGCACACCACTATGCCCAGCTAATATTTGTATCTTTCACAGAGACGGGGTTTTGCCATGTTGCCCAGGCTAGTCTTAAACTCCTGGGCTCCAGCAATCCACCCACCTCCACCTCCCAAAGTGCTGGGATTACAGGCATGAGCCACCACACCTGGCCATTTCCATTATATTTTCTAACTGGCAATTGCTAACATATAGGAAACTCATTGGTTTTTATTAAATTATTTGGCTACCTTTGTGAATCACTTTACTATTCCTAAGAGGTTTCACTGTTAATTCCTTTGGGTTTTCCAAATAGGAAAATATTTTCTAAAAATAATACTAATCTCTTATGTTCCAATTGTTAGAATTCTTATTTCAATATCATATATTATTGCATTAACTAAACCTCTCAGAACAAGTAATAATGATGAATCTTGTCTTACTCCTGAATTTAATGAGAAGGATCCTGTGTGTCTCTATTAAGACTAGTGGTGGCCAAGTGTGGTGGCTCATGCCTGCAATCCTAGCACTTCGGGAGGCCAAGGAAGGCGGATCACTTGAGGCCAGGAGTTTGAGACCAGCCTGGCCAACATGACAAAACCCTGTCTCTACAAAAAATACAAAAAAATTAGCTGGGCATGCTGGCGCGTGCCTATAACCCCAGCTACTCAGGAGGCCAAGGCATGAGAATCACTTTAACCCAGGAAGCGGAGGTTGCAGTGGGCTGAGATCCTGCCACTGCACTCCAGCCTGGGCAACAGAGCGAGACCCTGTTTCAAAAAAAAATTAAAAAATAAAAGACTAGTGGTGATGCTGGTTTAAGATGGACATATCAGCCAGCCGTAGTAACTCATGCCTGTAATGTCAGCACTTTGGGAGACTGAGGCAGAAGAATCACTTGAGGCCAGGAATTTCAGAGCAACCTGGACAACATAGTGAGACTCTTATCTTGAAAAAAAAAACTAAAAATCAGCCAGGTATGATGGTGCATACCTGTAATCCTAGCTACTCGGGAGCTTGAGGCAGGAGGATTGCTTGAGCCCAGTAGTTTGAGGTCACAGTGAGCTTTGATTGTGCCACTGCACTCTGGCCTGGATGACAGAGTAAGACCCGGTCAAAAAAAAAGATGGACATTATCTACTATGTTTTTAAAAAATATTTTCCTAACGTACTAACATTCTTATATTAAGACTTGGTATTGAATATGTCAATTGTTTTCTACTATTTAAGACAGGGAAGACTAGGAGAGGAGCAAGTTCTATTTCATGTGTATTGAATTCAAAATGCCTGGGCCAGGTGTGGCCTCACGCCTGTAATCCTAGCACTTTGGGAGGTGAGGCAGGTGGATCACTTGAGGCCAGGAGTTCGAGACTAGCCTGGCCAACATGGTGAATCCTATTCTCAACTAAAAATACGAAAATTAGTCGGGTGTGGTGGCGCATGCCTGTCATTCCAGCTACTTGGGAGCCTGAGGCAGGAGAATCACTTGAACCTGGGAGGCGGAAGTTGCAGTGAGCCAAGATCATGCCACTGTACTCCAGCCTGGGCAACAGAGTGATACTCTGTCTAAAACAAAACAAAACAAAACAAAAAAATTCAAGTGGCCTATTAAACATTCAAATGGAGATGTCAAGAATGGAAGTGAATTTATGAACCTGCAGATCAGGGGAAGGGTTATAACCAAAGAATCATCAGCATCAGCATATAGATGGTAATGAAAATTATGGGCCCAAAATAAAAGTCCCTATGGAGAGAGCATAGATAGACAAGAGAAAGGTCCCAGGATCAAGCCCTGGGGCATACCAACATCTAGAAGTCCAGTAGAAGGAGAGGAGATAGCAAAAAGACCAAGGAGCAGCAACCAGGAAGGAAGGAGGAAAAGCAGAAGAGTGTCATATGGTGGTCGAGAAGAAAATGTTTCAGGAAAGTTGAAGTGATTAATTTTGAGGAATGCTGTTACAGGCTGATTCAAGGCTGATGCAAGGCCTGTGGGCACCTGCTATGTGACAAGCTCAGTGTCTGGTACTGGGGATATCAAGAACCAGGCCCTGTCATATACCACAAGGAGCTTAGAGTCTAGTAAGGAGTAGGTTTGTAAATAAATAAAGAATATGTTACTGGTACTATGATGGAAGTGTGAATGAGATGTAGTTGGAACACAAAAGAAGCTGTGGTCCTGCCTGGTCATCTTGGCTCTGAATCTGGGGTGATGACTAAGTGGATGTGGACAAGATGGAGGAGGACAAGGTAGGCAAAGGGAATGGCACGCACAAAGCTGAGCAGTAGTCAGGCAACTCTGGGTAACTTTATGGTGAGAGCAAAGGGCGGGGACCACAGCTGGAATAAAGCTAAAGAAGAATGGCAAGAGGCCAGGTCACACACAGCCTTATAGGCCCTGTCAAGGATTGCACTGGGGGTTGGCAAGACAAGTAAGATCAAGAAGACAAGATGTTTCAGAATGTTGTTAAGTCCATTGCTGTTTTAAATGGTTGGTCATGAAATCCGGTCTAGCTAGAAAAGCCAGAGAAATTCTAAGTTGGAAATTGATTGAGTCTGAAGAATAGTGAGTAACTGAGAAACCAGAAGGTAGAAAGAAGATGAAAAGCAGATTTATGGATGATGTCATTGGCATTTTAAAGAAAATTAAAAAAAATTTTAATGAAAAATAAATAAAGGTTGGGCACAGTGGCTCATGCCTGTAATCCCAGCACTTTGGGAGGCTGAGGCAGGTGGATCACTTGAGCTCAGGAGTTTGAGACCAGCCTGGCCAACATGGTGAAACCCTGTCTCTACTAAAAATATAAAAATTAGCCAGTCGTGGTGGTGCATATCTGTAGTCCCAACTACTTGGGAGGCTGAGGCAAGAGAATCACTTGAATTCGGGAAGTAGAGGTTGCAGTGAGCCAAGATCATGCCACTGCACTCCAGCCTGGGCAACAGAGCAAGACTCTGTGTCAAAATTAATAATAATAATAAACAGAAAAGTAGATTTAGGCAAGAAATATTTTCTACTCTGCAAGGAACCCATGGTTCTGGTACCTTAAGTCCTGTTGTATTCTGAAATTCCTTGACTGCTCAAAAATTAAAATTCTGGGTTTTTTTGTTTGTTTGTTTTTTGAGACAGTCTCACTGTGTTGCTCAGGCTGGAGTGCAGCGGTGTAAACACAGCTCACTGCAGTCTCAGCCTCAAGCAATCCTCCTGCCTCAGCCTCCTGAGTAGCTAGGACTACAGGCATGTGCCATCATGCCCAACTAGTTTTTAAAATAATAATAATTATTATTATTATATAATAATTATAATTATTATTATTATTTGTTAAGATAGAAGTTTTACTATGTTGCCCAGGCTGGCCTTGAACTCCTGGTCTAAAGCGATTCTCCTGCCCCAGCCTCTCAAAGTGCTGGGATTACAGGTATGAGCCACTGCGTTCAGCAGAAGGTTAAATTTAATTAGAAATTTTAACCCACCTAATTGTATTTCAGAATGACAATTCAAGATATAAAATGAGCAGCAGTTTTCTAGGAAGCCAAAAAAATGTAAGTCCAGGCTTCATCAAGATCCAACAGCCTGTAGAAGAGGAGTCGGAGTTGGATTTGGAGCTGGAATCAGAACAAGAGGCTGGGCTGGGTCTGGACCTAGACCTGGATCGGGAGCTGGAGCCTGAAATGGAGCCCAAGGCTGAGACCGAGACCAAGACCCAGACCGAGATGGAGCCCCAGCCTGAGACTGAGCCTGAGATGGAGCCCAACCCCAAATCTAGGCCAAGAGCTCACACTTTTCCTCAGCAGCGTTACTGGCCTATGTATCATCCGTCTATGGCTTCCACCCAGTCTCAGACTCAGACTCGGACATGGTCAGTGGAGAGGAGACGCCATCCTATGGATTCATACTCACCAGAGGGCAACAGCAATGAAGATGTCTAGGAGATGAACTAGAAATAAGGGGTCAGATAATGCTGGCAAATCCTCCTACCCAAAAAGGGGTCAATTGTCCAGAGACCTAGACTGGATACGAACTAGCAGTACTTCCTTCCTGACTGTGACTCCTACTACCTGCCAGCCTTCTTCCTTGCTCTGCGCTGGGATCATACTCCCAAATCACATTACTAAATGCCAACAATTATCTCTGAATTCCCTATCCAGGCTCCCCTCATTTCACCTTCAGCATATATTCTAGTCATGAATTTCCTTCTTCACACACCCCACATCTCTGGGCTTTGTGCCAGACCATCTCTAACTTAATCCTCTCATCCCTGTTCCCCTTTCTCCAAAGAGATGAAGCTCAAATAAAATGTATAACTCTAGTAACATTTGGATCCTTCCTGCACCTTCTCCCTTCTCTGTATTCTGTATCCTGAAGGAAATGTCAAATAGGAGGGATCCTGGAAGGGAGTGGACATCATGGAGAAGAGATGAACAAGAAAAAGAAAAATTAAGTAGCATTTGTATTTTATATGCAAGGTATTTTCCCTGTACTGATAGGGGAAATGGGGAAAACAGGCAGGTTAATCCAGGCCAAAGGTAAGCCAGCCTGTGAGACTTGTAGTACCAGGTCCTGCTAAGCTGAGAGCACTTTTGCTGTCATTCTCAGAGGTCAAGATCTTATCCTGCCACTCGTTTCATAAGGCCAATTAGTAGTACCAACTGATGGGAATTCCCTTTCTGGAACTCTCCCTGGTGTTCAGATTCACATTCACCATTGCTTCTTTCTTACAAGTTTTTAAGATATAGGCAATTTGGAATCTGTACTCTTGGTGCACCGAGGAGTTAAAATCTGTGACAGCCACAACCAGCCTAGAAGTTGGAAAAGTCAATCATTACTAGTTTTGTCCAAATCCATTCAAAAAATTTCCCCCTTCCCCATTTAAAATATGTCTAGTATTAAAGTATGACCAGAAGAAAAATATAGACCCCTGGGCAAAGGTATATGAAATCCTGAATTTTATTTCCAGCTCAAAAAACATGACTCCTCCTGTTTGGGTACTCCATTTCTCTTGTTAAGTGAAATAAATCTTAGTTAAAATATAGATTTCTTTTATCATAGAGATAGCACATGCATTCACTCATTCTACAAGCATTTTGTTACATGCATCTGCTACATGCATAGCACCTTGAACTGTGAGGTAGGTAAAATAATATTATCCTAATTTATACATGCATAAACTGAGATATAATGTGCAATATGACCTTGTAAATACAAAAAGAGGTAGGGGCCAAAGTCACAAGCTTCATTGTTTCATGTTTACTGAACACATTTATTGAACACCTACTCTGTGCTAAGCACTGTCCCAGGTGCTGAAGATATAGGATGAGTATAGAACAGATGACAAAAATAATTACAAATTGTGAAAAGCAATAAATTACAAATTGTGAAGGTGAAACACAAGAAACTCTTGGGGCATGTATCAAGAGACCTGACCTAGTCTTGAGTCTCAAGGAAGTTCTTCCCAAGGCAATGACATATGACTTGAGATCCTGAAGGATGAGTAGGAGATAGGCTTAAAGCAAGTTCCAATGACTACTAGAAGAGCAGGACCAAATGGGAAACCAAGAGCGGTGGCCATGGATGAGAACAGAAGCTGAATATCCTGGGGCACAACTAGATGGAGGCTATGATACCAAGGGCTCAACTAGAAATGTCAAACCAGGAATAAGTTGTCAGGATGGCAGGGACAGGCACAGAAATCTGCCAAAGCCAAGGAAACATTTCACATTTATAACAGGAGACTAAGAAGTGCACAGAGAGCCCAGTTTCTGCGGGCTGCTGCCTTCTCACTCCAGTTCCCTTCTAGTCCCATGTATCCATTAGAGTAAAGTCTGTAAACACAGAATCAATGGCTTCTGACACTTGCACCATTAAGTCATAGAGTCTAGACTTGGGTCCTTTCTGCCACAACTGCAACAAGGCTGTATTAGTCTGTTTTCACTCTGCTATAAAGATACTACCTGAAACCAGGTAATTTATAAAGAAAGGAGGTGTATTAGATCATTTTCATGCTGCTGATAAAGACATATCTGAGACTGGGAAGAAAAAGAGGTTTAATTGAACTTACAGTTCCACATGGCTTGGGAGGCCTCAGAATCATGGTGGGAGGTGAAAGGCACTTCTTACATGGTGGCGGCAAGAGAAAATGAGGAAGAAGCAAAAGCAGAAACCCCTGATAAAACCGTCAGATCTCGTGAGACTATTCACTATCATGAGAATAGCATGGGAAAGATCAGCCCCCATGATTCAATTACCTCCCCTGGGTCCCTCCCACAACACGTGGGAATTCTGGGAGATATAATTAAAGTTGAGATTTGGTCGGGACACAGCTCCCAAACAAATCATTCCACCCCGACCCCTCTAAATCTCATGTCCTCAAGTTTCAAAACAAATCATGGCTTACCAACAGTCCCCCAAAGTCTTAACGCATTTCAGCATTAACACAAAAGTCCACAGTCCAAAGTCTCATCTGAGACAAGGCAAGTCCCTTCCGCCTATGAGCCTATAAAATCGAAAGCAAGCTAGTTACTTCCTAGATACAATGGGAGTACAGGTATTGGGTAAATACAGCCATTCCAAATGGGAGAAATTGGCCAAAACAAAGGGTGTACAGGGCCCATGCAAGCCCAAAATCCGGTGGGGCAGTCAAATTTCAAAGCTCCAAAATGATCTCCTTTGACTCAAGGTCTCACATCCAGGTTATGTAAGAGGTGGGTTCCCATGGTCTTGGGCAGCCCCACCCCTGTGGCTTTGCAGGGTACAGCCTCCCTCCTGGCTGCATTCATGGGCTAGTGTTGAGTGTCTGTAGCTTTTCCAGGTGCACGGTGCAAGCTGTCAGTGGATCTACCATTCTGGGGTCTGGGGGATGGTGGCCCTCTTCTCACAGCTCCACTAGACAGTGCCCCAGTAGGGACTCTGTGTGGGGGCTCCAACCCCACATTTCCCTTCTGCACTGCCCTAGCAGAGATTTTCCATGAGGGCCCCGCCCCTACAGCAATCTTTTGCCTAGGCATCCAGGCATTTCCACACATCTTCTGAAACCTAGGCAGAGGTTCCCAAACCTCCATTCTTGACTTCTGTGCACCCACAGGCTCAACACCATGTGGAAGCTGCCAAGGTTTGGGGCTTCCACCCTCTGAAGCCACAGCCCGAGCTCTATGTTGGCCCCTTTCGGCCATGACCAGGGCAGCTGGGACACAGAGCACCAAGTCCCTAGGCTGCGCACAGCACAGGGACCTGGGCCCGACCCATGAAACCACATTTTCTTCCTGGGCCTCCAGGCCTGTGATTGGAGGGGCTGCTGTGAAGGTCTCTGACGTGGCCTGGAGACATTTTCCCCATGGTCTTGGGGATTAACATTAGGCTCCTTGCTACTTCTGCTGCCAGCTTGAATTTCTCTCCAGAAAATTGGTTTTTCTTTTCTATCACATTGTCAGGCTGCAAATTTTCTGAACTTTTATGCTCTGCTTCTTTTATAAAACTGAATGCCTTTAACAGTACTCAAGTCACCTCTTGAATGCTTTGCTGCTTAGAAATTTCTTCTGCCGGATACCCTAAATCATCTCTGTCAAGTTCAAAGTTCCACAAATCTCCAGGGCGGGGGCAAAATGCCACCAGTCTCTTTGTTAAAACATAACAAGAGTCACCTTTGTTCCAATTCCCAACAAGTTCCTCATCTCCATCTGAGACCACCTCAGCCTGGACCTTATTGTTCATATCACTATCAGCATTTTGGGCAAAGCCATTCAACAAGTCTCTAGGGAGTTCCAAATTTTCCCACATTTTCTTGTCTTCTTCTGAGCCCTCCAAACTGTTCTAACCTCTGCCTGTTACCCAGTTCCAAAGTTGCTTCTGCATATTCAGGTATCTTTTCAGCAGCAACCCACTCTACTGGTACCAATTTACTGTATTAGTCCGTTTTCATGCTGCTGGTAAAGACATATCTGAGACTGAGAAGAAAAAGAGGTTTAACTGAATTTACAGTTCCACATGGCTTGGGAGGCTTCAGAATCATGGAAGGAGGTAAAAGGCACTTCTTACATGGCGGTGGCAAGACAAAATGAAGAGGAAGCAAAAACAGAAATCCCTGATAAAACCATCAGATCCTGTGAGACTTATTCACTATCACGAGAATAGCACAGGAAAGACTGGCCCCCATGATTCAATTACCTCCCCCTGGGACCCTCCCACAACACGAGGGAATTCTGGGAGATACAATTAAAGTTGAGATTTGGTGGGGACACAGCTAAACCATATCAGGAGGTTTAATTGACTCACAGTTCCACATGACTGGGGAGGCCTCAGGATACTTACAATCATGGTGGAAGGCAAAGGGGAAGCAGGCACCTTCTTCACAAGGTGGCAGGAGAGAGCAAAAGGGGAGCTGCCAAACACTTTTAAAACCACCAGCTCTCGTGAGAACTCACTATCACGAGAACAGCATGGGGGAAACTGCCCCCATGATCCAATCACCTCCCACCAAGTCCCTCCCATGTGGCGACTGCAATTCGGATTACAATTCAAGATGAGATTTGGATGGAGACACAGAGCCAAACCATATTAATGGTAAAATATTGGCTTTCATGCATGACCTCAGAAAGACCAACCAGATGCTTGGACTATACTCCGTCTTTTAAAAATATTCTGGTATAAACCCATAGCATTGAGCCCCTCCCAAAGTAATCAAATAAGGAAAATTGATTAACTCATCGTAAATAGTACAGCACTAAAGAAAGGGTAAAGTGATTAACAATTCAAAGGCTAAGTCTTCCAACATGCAGATCACTCGAAATTCTAAGCCATTTCAAACTTTACCAAATGGTATAGTTTGGATTAGTTAGCTCACTTTTTGCAGCATGGTCATCATGGCTTTCTCTCTCTAATAAGAAACTGGAGAAAAATTCTAAAGGCTGCAAAATGGGTAAAGAATAAGTTGGAAAGTATAAATGTCTTGGAAGCACAAATACTTCCATTACTTTCCCTCAAAACAGCTTGTGTTCTACAGTAAATGGCGGTTGAGGTATGATTTTCATATGTGAATATCTAAGTGGATTCCACAGTACTGCAAAAAAGTAGGTTTGAAAGAGACTGTCAAAAAATAAAGTGACCCCAGGTAGCTGTCTCTATATGTGTTAAGTGTCACAAAGTCCAAGGACTCAACTATATTGCATCCAGATGTGACTCATTAGCAGAGGTAGAGAATAATGGCATAATCCAAGGTATTATTAGGGCCATAGAATTTCAGTGGTTGGAAGGACCACGAGGGCTGACTAGTCAAATTACCCATCTAATCTCTTACAATTTAATTAAACATTTATTGGAATGCTCACCATATCCTAGATACTATGTGTTTTAGTAATCTATTGCTGCGTAACAAACCACCCCAAAATTTAGTAGCTTAAAACAATAATCATGCATTTGCTAATAATTCTGCAATTTAGGTTGGGTTTAGCTGGGCCTATTTTTTAAATAATTTTTTAGTTTTGCAGCTGGGCCTGTTCTTTTATTTTTGTAAAGACAGGGTCTTGCTATGTTGCCCAGGCCAGTCTTGAACTCCTGGCCTCAAGTGATCTTCCCACGTCAGCCTCCCAAAGTGTTGGGATTACAGGTGTGAGCCACCACAACCCACCCCCAAATATTTTTTATACCTGCTTGGTTGAATCTGCAGATGTGGAACTCATGAATATGGAGGGCCGACTCGACATAGTACCACCTATAACGTAATTATGCCAAAAAATTGAACCCGAATATTATCAGTCCTCTAGATCTGGTAGATTGTAGTAAATACAAGGAGCAGAGGAACATGTTAAATAACACTAGGAGAATCTAATTAGTAGAATCCAGAAAATTCAACGGAACAAATGAACCAGTTTCTTTAACAACTAAGATGAAAAACAGCTGGGCATGGTGGTATGTGCCTATAGTCCCAGCAACTTGGGAGGCTGACACAGGAGGATCGCTTGAGCCCAGGAGTTAGAGACCAGCCTGGGCAACATAGAAAGACCACATATTTAAAAAAAAAAAAAAGATGAAAAACAAACATAACAACAACAAAAACAGAGGGAGGAGGAACCTATAAACCAGGAGACTTAAGTGTTATATCAACTACGTGCAATGCATGGACCTTGTTTGAATCCTATGTGAACTAATTAACTGGAAAAGAACATAAGAAAACTTCTACTTTTGAGTAAAATGTAGTAGGATGTTACAGTTTATCACTTTACATCAAGAGGAAAAACATGAGCTGGGCATCATGGCTCATGCATGTAATCCCAAAACTTTGGTAGGTTTAGGCAGGAGGATCACTTGAGCTCAGGAACTCGAGACCAGCCTGGGCAACATGGTGAGACCCTGTCTCTTTAAAAAAAAAAAAAAAGTGAAAAAAAATGAATGAATTATAAAAATCATATTTTGAAAGATATTGGAGAGCTGTAGAAGCAAAGAAGATTAAAAGAACTAAAAGTTAAGAGAGAAAAGATTCCTTCCCAGGGAAGTTGAGATTATTGGCCATTTTCTTTCTTAGGGGTTTGTATTAGTCTGTTTTTACACTGCAAAAGACATACCTGAGACTGGACCATTTACAAAGGAAAGAGGTTTAATGGAGAACTCACAGTTCCACATAGCTAGAGAAGCCTCAAGATTATGACAAAGGGCAAGGAGGAGCAAACCACATCTTACATGGATGGCAGCAGGTAAAGAGAGAGTTTGTGCAGGGCAACTCCCATTTTCTAAAACCATCAGATCTCATGAGACCCATTCACTATCACAAGAATAGTACAGGAAAGACCCACCCCCCCAATTCAATCATCTTCCACCAGGTCCCTCCCACAACATGTGGGAATTATGGGAGCTACAAGATAAGATTTGGGTGGGGACACAGAGCCAAACCATATCAGGGTTATTTGCTGAGTTTGGGTAAGTGCTAAAGATCAGGCTTTCCTTAGGCACAGTGAAGCTTCTGATAGCACATGGGCTGTCACAACCAACTGACTGCTGTTCTACTCAAGACATCTGCTGAGTGCCAGGGCCACTCAGGAGACTAGAGATTGGCCTGCAAAGGCAAAATGAAGTTTCCTACAGTCCGAAAATGCTTAGGAGACAAGGTACCACTATGGAAACAGGACATAAGCACACAAAGAGTCTTCCCCTTGAAACATTTAAAATCAGAGGTGGGCTGAGTCTAACCAATGCCAGAGCATAGCTCAATTCCTGATTGAATTGAGATGATAACTGCCTCACCTTATTTGCCTTATTAGGCAAATAGAAAAAAAGAGTATATCTTATCTTGGGGGCAGTAACATTGACTTCAGTTTATGTTTTTAAACAACATCCAGCATATAGTTAGAAACAATCACAAGGCACATGAAGAGGCAGGAAAAGTATCTGATAATTAAGAAAAAATTATATAATATAAGCAGTCCCACAGATGATCCAGGTGTTAGAATTAGCAGTCAAGGACTTCAAAATAATGATTATAAGGATGTTAAAGTAGAGTAAAAGATGGGCAAAATGAAGATAGATAATTTCAAAAGAGAATTGTAACCTATAGAAAAAGAATCAAATGGGCATTCTAGAACTGAAATATGAAGTATTAGAAAATAAAAACTTATCAGATGAATTTAACAGACTGAACACAGCAAAACATAGGATTAGATAACTGAGACAGTAAACAGAAAATATTCTAAATGAAGCACATAGAGAAAAAAATGAAAAAAAAAACAAAACAGAAGAGAGCATTCAAGACATGTAGGACAAAGTCAAATGGCCTAATATATATCTTTTTTTTTTTTTTTTGAGACAAAGTCTCACTCTGTCACCCAGGCTGGAGTGCAGTGGCACGATCTCAGCTCACTGCAACCTCCGCCTCCTGGGTTCAAGGAATTCTCCTGCCTCAGCCTCCCGAGCAGCTGGGACTACAGGTGCACACCATCATGCCCGGCTAATTTTTGTATTGTTAGTAGAGACAGGGTTTCACCATGTTGGCCAGGCTGGTCTCAAACTCCTGACCTTGTGATCCGCCCACCTCAGCCTCCCAAAATGCTGGGATTATAGGTGTGAGCCATCGTGCCTGGCCCCCTAATATATATCTTATAGGAGTTCCAGAAACAGAGAAAAGAATAGGGAAAGCAATTTCTGAAACTATAGTGACTGGCAATTTGCCAAAACAGGAAAGATCGTTCAAAGATTCAAGACGGCTGAAAAGCAGGATAAAGTAGAAACCAAGTGTAGGCATATAATAGCCAAGTTGCTGAAAACCAAAGATAAACAGTAAATCTTACACAAAGCCGAGAAAGAAGACCCATACTTACAGGAGAACAGCAAGAACACTGATTGCTAAACTTTCCCATGAAAGCCAGAAGACTCTTTTAGGATGACATCTTTTAAGTTCTGAAAGAAAAAAAATATGGGCTGCGTGTGTTGGCTCATGCCTGTAATCCCAGCACTTTGGAAGGCTGAGGTCGGAGGATGGATCACTTGAAGCCAGGAGTTTGAGACCAGCCTGGCCATCATGGCAAAACTCCATCTCTACTAAAAACTTTTAAAAGTTACTCAGGCATGGTGGTACGTACGCACCTGTAGTTCCAGCTACTCGGGAGGCTAAAGTAGGAGAATCGCTTGAACCCCAGAGGCAGAGGTTGCAGTGAGCTGAGTTCACACTATGGCACTCCAGCCTAGGCGACAGAGCAAGACTTGGTCAAAAGAAAAGAGAAGAGAAAAGAAAAGAGAAAAGATGGCGACCTAAAATTGCTGAGAGATGAATGAGCTTGAGGATGAAATGCATATTGCTGAGTTCTGAGGTCTCTCAGCTTCAGACTGATAACTCCAAAAAGTGGTTTGTGTGTATCATCAAAGAAAAAAAAAGCCTTGACAAATTAATTTTGACTTACTGCTCACTCCTCTCTATCTGAATATGGCCTAAAAAACAGTTTTTTATATACCTGAATCTTTTTATTCATTCATTCATTTACCTACCCATGCATTTATTCTCTTATTCATCCATGCATGTTTGGATCAAATATTCAAGATAGTACTTACCCTGAAGATCTCCATAATCTGAACAAGATAGATGGACAGAATACACTACAATATAATGTGATATGTACAACTCAAAAATTAATTAAGAAAGAAAAGCTACAGTGGCCAGGAATGGTGGCTCTCATCTATAATTTCCTTAAAGAGCAAGTATTATTCTCCTCCTTTTCTGTATCTTATAGATTTCTCTGAAGAGCAAATATTCTGAGATACAGAAAAGTAGGGGAAAAGCGAATCTCCTGTACAGATAAACTCTCCTGCCTACAGATAAACTCTGTTAACATTCAGGGGTTTTTGCTTTACTGTAAAGCATAGACTTTGCCATAATAGTGGAGGAATTCCCCTTTCCCCCTTCCCAGTCTTATAGAACTTTAAAAAAAATCCAGCAAATCATGAGGTGCCTTGTTTAAATCTAAAAGAAAAATAACCCATCCTAACATGCATTTCTTGTTCTCAAGGAAATTAAGATAAACAACTTGGGAAGTGGGGCCAGCTCCCCATACCTGGACACAGCCCTCTAGGCAGCTCCAGACCTACATGTTTGTTTCCAGCATCCTTTCCTTAGGTTTAATAAACTTGAGAAACTGCCAGGGGAGTCGACAGAAACTATGGCCATTCCCTTACCCTCTCCAATTGTTTTAGGAAGCTGCCTCTCCAGTCCCAGGGAAGGCTGTCCTTGGCCAACCTGTGACATCAGCAGTTTACCTCCAGATTTCTTCACTTAAGGAATATTTGAGTGCTTGCTTTGTACTCAGCCTTATGCCTGTCTGGGGTTTTACAGCATGAGTTCCTTCTCTGGAAGAAGTCACAGGCTGAGGGGGAGAGTGCATGCAACTCAGGGACTATAACGCTGGGTGCACTGACCAAGTTGTTTCAGAGAAGAGGGCTGTGAGGATATGGAGGAGGCAGGACAGGACTTTACCTCACCCTCTGCTGGGGGCATTGGGGAAGTCCTGTGGATAGGGGGCTTGAGGGAAGCATGTGGCTCTTCTGGTCACAGATACCCACGGTGCCCTTAACCTGCTACATCCCCTGAAACTTGACCACTGGTTTTCATTCCACCTGTAGTATCTGCCTCTGTGAGATCTCAATGCATGTTATAAAGGATGCATAGGAGACAGAGCATCTGAGAAAATTCCTACTCTCTCACTCCACAATTATGCTGGGCTGCCCCCTCTCTTCTAGATAACACATGTGTTTTTATTAGCGGCCTACAGGCAGGCCAAAATAGAATAACACCCATTTATCAACCCTTGGCTGTGTGTTAAGCTCTGTTCAAAGCACTTCATGAAAGTCAACACATTAACCTGCACAAAAATCCTGAGGTAGGGCTGTTATTACCCCATTTTTTTTTTTTTTTTTGAGAGGGAGTCTTGCTCTGTCACCCAGGCAGGAGCGCAATGGTGCGATCTCGGCTCACTGCAAGCTCTGCCTCCTGATTCAAGCAATTCTTCTGCCTTAGCCTCCCGAGTAGCTGGGATTATAGGCGTGCACCACCATGCCTGGCTAATTTTTGTATTTTTAGTGGAGACGGGGTTTCATTATGTTGGCCAGGTTGGTCTTGAACTCCTGACCTCAGGTGATCCACCCACCTCAACCTCCCAAAGTTCTGGGATTACAGGAGTGAGCCACAGCACTGGGCCTAATTTTTGTATTTTTAGTAGAGACGGGGTTTCACCATGTTGGCCAGGCTGGTCTCGAACTCTTGACCTCAGATGATCCACCTGCCTCCGCCTCCCAAAGTGCTTGGATTACAGGCATGAGCCACCACACCCAGCCTATTACCCCCATTTTCTAAATGAGGAGATGAAGGTACATTTTCCCTCTGCCCTAGATTCCACCAAAACCGCTAAATCTAACATTTTGTCTGCTGCTTAGCATCTACAGCAGCAAGGGTTTAGGATGAACCCAGTAGTATAAATTTCTGGGCTGGTTAGAGGCAAGGGTGGTGCCACCAAGGAGGAAAGAGGCAGAGTTGGAATGAAGGACAACTCACACCAATGAGTGCATGAAATGGTGCAGATACCTGACGGGCATTATCATATTTCATGGTCACTTCCTCCTCTGCCTCTCCTGGAAGGAGGGCCAATTATTCTTTTTACACATGGGAAGAATCTAAGACCAGGAGTTTGCCCCAAAATTACAGCTATTCAATGTCACTGTCAGACTTCAAACCCAGGTTGGATTCCAAAGATTAGGCCTTTTCTCTGCTCCACGCTGCATCTTTGATTTGGAGAAAGGTGACCTTTTGGTGCCTTTGGACGGAGAAACCCAAATCAGTGCAGCACTGGGTGCCTCTGTCTCTTTGCCCGCTCAAAGTGCGTCCGGAATGAAGCCGCCAACCCTCGCCGTGAGTGTTACAGCTCTTAAGGTGGCGCGTCTGGAGTTTGTTCCTTCTGATGTTCAGATGTGTTTGGAGTTTCTTCCTTCTGGTGGGTTCGTGGTCTCACTGGCTCAGGAGTGAAGCTGCAGACCTTCGCGGTGAGTGTTGCAGCTCTTAAGGCGGCGCATCTGGAGTTGTTCATTCCTCCCAGTGGGCTTGTGGTCTCGCTGGCTTCAGGAGTGAAGCTGCAGACCTTTGCGGTGAGTGTTACAGCTCATAAAAACAGTGTGGACCCAAAGAGTGAGCAGTAGCAAGATTTATTGCAAAGAGCGAAAGAACAAAGCTTCCACAGTACAGAAGGGGACCCGACCACGTTACCACTGTTGGCTCCGGCAGCCTGCTTTTATTCTCTTATCAGGCTCCACCCACATCCTGCTGATTGGTAGAGCCGAGTGGTCTGTTTTGACAGGGCGCTGATTGGTGCGTTTACAATCCCTGAGCTAGACACAAAGGTTCTCCATGTCCCCACTTAGATTAGCTAGATACAGAGTGTGGACACAAAGGTTCTCCAAGGCCCCACCAGAGTAGCTAGATACAGAGTGTCGATTGGTGCATTTACAAACCCTGAGCTAGACACAGGGTGCTGATTGGTGTGTTTACAAACCTTGAGCTAGATACAGAGTGCCAATTGGTGTATTTACAATCCCTGAGCTAGATATAAAGATTCTCCACGTCCCCACCAGACTCAGGAGCCCAGCTGGCTTCACCCAGTGGATCCCGCACTGGGGCTGCAGGTGGAGCTGCCTGCCAGTCTGGTGCCGTGTGCCCACACTCCTCAGCCCTTGGGTGGTCGATGGGACTGGGCGCCCTGGAGCAGGGGGCGGCACTCATCGGGGAGGCTCGGGCGGCACAGGAGCTCATGGACGGGGTGGGAGGCTCAGGCATGGCGGGCTGCTGGTCCCGAGACCTGCCCCGCAGGAAGACAGCTAAGGCATGGTGAGAAATCGAGCACAGCGCCGGCGGGCTGGCACTGCTGGGGGAACCAGTACACCCTCCGAAGCCGCTGGCCTGGGTGCTAAGCCCCTCCTCATTGTCCGGGGCCAGCAGGGCCGGCTGGCTGCTCCGAGTGCAGGGCCCGCCAAGCCCACGCCCACCTGGAA
Organism: Homo sapiens; assembly: GCF_000001405.40. NCBI lineage: Eukaryota > Metazoa > Chordata > Mammalia > Primates > Hominidae > Homo > Homo sapiens. Next base: position 35,931,322 of record NC_000006.12, on the reverse strand, counting down.
CTCCAGCTGGCCCGAAAGCGCCGCGTGCAGCCCCGGTTCCCCCTCGCTCCTCTCCCTCCACACCTCCCTGCAAGCTGAGGGAGCCGGCTCCGGTCTTGGCCGGCCCACAAAGGGGCTCCCGCAGTGCAGCGGTGGGCTGAAGGGCTTCTCAAGTGCCGCCAAAATGGGAGCCCAGGCAGAGGAAGCGCCGAGAGCAAGCGAGGGCTGTGAGGACTGCCAGCACGCTGTCACCTCTCAAAAGCATACAGCCAGAAACAGGTAGTTTTTACATTCTTTCATAACATTCCACATACATTCATCAAGCATCAAGTAGGTAGGGTATCCAACAGCTTTCTATGTCCTGGAGATACAGCAGTGAACAAAAATCAAACATCTCAGCCTTTATGGAGCTATCATTCCAAGGTGTGGTGGAGCAGACAAAAGTAGCAAGCAAACAAACAACCAAAAACAAACGCCTCTCTCCCTCCCCCAGTGAATCTCAGGTGCATTGCCAGTGGGTGTATAAATCTCCCAGGGGTCCACTCGAAGGAATATACTGAAATACTGGTGTCTGGATTAAAAAAGTAAGGAACTTTAATGACCAAGTAACACATCTTTTTGTAAGTTAGGTAGCTTCCAATTATTTGTTTCCAACAAAATTGAATAAGGACCTCCTGGAATTGTCAGCTGATGGGTCATTAAAATGAGTTTGGACTATGATTGTTGTGTGATTTTTGGCACATTATTTGGAAACAGTTCCAAAAGAACTGAATGCTATTGCTATAGCAAACCCCTTTTCATTCCCATCTACTTGTTTTATGTAAGTTTTCTTAATAAAAAAAAAAAAGGAATAGAATGATGCAGGACTCATTGAGAAAAATCACATACCATCACACTGAAATGCATTTGCAATAAAATTTCATTTATTGAAAAATGATGCTATATGTTACTTTGATTAATCATGCAATAATAATACTTGTAATAATAGGTAAGGAACTTTTCGAAGGATTATGGTCCGAGGAAATGTTTTTACAAATTAAATTTCCACATAAATGCACATTTGTGTGGCAGAGAAGTATGAAAGGATGATCGATAAAAGACTTTCAAGCATAAAATTAGCAGAGGATAAACTTCTGTGAGAACAAAATGGAATAGAAAGACAAGTTCAAGGAGAAAAACGAGTAATGTAGAATTTATTATAGTACCAAGAGTGCTTTTGCTTTATATATCTCTCTATATAAATGGATGATGGTACATAACAAATTGCTATATATATTTAAATTCCATTGGATGACATTCAAAACTGTGATATAACAGCTTTATTTTAAAATTTCAAATTCCCTTCCAATCTGTATGCCTTTTATTTAATTTTCTTGCCTATTGTTTCTGGCTAGAACCTCCAGCACAGTACTGAACAGGAATGGCGAGAGTGGACATCCTCCTCTGGTTCCTGATCTTAGGGGGAGGGCATTCAGCCTTTCATCATTAAATATGATGTTAGCTGTGGGTGTTTCATAGATGACCTTGATCAGGTTGAGAAAATTCCTTTCCATTCCTGGTTTGTTGAGTGTTTTGCCTAGGGCTAGTTTTTAAGATTATTTTAGTGGGTAAGGGAGCATAATGCTTGAAAGTTCAAGTTCCTTAGATGTGCTATCCCTGCTATTTGTTACCCCAGCACCAAACACAGTACCTGCCTAAAAAAGAAGGGGGCCCATAAATATTTGTGGGCAAGCTATCTCTCACCACTCCCCGCTTGCATTATATGTGTGTGTGTGTGTGTGTATATATATATACATGTTTTGTTTGTTTTGAGAGAGGGTCTCACTCTATCGCCCAAGCTGAAGTACAGTGGCATAATTATGGGTCACTGCAACAACCTCCTGGGCTCAAGCAATCCTCCTGCCTCAGCCTCCCAAGTAGCTGGGCCCCCAGGTGCCTGCCAGTATGCACAGCTATTTAAATTTTTTTTTTTTTTTTTTTTTTTTTGTAGAGACAAGGTCTCAGTTTGTTGCGCAGGCTGGTCCTGAACTCCTGACCTCAAGCAATCCTCCCGTCTCAGCCTCCCAAAGTGCTGGGATTACAGGCATGAGCCACTGTGCCTGGCCCCCTTACATTTTATACCTCTGTGATACCATGCTGTTTTCTCTGACTGGAGTTTTCTTTCCTCCCTTTTGTGTGCAGCTGATACCTACTCATGCTTTCCAACTCTGTCCAGGTGTCACTCATCCAAGAGATGCCTCTTTCCTTGCCTCTCTATAAATCCTGAGCTGACGGGGCCTCTTTTCTTGTGCTTCCAGGGTAGCTTCTGCATCTACCATTGTACATTGTATTTAATTACTTACTTATCTATCCATCCCCCACTACACTGGGTAGGTAATATAGTGTGTGGCTGAGAGTATGAATTCCAGAGTCTGACTTCCCAGATTCAAAACCTTGCCTCTTATTACCTTGCATGATCTTGGTTGTGCCTTAGTTTTTTCCTGTCAGAGATTAAAAGAATAGTACCTATCTTGTAGGGTTTCAGGGTTGTGGGACAACAGTGACTAGTAAATAGTAATTTTGTTGTTGTTGTTTGTTTGAGACGGAGTCTCGCTCTGTCACCCAGGTTCGAGTGCAGTGGCATGACCTCAGCTCACTGCAACCTCCGCCTCCCGGGTTCTAGCGATTCTCCTGCCTCAGCCTCCTGTATAGCTGGGATTACAGGTGGGCGCCACCATGCCTGGCTAATTTTTGTTTTTTTAGTAGAGACGGGGTTTCACCATGTTAGTCAGGCTGGTCTCCAACTCCTGACCTCGTGATCTGCTCACCTCGGCCTCCCAAAGTGTTGGGATTACAGGCATGAGCCATCGCACCCAGCCAGTAATTGTTATATAAGAGTTAGCTATTAAATCCTACAGAGCAAGGCCTATTTTTTTCCTTCTTTGCTTCTCACAGCCTAAGGGCTGAAGTGTAAATGTCTGTCATGAGGGTAAGTATGGTGGAAAGTATTTGAAAGAAGGAAACAAAAAAATGGATTTAACATTGCATAGCCAGTAGAAATCAGATCTCAAATGTGTAAGCCATGTTGTCCATTTCTATGTATTTCCTAAATTGACTTCAGTGTGCCCCCAAGCCTGCCATGATGGAGAAGTTAAATCACAGTCCTTATAGAGCTTGTCTCTCAAGGGTCACGTAAGAGTCTGGGAGGTTTACACACTGCTCAGGAAACAGTAAAGACTTTTGATCTTGATGGATTCTCGCTCTGTCACCCAGGCTGGAGTTCAGTGGTATGACATCTGCTCCCTGAAACCTCTGTCTCCCAGGTTCAAGCAGTTCTCCTGCCTTAGCCTCCCAAGTAGCTTGGATTACAGACATGAGCCACCATGCCCGGCTAATTTTTGTATTTTTAGTAGAGAGAGGGTTTTGCCATGTTGGCCAGGCTGGTCTCAAACTCCTGACCTCAGGTGATCTGCCCGCCTTGGCCTTCCAAAGTGCTGGGATTACAGGCATGAGCCACCGTGCCTAGTCAGACTTTTGATCTTAAGTTCATTATTTTTATTGTCTAAGTCTGCATGACCCCTGGAACATGCTAAGTATAGCAGAGCATCTTTGTCTGGCTTGGGAGCCTCTTAGGGGCCCCCAATCTTATATTTATAATTTACCTTAAAATACTTTGGCATCTATCCTTGGAATCAAGGCAAGGAAAGCATATTCTAGGTAAGGATATTTAAGAAAGCTCTTCTGGGACTTCTAGAACCTTAGATAGGATCCAGCATGTTTCTGTTTTGGCAACTCACATAGAGGGGATGTGCGGTAAGACTTTCTTACATTCCCCTCGTCTTGGACTCCCAGATTGCTTTTTTTTTAAATTGGCATTTTAAAGAAATAAATCTACTTCTTAAAAAAAATACCTGGGGGCCGGGCACCGTGGCTCATGCCTGTAATCCCAGCACTTTGGGAGGCCAAGGTGGGTGGATCACGAGGTCAGGAGATCCTGGCTAACACAGTGAAACCCCGTCTTTACTAAAAATACAAAAAATTAGCCGGGCGTCGTGGTGGGCGCCTGTAGTCCCAGCTACTCGGGAGGCTGAGGCAGGAGAATGGCATGAACCCGGGAGGCGGAGCTTGCAGTGAGTCAAGATTGTGCCACTGCACTCCAGCCTAGGTGACAGAGCAAGACTCCATCTCAAAAAAAAAAAAAAAATACTTGGGCATATTAAATCTTTTGGGAAAGACAGGATGACATTTGTAGGCACCAGTTATTTACACACCTAGGTGCAGCTTGTGTTTTAATCAGCAATTTCCATTCCAAGAGTGGTTAGTAAATATTCTACTCAGAAAGTGACTACAACAAAGTAATTCAGAGTCATTGACTGCCATAAATTTTGACAATGACAGCCCTTTTCTAAAATCCATTACACAAATTAACAAGCAACTCTTTTCACCAGTGAAAACCCATTTCTGATAACTCCTGTGATGTGAATCAGGTTTGGAACAGCATAACAAACATAAGGGAGACTCCATCTCTAGTTGCCTGATCCCGACTGTGAGGGTGAGAGTCCTGACTCTGGGATATTGTTGTCCCTGCCGTGAGTAAACCTTTCATTCATGCTGTGGCCAGAGCACCTAAAAGGACAGAGAGCTGGGACCTCAAAGAACTTACAGGACAGGTTATAGGACCTGTTTTGTGCCTGCCTGCTAATGGGTGTGCAACAAACCTACATGTGGCAGATTTTAGTCTGAAACTTTTCTTTATGTCCTGGGAGTAGGCCTGCCAGGGAGGCAAACCCTCACCATGTCAAGCTTCTCTGGCAGGCATCACTCCCAACCAAAAAAAGCTAAGAGTTGGGCATGATCAGCTAAGGTCAGTTTGCAACACCTTGCTCCCACCCAGAACACTTCCAGGGAGCAGAGCAAGGGCCCTACCTGCTCAGGAATCACCAATCTCTAACCTCCTCATTCTTAGAGAATCCCCTTCCCCTCCTAGCTACTGCCTTTATTCCCACCCCAACAAGCCAAGGCCTTTATTCTTTCATCTTCTCCACCTACGCCCCCGGATCTTTCACCCCAGCACAATTTCTTTGTGAAACTTAAGCTTTTATAGAATGAAGCCAGAAATGGGGTCATCTCCAGGTGGCATTGGTTCTCCAGGGGTCAGGGTGCCCAAGAGGCAGATTTACCTGCTTGGAAAATGCCAGCTGCTTTGGGTGTCTGACTGCCCAGACAGGCTATGCTGGATATTCTCTGTTTGGCCCTCCAGATCCACTCTCCACCTTTCTCCACCCTGCTTTATGCCCTGGGAGGCTGGCATGTATGGACTGCATCACCCAGGCTTCCTTGCCATTTAACTTCCAGCTGGGTTTTGTCAATGGTGAGGCACTCGTTTGAGAAGATGTGGGTCTTTATTTCCCTGCCCTCTCCCTGCAGGGCTCATTAAAGGGCACAGCTGCTGCCAGGCGGGCCTCTCTTACTACAGCTCTGTTATGGGTTGAATTTTGCCCCCCACCCAACAAAAGATATGTTGGAGTCCTAATCTCCAGTACCTCAGAATGTGTCCTTACTTGGAAACAGGGTCTTTCCAGAGGTAATCAAATTAAAATGAGGTTTTTAGGATGAAGCCCAATGCAGTATGACTGGTGTCCGTATAAAAAGGGGAAATCCCAACACAATGAGAGACAGATGCACAGGGAAGAGCATGTGGCGAGGGAGATGATGGTTACCCAGAAGGCAAGGAGAAGGGCCTGAAACACATTCTCTCTCACAGACCTCAGAAGGAACCAACCCTGCCAATACCTTGATTTCAGACTTCTAAGCCTGTGAGACAAGAATTTTCTATTGTTTAAGCTACCCAGTTTGTGGTACTTTGTTATGGCAGCCCCTGGAAAACTTTTTTTTTTTTTTTTTTGAGACAGAGTTTTGTTTTTGTTGCCCAGGCTGGAGTGCAGTGGCGCAATCTCGGCTTACTGCAACCTCTGCCTCCCAGGTTCAAGCGATTCTCCTGCCTCAGTCTCCCAAGTAGCTGGGATTACAAGCGCCCGCCACCATGCCCAGCTAATTTTTTTTTTTTTTTTTTTGTATTTTTAGTAGAGACGGGGTTTCATCATGTTGAACAGGCTGGTCTTGAACTCCTGACCTCAGGTGATCCACCCGTCTTGGCCTCCCAAAGTGCTGGGATTACAGGCGTGAGCCACCGCGTCCGGCCCCTGGCAAATTGTTAATAATAAACCTCTCCCTGGGTTCTGATAACACCTCCATCCTCTTCTCCCTTCAGGCCTAGAGATGGTAAAAACTCCAGCTGTTGCTAGTCCCTGGATGTCTAACTATCCCTTGTTTGTTTTCCTTAACACCTTTATTCCTTCATTAAATTCTCTTCAATTAGCCTTTAAATGTGCCATGTGTTTCCTGATACCCAGGCCTATAATATGTAGATTTTCCCAATATAATTCACAAAACCATGTATCCAAAAGGTAAGAGAAAGTTTTTTTGGGGTTTTCCAATTATGCAGACAGCTATTGGAAATCTTAACTCATTCAAAATAAATCATCTCATGTATTTTCACTTTCTCCTGTTGTCCATTTCATCTCGCAAGACGTAGGGGAGGCCATAAAGGGATGTGTTGCTTTGGATTTAAGTCAGATCAAAACTTTAGACAAAGCATAATAATTTGTGATAATCAAGGCAGACAATGTTGGGTATGAAGAAACGTGTGAACTCAACTTTAGACGTTCAGATTTCTAAAATGTCAAAGAAGTATTAGAGAAGATTCCAGGGAGTCTTAATAAGTAAGTTAGCTCAAAAGGGATAGGATCTTTTCAGAAATTAAATTCTGAGACTACCATGAGCAGCCAAAAATATGATGGGTTATGGTTTCCGAATACCTCTACTTTTAAAGGGACTTGCAGGAAAAAAATAGCTGATGGAGAAGGGGTATGCATGTAAGAATGAATAGCTACCACTTTTTTTGTGTCTTTCTTTTTTCCTTTTTGTGCAGAAAAGGGTCTTGCTGTATTGCCCAGGCAGGTCTCTAACTCTTAGGCTCAAGGTATCCTCCTGCCTCTGCCTCCCTAAGTGTTGGGATTACAGGCATGAGCCACTGTGCTTGGCCTACACTTTTTTTTTTTTTTTTTGCTAACACTTTTAAGAATAGTTTCTGGGGAGCCTAAGGGGGGCAGATTGTTTGAGCCCAGGAGTTCCAAACCAGCCTGGGCAATGTGGCAAAACCCCATCTCTATAAAAAACACAAAAATCAAGTGGATATGGTGGCATGTGCCTGTAGTAGTTCCAGCTACTGGGGAGGCTGAGGTGAAAAAATTGCTTGAGCCCGGGTTGCAGTGAGGAAAGATTTCGCCACTGCGCTCCTGCCTGGGTGACAGAGTGAGACCCTGTCAAAGAAAAAAAAAAATTCTGGAAAGTTAAAAGTCCAGAATAGGCCAAGCTCTGCAAACTTGGGAGAAGAAACTATTTTTAAAGTTACATTTCAAGCAAAATGCACAAAAAGGGGATGGTTGTAGAATAGGGGAAATGAACAAACGTGCTTACATGAACAGTTATAGAGGTCTTAGAAAAAGTGGAGAGCCAAAGCATGATGGAGGAATAGAGAAAAACAGATGGAAAAAAAAGAGAAATGGTCAATTCTGGGAACTCAGTCCAGTGAACTTCACATTGACTCTGGAAAAATTCTGAAAACGAGTTATTAAACAGATGGTTAGTAAGCTCTTAGAGAAGCAATAGCCTACTCAGAGTCAGGATAGGTACGACTGTATCATGCCAAGCTGAACATATTTCCTTTTTGATGGGTCTGCAATAACCAATTCAGATTTAATACAGCTCTAATATTGTCCCTCTCAGTGTTTTCTCTCTCTTTCATCCTGACATTTCTCATAAACTGCAGATCATTTATTCTTTTTTTTTTCTTTTGAGACGGAGTTTTGCTCTTGTTGCCCAGGCTGGAGTGCAGTGGTGCAATCTCGGCTCACTGCAACCTCCGCCTCCCGGGTTCAAGCGATTCTCCTGCCTCAGCCTCCCAAGTAGCTGGGATTACAGGCATGTGCCACCATGCCCGGCTACTTTTGTATTTTTAGTAGAGATGAGGTTTCACCATGTTGGCCAGGATGGTCTCGATCTCTTAACCTTGTGATCTGCCCGCCTCGGCCTCCCAAAGTGCTGGGATTACAGGCATAAGCCACTGTGCCTGGCCCATTTATTCTTTTATTAGACAAATATATGAGCACCTACTAAGTGCCTAACACTGTGTAGGCACTGAGTTTACATCAAGGAAAACCTAAGCAGGGTCTCTACACTCAAACAGTTTACTTTGGGGTGGGCAGTACTTTCCCAATTCTGGGATTTTTCCTAGCTATCAGCTCTCTCCCTGTCTTTTCTAAACCACACGCGGTTATCCTGAACTCACACAACCCTCAGAGTCTAGGGCTTCCCTGTCTGTCCTAACCTTCCTTTTGTTTTCAACTTTACAGCAGGGAATAGACTGGGCTGCATCCTTCCTTGGCCAACAGGTACTGTCTTCTTTTGCAATATACTCAGACATGCTATCATTCAGGTTCCATGCAACATATATCAATTATCTAAATTTCAAATTTGGCTAACCTGCCTTTCCAGCCTCACCTTCCATTTCATCCCTTCAGTTGTTACCAGCCCCAATCCTAGCCCCCACCTACAGGTGTCCACGTCTGTGCCTTTTTGCTCAATGTATTTTCTCATTCAGGAATGCCTGACATCTCCTTCTCCACCTATAGAAATCTTACATATTTCCTAATACCCAGCTCAAAAACTGCCTTCTCTGGATGGGCTTAATTACTTACTTTGCTCAATAAGTTCTGCCAAAGCCCCCATGCTTGACTTGTGCTGTACTATTGCCCTCTCATCTTCCCTTCTCAATTACTTGTTCAGAGCAAAGGTCTTCAGAGCTTCCACTCTGTCCAGCTGCGGTACTTTACAACATGGGTTGGTAAACTAAGATCTGAAATAAGAATAACCGTTGAAACGGTTGAAAAAAGATCAAAAGGGCCTGGCTCAGTGGCTCACACCTGTAATTCCAGCACCTTGGGAGGCTGAGGTGGGAGGATCACTTGAGCCCTGGATGTCCAGGCTGCAGTGAGCCGAGATCATGCCACTGTACTCCGGCCTAGGCAGCAGAGCAAGACTGCTCTCTCTGTCTTTCTTTAACCCTCACCTTCCCTTCAAAACCTAACAAAGACCATGTTTAAATCAATAGAAGAACATTTTATGACGTGAAAATTATATGAAATTCAAATTTCAGTGTCCATACATAAATCTTTATAGGAACACAGCCCATATTTTCTATGACTGCTTTTGAGCTCCAATGGCAGAGTTGAGTAGCTGAGAAAGAGATCTTATGGTCCACAAAGCCTAAATATTTACTGTACGGCCCAAAGAAAAACTTTGCTGAGCCTGCTATACAATAAGGGCTTCATGATTAAATAACTGGGTCGTACACCAAGATTCTGAACATATAGGCAGGCCCTCTTAAGTTTAGTGTCTTTGTGTAATGGAAGTAATAACTATTTTGCCTTTAAGTTGCCATAAACATCAAATGAGATAATGCACTTAGAAAATAAAAACAAAAAAAACTTATAAACAAGACAGCTTTATCATGTATTGAAGGTGGTAGAATAAGAAAACATTAAACGTTTTTATTCTCATTTCCCCTTCTTTCCTTTACAGCTTTCACTTAAACTTGAAATTTCAAGAGAAAATTCACTTTTGAAGTTTTTACTTTTCAAGTGATAATAGGGTCACAGGTTCTTTCCTTCCAGTCTTTTTGTGTTGCTCCCACTCCCTTTTCTTTCTCACATGTAATTTTTTTCCATTTTCTTTAAATAGTATCTCAACTGGGCTCACAATAGCTCAGGGAAGGAGAAACTGGGACATGCCTGATTAATCCATTTTACAGGCCAGGAAACTGAGGCAGATCCCAGTTGCCTCCGAAGCTCTGACTCAGCAGCATGCAGAGAGCCCTGCCGCTCTCTGCGCCTTTTCTAAACAAATAGAACAAAACTAACCTTGCCAGGTTTCCAAGCTTGGATCTCTAACACTCCTTCAACGTTCACCCCGGCGTTCCTCCCCGCTGCGCCCCCTCCCTCTCCTTGCCGCCCCCTCCTCGGGAGCAGGTGGTAGGCTCCGCGCCCAACGCGCAAGCGCGCGGCATCGTGGGGCGGGGGTGGGGCGGGACTGAGGGCGGAGTGTGAGCGGGCTCGGTTTTGGGCCGCGGCGGGAGCGGGAGTCGCCGCCACTCGAGTGCGCAGGCGCCTGGCGATTACCGGTCTCACCATGGAGCGGAAAGGTGAGCGGTGGAGCGGCCTCCGCCACGAGGGGCAATGGTCGCCGGGGCGAGGCCCGGGTCAGCGCCGGGAGCTTCGCTTAACTGCCGCGGTTCGGTTCCCGGACGTGCGGCGCCCCTCCACTGAGGTGGCGCCGCCCCACACCCCCTGCCTCTGGGCTGCGGGTCCGCGCCCCTCAGTCCGGGCGTCCTCTGGCGCCGGCCGTAGCCGCCCCTTGTTCCCCGCCAGGCCGGCTCGCGCCTTGGGGCCACTCCAGGGCCCGGCCCTTGGCGGGCGACGCAGACCCCCACCCGCCCGCCCCCTGACCCGGCCTGAGACCCCTCCGGCGCATCCCGCCCGGGCGCTGCTCTGCGCCCCGTGGGCCGCCAGCCCCACGGCCGGCCGCCTCGCCGGAGCCCGCAGCCGCCCCCGAGGCAGGCCCCGCAGCCGGGCCTGGCGCCCCTGCTGGGTCTCCACCCTCACCTTGGTCGCCTCCTTTCCTCCACATTCGCCCTTCATCCATCCCTCTCTCCTGCAGTGCTTGCGCTCCAGGCCCGAAAGAAAAGGACCAAGGCCAAGAAGGACAAAGCCCAAAGGAAGTGAGTCTTGTACCCCAACATCCCATTCTTTGGATTTTCCTCCGGCACCTTCTCTGCTCTGGTTTCACGTCTTGAACGTGCACCGGGTTTGGGCACCCTGTGGCTGCAGCCACATGGCCTCGGGGCAGCTCGGAGGGTCGCTCTCCAGCAACCATGTGGAAGAGAGCTGCTGTTGCTCAACGCCAGGCCTGGGTCTTAGCAGCCCCGGGCCTGCTGGAAAGGGCTGTCGGAGGAGGACCAGAGCCCGCCCGGTACCTTTCCTCCCCAACTCCACAGAGGAGGCACAAACTCCCCTAGCTTGGACCTCCCCACCGGAGCTGGTAGATCATTATCGGTCTGTTTCTGAACTCTGGTCTCTCTTACCTGCTCCCCAACGTCTTAACTTGCCTCCGACGTCTTCACGGTAGGCCTTAAGGAAATTCTTGAATGAATTTTTCCGTGTTTACTTTGGGTTCTACCAACCACACACTCCCTTTCATAGAGGAGGGCATGGGGCTTTTCCCTGGGTTAGTCAACTTCCTGAGCCTGTAAGGCGTATCGGCTTTTTTGCAGTGTGCCGGCAGACCGCTGTGTATACAGTCGGTGTCTGTTAACTGCTTCTCTTCTGTCTAAACCTCAACCAGATGCAGATAATCTTCCGGAGTGGACATCACAATAGTAACGGGAGAGTTCTTTAACAAACATTGATGATTCTGGTTTGGCGTATTAAGCGCCACATGTCCAGTTTTATCAGTAGGATGCATAACAGTAGTTTAGTGCTATCGTGGCAAGTTCAAAAGTTGGTCACAGCCTAGTAGAAACTCAGGTAGCAGGCTTAGCAGCAAGTGAGGCTAAGCCTTAAGAACTTTCATCATGTACTAACGTTTAATTGCAAAGGATCTTGGAAATCAGCTCTTACACACTTTGTATTCAGAGAGAGCTTGTATGCCTAGTTATTAATACATCTTAATTTTAGATGTATTATCTTTATAGTTTTACATTTATTTGATGTTTTGTGGCATCGTATGCGGTCTAATTCCCTCTGAGCTGATACAACACATTTCAAAGGCCTTCCTAGGTCACCCCACTGAATGACAATACCAGATTAGGGGGGTGTAGGGGTGTGTGTTGTTTTTGGAGGCTACCTACTGTTTGGGGAGAGCACATAATGACTTCTCTCTTTCAATAGAACTAAAGTGGTAGGTGACCTCACCTCTTGCTCCATTTTCTCTTCTGTCTTATGAAATGTATTTTGTAAGTGCTTGGTGACGAAGTCTTGTAAATGAGAGTTTGTGTGTGTCTGTTTACCTTTGGATTATCCATATATGGGATTATTCAAAACCAGTTTTTAATCCTAGATCGTTTAATAGAAACAGCAAGGTGCTAACTTGGTTCTAGTGTGCAGTAGGACTTGAAATGTTACTTTTCTGTGCCTAGTTTAGTTATTCTTTGTGGAATTGATGAGAATGTGTTAAAACGTTCTTTTCTATTGATACAAGGAAGTTGCAGTTTTTATTATATTACTCTGTATTTTTTAGAAATCCTGGTCTCTCAGACTATTTGTCCAGATCTCTCTTACCACTTAGAAATTAATTTGAGATTAGCCCAAATCAAGCTGTAATTTGAGGGGTAAATGTATATAGATGATATACTTTAAGCACCAGAAATCTGTTACTTTCGATTATCTATTTAGACCATATGCTTTATTTCTAAAGTCAGATGTGTATCTGTTACCCCATTCACTACTATGGATAACTTAGAGTTATTTGTGTTAATTGTTTGCAAGTATGGATTATAGATAATCTAGCAGTCATTTTACTGAATATTTCATCTTGAACAACTTTGAATCCTGAAAATATGCGTGAATGAACTGCCCCCATTTCCTTGTAACTTCAGAGGTGTTTTATTTTTGGATTTGTTTCCAATTAATAAGTTTTTTTTGTTTGTTTGTTTTTGAATTTACCTACCTTTTTTTTCTTTTTCTTTTTGAGGCAAAAAGAAAGCCTGTTGCCCAGGCTGCAGTGCAATGGTGCGATCTCGGCTCACTGCAACCTCCACCTACCAGATTCAAGCAATTCTCTTGCCTCAGCCCCCCAAGTAGCTGGGACTACAGGCGTGTGCCACTACGCCTGGTTAATTTTTGTATTTTTTGTAGAGAGAGAGTTTCGCCATGTTGCCCAGGCTGGTCTCGAACTCCTGAGCTCAGGTAATCCGCCTGCCTCAGCCTCCCAAAGTGCTGGGATTACAGGCATGAGCCACTGCACCTTGCTCTTTTTCTTTCTTCCTTTTTGTCTTTCTTTCTGTCTTTCTTTTCTTTTGTTTGTATCCCAGCCTCCTTTTAAGTAGCTGAAATGTCTAATTAAGTTGGTTAGAGTACTGTGTTAGAAGTTCAAGCCTCAACTAAGGTAACTTGACTCTGTTCCATGACTTCTGACTGCACTCCTGATGACTTCCATTTACTTTGCTAAGGCAAGCTGCTAGTTACAGGAGGTGAGTCAGGAAGAAGATTTGAGGAAGAAGCATGCCATAGAGTTTGGTCTTTGGAGATAGATGTGGTTTTGAATTCTGATTTTGCTACTTTTTAGCAATCTGACCTTAGACAAGTTAGTTAAGGAAACAGTCTTATGTATATATCCTGACTGGCAGTTCAGTCATAGTGAAAACTGATCAGGACCTAAAGATATAAAAACAAAGCGTTTAAATGAAAATTTTAGAAAGTTTTGGAACTGTTACAGTAAATAGCATCCTTAGTAATTTAGTCGTGTTGTGTCACAGGCAGAAGGGATTTTCAGTCCCCTGGTACTGCAGATCTTAAACCCAGGGTCTTGAAGCTGGTGACAGAAGAACCAAAACTTGGAATTCAGGGTCCCTTTCCAGCTCTGTGTTTGTTAGAGTGGATTTCCTTTGGGTTCTTTTCACTGTGCTGGAGTATTTGACTTTGGGATTTTAAATTTTCTTATTTAGACAATTCTTCATTTTACTTTTGTGGACGCTGTGCTTTTATTTACTAACATTAACTAGTTGGTGATGATCTCCATTTTACTTTACAGATAAGAGAATTGAGGTTTGTCAGATTACTCCCCTAGAAAATTGCAAAGCTGGGATTTGAACCCAGGTCTGACATACCCAAAGCCCTGGCTACCAATCATGTGTTTCTAAGTGACAGTGCTTTTGGTGTGTCTTACAACAGGTAAGGTAGAAGCTGAGTTGAAAGAGGCTTCTGAATGAGAGACCTCTGGATGCTTGGGGGTTTGGGTGCCCTTTCATGACATACTGTCCTGTGTCTATGAAACAGCACAATCATCTATCTCCCTCTGAACATTTGTTTTCAGTGTTTATACCAATAGCTGTGAGCCTTTATTTGTTTGTCATAAGCTTTTATAATTTAACAGTGTGTGTCTGTTTTTGTTTTGTTTTGTTTTGTTTTTTGAGACAGAGTCTCACTCTGTCACCCGGGCTGGAGTGCAGTGGCGCATTCTCAGCTCACTGCAACCTCTGCCTCCCGGGCTCAAGCCATTCTCCTGCCTCAGCCTCCCAAGTAGCTGAGATTACAAGCACCTGCCACCACGCCCGGCTAATTTTTGTATTTTTCGGGGTAGAGACAGGGTTTCACCATGTTGGCCAGGCTGGTCTCAAACTCGACCTCGAGTGATCCACCTGCCTTGGCCTCTCATAGTGCTGGTATTACAGGTGTGAGCTACCGTGCCTGACCTATATGTCTGTTTTTGAAGTTGTTTCTATGGAACATAATTCCAGAATGGATTTCATACTTACTGATTTTATTACTTACCTTAGGAAGCTGGTTTGGACAGTAATTTTCACTTTATTTGCAGTTAAATAATTATGGATTTAGTATACATTTGGTAGTAAAATTAATTCAGCTCTAACACTGATTTGTGGAGTCATTTGGGAGATATATTGAAAATTTACTTGAATTTGGCCACAAATTAAAAAAAAAATTTACAAGAGAAAATACTTAAATATCTAACATTTTTATTCAGTAGGAAGTAGAGCCAGTAAATTTGAAACAATTTAAAAAATGAAATAGTATTTGATGCTTTTTACACTTAGCAGTGCACCTTGGAAATTGGTTCTATATTCCATATAGTGCAGCCTTACTATTTTTTTTAGGGTCTGCCTTTTTCACTGAGTCTTAGAAATAGTTCCATGTCAGGACAGAAAGAGAACCTCATCTAGCATTCCATTAAGTTGATATGCCATAATTTAATTAATTAATTAATTAATTTATTTATTTATTTATTTGAGGCAGAGTCTTCGCTCTTGTCATCCAGTCTGGAGTGCAGTGGTGAGATCTCAGCTCACTGCAACCTCAGCCTCCTGGGTTCAAGCGATTCTCCTGTCTCAGTTTCTCGAGTAGCTGGGATTACAGGCACATACCACTGTGTCCAGCCAACCATAATTTATTTTAATTTTTATTAATAAACGTGTGTGTGTGTGTGTGTGTGTGTGTGTGTGTGTGTGTGTGTGTGTATATATTTTTTTTTTTTTTTGTTTTTGAGACAGAGTCTCGTTCTGTCGCCCAGGCTGGAGTTCAGTGGTGCAATCTCGGCTCTCTGCAACCTCCGCCTCCTGGGTTCAAGTGATTCTCCTGCCTCAGCCTCCAGAGTAGCTGGGACTACAGGTGTGTGCCACCACGCCCCACTAATTTTTTGTATTTTTAGTAGAGACGGGATTTCACCGTGTTAGCCAGAATGGTCTCCATCTCCTGACCTCATGATCCGCCCACCTCGGCCTCCCAAAGTGCTAGGCTTACAGGCGTGAGCCACCGCACCTGGCCTGTATATACCTTTAAAGACAAAAATGGAATCACTGGGCATACTTTTCCCTAGTTAACATTATCATGAGTATTTTTCGTGTATTAAATATTCCACTATGGGCTGTTTCCAGTTTTTCACAATTAATTCACAGCTATAGTGAATAATCTTTTGGACAAATCATTGCTTACATCAGTGATTATTTCCTTAGGATAAATACTTCGAATGGTATATACATTTAAAATATTTTTAGTTCATTTTGTCAAAATTTTGTCCAGCAAGATTTTTCTTTTTTTTTTTTTTTTTTGAGACGGTGTCTTGCTCTGTCGTCCAGGCTGGAGTGCAGTGGCGTGATCTCGGCTCACTGCAAGCTCCCCCTCCCGGGTTCATGCCATTCTCCTGCCTCAGCCTCCCGAGTAGCCGGGACTACAGGCGCCCGCCACCATGCCTGGCTAATTTTGTTTTTGCATTTTTAGTAGAGACGAGGTTTAACTGTGTTAGCCGAGATGGTCTCGATCTCCTGACGTCGCGTTCTGCCCGCCTCAGCCTCCCAAAGTGCCAGGATTACAGATGTAAGCCGCCATACCCGGCCTTCCTCCAGCAAGATTTAACAGGTTTGGCCGGGCACAGTGGCTCAAGCCTGTAATCCTGGCACTTTGGGAGGCTGAGGCAGGGGGATCACTTGAGGTCAGGAGTTCAAGACCAGCCTGGTCAATACAGTGAAACCCTGCTTCTGGAAATACAAAAATTAGCCAGGTGTGGTGGCAGGTGCCTGTAATCCCAGCCACACAGGAGGCTGAGGCAGGAGAATCGCTTGAACCCGGGAGGTGGAGATTGTAGTGAGCCAACATCGTACCACTGCACTCTAGCCTGGGCAACAAAGCAAAGTTCCGTTTCAAAAAAAAAAAAGGATTTAACTAGTTTAACTCTTATTCATTAAACAAATAGTTTTTGATCTCCCACCCTGTCCCAAGCATTGTTTTCCATATTCGGGATTCAGCAGTGAAAGAAAAACATTCCTGTCCCGTTGGCTACTATATTATTATAGTGGGAGGAAAGACAGAATAAACAATAGACATAAATAAGTAAATTAAATAGTATATTAGGTGATAGGTGGAGAAAAAAGAGAAAGATAAGTGGGGGTTGAGAAATGGAGATAAGGTTACAGTTTTAAATAGGGTGATGGAGGCCACACTGAAAAGGTGACATTTGAACAAAGACTTGGAAGAGGACTGCTCTAGGCAAAGCAGTGGAAATGGGAGTGTTCTTGTATCTCCTGTGAAGCCACCAGAACTAGGTAATATTACTTGAAAAATCTTGCCAAATCTGGTAATCTATAAAATACCTTGTTGTAATTTTGAATTTTTTGCCCATTTTTAATATTAGATTGTTGATCTTTTTCTTGATCTTAAGAACTCTTTATTAAGAATGTATCCTAGCCAGGTCTGGTGACTCAAGCCTGTAATCCCAGCACTTTGGGAGGCTGAGGCGTGTGGATCACCCAAGGTCGGGAGTTCGAGACCAGCCTGATCAACATGGAGAAACCCCTTCTCTACTAAAAATACAAAAAATTAGCCGGGCGTCATGGTGCATGCCTGTAATCCCAGCTACTTGGGAGGCTGAGGCAGGAGAATTGCTTGAACCTGGGAGGTGGAGGTTGCAGTGAGCCGAGATCGTGCCATTGCACTCCAGCCTGGGCGACAAGAGCAAAACTCCATCTCAAAAAAAAAAAAAAAAAAAAAAAGAGAAAGTATCCTTTGTTGTGCGGCAGACTTTTATTTCTCAGCTTGTTATAGGTCCTTCAGATGTCACTTATAGTGTGCTTTTTACATAAATTGATTTTTAAAACCGTGGCAAATTTGTCTTTTCCTCTGCTTTTTCTTTTTTCTCTCTCTTTTATTTTTTTTTCTTTTTTTGAGATGGAATCTCGCTCTGTCACCCAGACTGGAGTACAGTGGCATGATCTTGGCTCACTGCAACTTCCGCCTCCTGGGTTCAAGCAATTCTCCTGCCTCAGGCTCCCGAGTAGCTGGGATTACAGGTGCGTGCCACCACACCTGGCTAATTTTTATATTTTTAGTAGAGACGGGGTTTCACCATGTTGTCCAGGCTGATCTCAAACTCCTGACTTCAGGTGATCACCTACCCTGGCCTCCCAAAGTGTTGGAATTACAGGCGTGAGCCACTGTGCCTGGCCTCCTTTGCTTTTTACTTTTTTTTGAGACGGGGTCTTGTTCTGTTGCCCAGGTGGGAGTGTAGTGGCGCGATCTCGGCTCACTGCAACCTCCACCTCCCGAGTTGGAGTGATTCAAGTGAATTCAAGTGATTCTCCTACCTCAAGGTCAACTGTTATATCTTTTTTAAAATTTGCATTTTTAATTGTGTGTGATTCCCTTAAATATAAATTTACTTGCAAAATTGAATTTCTAGAACTTCTCTTGTCAGAAAATATTTTGTTCTCTTCTTCCTCTGTAGTTTCATTGGTTAGTAAGTTTTATTTACATTAGTGTTTCTACTACAGTGCATCCCAGGCTTGACAAATTACCATTTTCCTTTAGATTACTTGAAACCAGCAACTTGTTGAAGTGCCAAAGTGAATAAGGCTGCGGGTGCTTAGGAATTCCCTTACTAAAAGTGAAAAAGGCTCGGTACAGTGGCTTATGCCTGTAATCCCAGCACTTTGGGAGGCCAAGGCCTTGAGCCCAGGAACTTGAGATTAGCCTGGGCAACATGGCAAGATCCTGTCTTCTAAAAACACAAAAGTTAGCTGGGTGTGGTGGCACGTGCCTGTAGTCCCAGCTACTCAGGAGACTGAGGTGAGAGGATCTCTTGAGCCCAGGAGGTAGAGGCTACAGTGAGCTGTGATTATGCCACTGCACTCCAGCCTAGGTGACAGAACAAGACCCCTGTCTCCAAAAGAAGGGAAGAAAGATGATCAACTAAAATCAATTTAGACCTTGTGGAATAACTGGCACTTTTTTGTGGGGTTTTTCCCACTTTAGGTAAGCTCTTTTGCTCATGCTCTCCAAATCCTCTCTATCACTGTTACTAGTTTGGGGATATTTTTAAATTGGCTAAAGTATTACAGGCATACTTTGGAGATACTATGGGTTCACGTTCAGTTCCAGACCACCTCAAAGCGAGTCACACAAAGTTTTTGTTTCCCAATGCATATAAAAGTTATGTTTGCACTGTACTGTAGTCTGTTAACTTTGCAGTAGCGTCATGTCTTTTAAAAATGTACAGACCTTAATTTAAAAATACGTTATTGCTAAAAAATGTTAAGGATCATCTGAGCCCTCAGTGAGTCATAATCTTTTTGCTGGTATAAGGTCTTGCCTCAATAATAATTTTTGTTTAAGGGAGATGGGGTCTGGTACTGTTGCCCAGGCTGGAGTGCAGTGGTGCTATCATAGCTCACTGCAGCATCGAACTCCTGGGTGCATGCGTTCCTCCTGCATCAGTCTCCCAAGTAGCTAGGATTACAGGCACATGCCACCATGCCCAGCTCATTTTTTATTTTTTATTTTTTTATTTTTTTTAAGGGATGGAATCTCATTATGTTGCCCTCAAGCTGGCCTTGAATTCTTGGCCTCAAGCAGTCCTCCTGCCTTAGCCTCCTGAGTAGTTGGGATTAGGGGTGTGAACCACTGCACCCAGCTATGGTCTTGCCTCAGTATTGATGGCTGCTGACTCATCTGGCGGCTGCTCAAGGTTGGAGTAGCTGTGGCAATTTCTTAAACAATGAAGTTTGCTGCATTTATTGACCCTCCCTTACCCAAAGATTTTTCTGTAGTATGCGATGATGTTTGATAGTATTTAACCCACAGAGGAACTTATTTCAAAATTGGAGTCAGTCCTTTCAAACTGTGCTACTGTTTTATAAATTAAGATTATGTTATATTCTAAGTCCCTTGTTGTCATTTCAACAATGTTCACAGCATCTTTACCAATAGTAGATTCCATCTCAAGAAACCGCTTTCTGCTGGGTGTGGTGGCATGCACCTGTGGTCCTAGCTACTTCGGAGGCCGAGATGGGAGGATTGC
This sequence comes from Homo sapiens, assembly GCF_000001405.40. Classification (NCBI taxonomy): domain Eukaryota; kingdom Metazoa; phylum Chordata; class Mammalia; order Primates; family Hominidae; genus Homo; species Homo sapiens. The sequence continues at coordinate 35,911,666 of NC_000006.12, read as the reverse complement.
TTGGGCCCAGGAGTTCAAGGCCAGCCTGGGCAACATAGTGAGACCTTAGCTCTTAAAAACAAAAAAGAAAGAAACTTATTTTTTAAAAAAATTAATTAATAAACTAATCAGTTATTTTGAGACAGGGTCTCACCATGTTGCCCATGCTGGTCTTGAACTCCTGGGCTCAAGCCATCCTCCCACCTTGGCCTCCCAAAGTGCTGGGATTACAGGCGTGAGCCACCACGCCCGGCCAAGTAACCACTTTCTCATCATAAGAAGCAGCTCCTCATCTGTTCAAGTTTTATTATGAGATTGGAGCAATTTAGTCACATCTTCAGGATCCATGTCTAATTCTAGTCCTCTTGCTGTTTCTACCACATCTGTAGTTACTTCCTCCACAGAAGTCTTGAACATTTCAGTCATGCATGAGGGTTGGAATCAACTTCTTCCAAACTCCTGTTAATGTTGATATTTTTACCTCTCCCCATGACTGTTCTTAATGGCATATAGAATCGTGAATCCTTTCCAGAAGGTTTTCAATAGATTTTTCCCAGACCCATCAGAGGAATCACTATGGTAGCTATTGCCTTATCAAATGTATTTCTTAAATAATAAGACTTGAAAGTTGAAATGACTCCTTGATCCATGGGCTGCAGAATACATGTTATGTCAGTAGGCATGGAAACAACATTAATCTCTTTGTACATTCCCATCAGAGCTCTTGGGTGACTAGGTACATTGCAAATGAGCAGTAATATTTTCAAAGGAATCTATTTTTCTGAGCAGAAGGTCTCAATAGTGGCCTTAAAATATTCAGTAAACTATGCAGTAAACAGATGTTCTGTCATCTAGGCTTTGTTGTTCCATTTATAGAGCACAGGCAGAGTAGATTTAGCATAATTCTTAAGAGCCCTAAGATTTTTGTGATTGTAAATTAGTATTGGCCTCAACTTAAAGTCACTAGGTACGTTAGCTGCTAACAAGAGTCAGCCTGTCCTTTGAAGCTTTGAAGCCAGTCATTGACTTGTCTCCAGCTATGAAAGTCCTAGATGGCATCATCTTCCAATAGAAGGCTCTTTTGTCTACACCTAAAATCTGCTGTTTAGTATAGCCACCTTCATCAATTATCTTAGCATCTAGGTAACTTGCTGCAGCTTTTTCATCAGCACTCACTGCTTTACCTTGCACTTTTATGTTATGGGGATGGCTTCTTTCTGTAAACTTCATGAACCAACCTCTGCTACCTTCAAATTTTTCTTCTGCAGCTTCCTCACCTCTCACAAACTTCATAAAATCCAGGGCCTTGCTCTGGATTGGGTTTTGGCTAAAGAGAATGTTGTGGTTGGTATGATCTTCTATTCAGACCACTAAAACTTTCTCCATCTCAGAAATGAGGCTTGCAAGCTGGGCGTGGTGGCTCACTCCTGTAATCCCAGCACTTTGGGAGGCTGAGGCAGATGGATCACCTGAGGTCGGGAGTTCGAGACCAGCCTGACCAACATGGTGAAAGCCCGTCTCTACTAAAAATACAAAATTAGTCGGGTGCGGTGGCGCATGCCTGTAATCCCAGCTACTTGGGAGGCTGAGGCAGGAGAATCTCTTGAACCCAGGAGGTGGAGGTTGCAGTGAGCTGAGATCATGCCATTGCACTCTAGCCTGAGCAATAAGAGCGAAACTCCATCTTAAAAAAAAAAAGAAAGAAATGAGGCTTGTATTAATCTGTTCTCACACTGCTGTAAAGAATATTACCTGAGACTGGGTAATTATAAAGGAAAGAGGTTTAATTGACTCACAGTTCCACAGGCTTACCAGGAAGCATGGCTGGGAGGCCTCAGGAAACTTAGAATCATGGTGAAAGGCAAAGGGGAAGCAGGCATCTTCTTCACAAGTTGGCAGGAGGAAGTGTGTGCAACAGCAAGGAAGTGCCACACTTCAAAACCATCAGGTCTCGTGAGAACTATCATGAGAACAGCATGAGGGGAGCCACCCCCATGATCTGATCACCTCCCACGTGGTCTCTCCCATGACATGTGGGTATTACAATTTGAGATGAGATTTGGGTGGGGACACAGAGCCAAACTGTATTATTTCACTCTTGGCCCCTCCCAGATCTCTTGTCCTCACATTGCAAAATAATCATGCCTTCCCAACTATCCCCCAAAGTCTTAACCCATTCCAGTATTAACTCAAGAGTCCCAAGTCCAAAGTCTCATCTGAGACAAGTCTCTTCCACCTATAAGCCTATAAAATCAAAAGCAAGTTAGTTACTTCCAAGATACAATGGGGATACAGGCATTGGGCAAATGTTCCCATTCCAAATGGGAGAAATTGTCCAAAACAAAGGGGCTACAGACCCCATTAAAGTCTGAAATTCAGCCGGGCTGTCACTAAATTTTAAAGCTCCAAAATAATCTCCTTTGACTCTGTGTCTCACATCCAGGGCATGCCGATGCAAGGGGTGGGATCCCATAGCCTTGGGCAGCTCCTTCATGGACTGGCATTGAGTGCCTGTGGCTTTTCCAGGTACATGGTGCAAGCTATTGGTGGATCTACCCTTCTGGGGTCTGGAGAACAGTGGCCCACTCCTCACAGCTCCACTAGGCAGTGCCCCGGTGCAGACTCTGTGTGGGGGCCCCAGCCCCACATTTCCCCTTTGCATGGCCCTAGCACAGGTTCTCCATGAGGGCTCCACCCCTGCAGCAGACTTCTGCCTGGGCATCCAGGCATTTCCATATGTCCTCTGAAATCTAGACAGAGATTCAATTATTGACTTCTGTGCACCTGCAGGCCCAACACCACGTGGAAGCTGCCAAGGCTTGGGGCTTGAACCCTCTGAAGCAATGGCCCAAGCTGTACCTTAGCCCCTTTTAGCTTTTTCCTCCTAAGCCTCTGAGTCTGTGATGAGAGGGGCTGTCGCCAAGATCTCTGACATGCCCTGACGACATTTTCTCTATTGTCTTGGTGATTAGCAGCCAGCTTGAATTTCTCCCCAGAAAATGTTTTTTTCTTTTCTATCCCATTGTCAGGCTACACATTTCCCAAACTTTTATTCTTTGTTTCACTTTTAAACATAAGTCCCAATTTCAAATGATTTCTTTCTGAATGCATAAAACTGAATGCTTTCAGAATAACCCAGGTCATGTCTTGAATGCTTTGCTGCTTAGAAATTTCTTCTGCCAAATACCCTAAATGATCTCTGTCAAGTTCAAACTTCCACAGATCTCTAGGGCAGGGGCAGAATGCTGCCAGTCTCTGCTAAAGCATAGCATGAGTGACCTTTACTTTAGTCCCAATAAGTTCTTTGTCTCCGTCTGAGACCACTTCAGCCTGGACTTCATTGTTCACCTCACTATCAGCATTTTGGTCAAAATAGTGCAAGTCTCTAGGAAGCTCCAAACTTTGCTACATCTTACTGTTTTCTTCTGAGCCCTCCTCCAAACTGTTCCAACCTCTGCCCACTACCCAGTTCCAAAGTTGCTTCCACATTTTCAAGTATCTTTATAGCAGTACCCCACTCTCTGTGGTACCAATTTACTGTATTAGTCCATTTCACACTGCTATAAAGAATACTACCTGAGACCGGGTATATAAAGGAAAGAAGTTTGATTCACAGTTCCACAGGCTTAACAGGAAGCATAACGAGGGCTCAGGAAACTTACAATCATGGTGGAAGGTGAAGGGGAAGCAGGCACCTTCTTCACAAGGTGGCAGGAGGGAATGTCTGCGAGAACGAGGAAGTGCCACACTTTAAAACCATCAGCTCTCGTGAGAACTCACAAACTATCAGAACAGCGTGGGTGAACCACCCCCATGACCCAGTGACCTCCCACCTCATCCCTCTGCTGATGTGGGGATTACAATTTGACATGAGATTTGTGTAGAGACACAGAGCCAAACTATATCAAGGCTGTTCCTCTTTCTTGTTATTCATGTGTTCACTCCATCTTACTTATTTTTTATTTTTTATTTTTTATTTTTTGAGACGGAGTTTTGTTCTCATTGCCCAGGCTGGAGTGCAATGGTGCAATCTCGGCTCACTGCAACCCCCGCCTCCCGGGTTCAAGTGATTCTCCTGCCTCAGCCTCCCAAGTAGCTGGGATTACAGACATGTGCCACCACACTCAGCTAATTTTGTGTTTTTAGTAGAAATGGAGTTTCACTATGTTGGTCAGGCTGGTCTTGAACTCCTGATCTCAGGTGATCCACCCACCTCAGCCTCTCAAAGTGCTGGGATTACAGGTGTGAGCCATCGCGCCCAGCCTCACTCCATCTTATTTTAAAGCAAATCCCAGGCATCATATTATTTTATAAATTATAGACTCTTAATTTTTTTAAAGCATAGCTACGGTAGTATAATTGCCCTAAATTTTTTTAAACAAGTCTTTAATGTCAAGTATTCAATCTGTGTTCAAATTTTCCTAATTTTCTTTGGATCAGGATCCACAAAGTCTTTCCATTGCCTTTGTTTGAAAAGTTTCTAGTCTTTTACTCTGTAAGTTCTCTGTGGTTCTTTTCCTTGCAGATTTGTTTTTGGCAAACTACCTATGGGTGGTGGTGTAAACTTTCATCAGGAAACATCAATTCTGGTTGTCTCTCTTTTTGTGGTGTTAGTGGCTATTGATCCTTGCTTAGATCCATTAATTTATTTAGGGTTTCAAAAATGGTAATATTCTATTTCTTAATTTATTAATTGTAATACTTCTATAAAGAGAAACTTTATCTCATAACTTTGGTTACCCAGAGAGAGAGTTGACAGATCCCTAGCATGCTCCAAAATGACCAATAAACATTTGATAATAACTCACAAATTTGAACGTATTTGTGGTTTAGTCCATTAGAGTGGGTTTTTTTTTCCTACAGTTTTATGGAGGTATAATTAAAACTCATTTTAACTGTGCAATTCAGTGGTTTTTAGTATGTTCATAGAGTTGCACAAACATCACTGCAGTGTAAATTTAGGTTGTTTTCATCAACTCCAAAAGAAACCTGGACCTATTAGCAGTCATACCCCTTGACTCCCGACACTGCCTCACCTTCAACCTTAGGCAGCCACTAATCTACTTTCTGTGCCTATGGAATTTCCTGTTCTGGACATTTCATATAAATGGAATCATAACATATGTTATCTTTAGTGACTGGCTTCTTTTACTTAATGTTTTTAATATTCGTGCATGGCTCACATCTGTAATCTCAGCACTTTGGGAGGCCAAGGCCGGTGGATCGTTTGAGGCCAGGAGTTTGACACCAGCCTGGCCAACATGGCCTAACCCTGTCTCTACTAAAAATACAAAAATCAGCTGGGCGTGATGGTGCACGCCTGTAATCCCAGCTACTCAGGAGGCTGAGGCATGAGAATCACTTGAACCTGGGAGGTGGAGGTTGCAGTAAGCCGAGATCATGCCACTGAACTCCAGACCAGGTGACAGAGTGAGACTCTGTCTCAAAAAAAAAATAATAAAATTCGTGCATGTTGTATCATGTGTGGTTATTTTTATTGCTTGTCCACTGTTGGCTAATTGGAGTTTTTTTTCATGGTATCTCCTGAGTTCATTTTACTCAACCTGAGATGTCTTTGATTGCTTTTTTTAATCTGGTGTGACAGTATGTCTAAGGCTTATCTTGTACATTTTCTGCCCCCGGCTAGGAAATAGCTGTCTCTCCAAGAAGCCTTTTAGTGGGAAATGGTATTTGGAGACCATAATCTGAGCGCTTAAGGAGCTTATTACTAGTGAGTGAGTTAGTCATTGTTTCTATGCTTTTTCTGTGACTAGAGCTTAGGAAATAAGTTGTGTTTTTTCATTTAAAAAAATCATGAGTTCATGTTATACTTAAACATGGAATCATAGGACCCAAGGATTTTTGTTTGATTTTATATTTCACTCTTCTTTCTCCCACGCTGAAAATCCCAGTTCTCAACAGCATCATGATTGCTCATTTTCTTTTTCCTACAATATATACACAACAGTCTTAGAATTACAATTCCAGCACTACCCCAACAATATGATTACTAAAGAAGATCACAATTTTTGTTATTGTTCTTAGAGTATATTTCACTGGGGATGTAGAATCAAGTGACTGAATTTTATAGTTGCACTGACTAGTTCCTTGCTGTAGGATTATGCTACCACCTAATTTCTCAGATTCATGTGTTTCATTTTGCTTTCATTTTACATCATCTTTGACTTTTTTAAAAAGTCCAAGTCTTGCAGAATTATTTGGGTCGTCTAGGCTTATTGCTTAAAATAAATATTGTATGTAATTTGTGATTATGTTGGGTTTTTTTTTAGAATATGGCTTATGAAGCATACTATGAGTAAGACAACAGGGAATGGTTCTGTGCTTATTAGAGTGTGTGAAGTGTGCCTCCTCCTTTATATCTAAAGAAGAAAAGGTTTCTTAGCTCCTGTTACCCTGTGAGAAGATGGGTCCACTATTACCACGTCTTCAGCTTTTTCAACAGAAGCTAGAACTTTGTTTTTATGTGATTCTCCAGATTGTTTAGTGTTCACAACTTTTGTTTGTCTGTTTTTTGTTCTTTATTTGAGATAAGGTCTCAGTCACCTAGGCTGGAGTACAGTGGTGTGATCATAGGTCACTGCAATCTCAAACTCCTGGGCTCAAGCATTCCCTCTGCCTCAGCCTCTGGAGTAGCTAGGACTACACCACCAGGCCCCCTTAATTTTTAATTTTTTTTTTCTTTTCTTTTGTAGAGATGGAGTCTTGCTGTACTAACCAGGCTGGTCTTGAACTCCTGGCCTCAAGGGATCCTCTCACCACCTTGGCCTCCCAAATTACTAGAATTACAGGTGTGAGCCACAGTGCCCAGCCCACGACTTTATTTATTTTTTATTTTTTTATTTTACTTTTTTTCTTTTTTTTGTGACAGAGTTTCACTCTTGTTGCCCAGGCTAAAGTGCAATGGTGTGATCTCGGCTCACCACAACCTCCACCTCCCGGGTCCTGGTTCAAGCAGTTCTCCTGCCTTAGCCTCCCGAGTAGCTGGGATTACAGGCACGCACCACCATGCCCAGCTAATTTTTGTATTTTTAGTAGAGACGGGGTTTCACCATGTTGGCCAGGCTGGTCTTAAACTCCTGACCTCATGATCTGCCTGCCTCGGCCTCCCAAAGTGCTGGGATTACAGGCGTGAGCCACTGCACCCAGCCCACGACTTTATTTAAAAACCATTGTATACTTTTGTTTACAGGCAGGATTCAGCTTGCAGCCTGTAGTATGTAATCTCTGCCTCAGAGTCTTTATGGTGAAAGGTAGGCATTAATAGGCTGACTGTTGCAAGTTCCCTCTCTGAGTGATAGTATTAAGCACAGTTGTGGAAGAGCCCCATGGTTCCATGGGCCTCGTAGTGGAGGATTAGCTTTGGAAATTTGAAAAAGACCAACAAAGATCAGCTGTGAAGACCATAGTATCCAGTTTTTCAACTAATTTAACAGGGTATAACTTCAGAAAGTTATCAGAAGCCCACAAAATAATTTGAATACACTTAATTTTCAGATAACTGTAGTAAAATGTTTCCACTAAACACAAAAATCAGTTGGCAGGAGCTAGATAAATAAAAATCATGGCTTGGCATGGTGGCTCATGCCTATAATCCCACCACTTTGGGAGGCCAAGGTGGGAGGATCACTTAAGCTTAGGAGTTCAAGACCAGCCTGGGCAATTCAGTGGGACCCTGTCTTTAAAAAAAAAAAAAAAATTCGCTGGGTGTTGTGATGCACGCTAATAGTTCCAGCTATTTGGAAAGCTAAAGTGGGATTGCTTCAGCCTGGAAGGTCAAGGCTGCTACGTGCCATGATTGTGCCACTGTACTCCAACCTGGACAGAAGTCCAGGTGTGTAATTCATTGCTATTGGGTAATTTATTGGTGGCTTAAATGCCTTGAACAATATTGATGAGTATTTTAGGATGGCATATCAAGAAGTTTCAGAAATTTTAATATACATTTTAACTACCACGTAACAATTGTCACCAATTCTTGTTTGGTGAACAAAAACATCAATGGTATGAAGCTTGGTACTTGTAGTCAATCATGTTGATAACCTTTTTTAATTTACTCAAATTCTAAAATTTATGATCTGAGTGTCATAGAGGCCTAGGCATTTTGAACAAGGCTAACAGTCCTTTTGGGGATAGTGTTGTGATTTTTTTTTTTTTTTGGAGACAGTCTCACTCTGTCACCCAGGCTGGAGTGCAGTGGCACAATCTCGGCTCACTGCAACCTCTGTCTCCCGGGTTCAAGTGATTCTCGTGCTTCAGCCTCCCAAGTAGCTGGGATTACAGGCACATGCCACCACACCTGACTAATTGTAGTATTTTCAGTAGAGGTGGGGTTTCACCAGGTTGGCCAGGCTGGTCTCAAACTCCTGACCTCAGGTAATCTGCCCACCCCTGCCTCCCAAAGTGCTGGGATTACAGGCGTGAGCCACCACGGCCTCTTGTGAACTTTTGTTTCCTGAAATATTAGGGTAAGCCTTATTTTGTAACTGATTATCAATGTACCTTGTAGGCAACCCTATCTTTCCGTTCATTCACTTTGCTTTTTTTTTTTTAAATAGAGACAGGGTCTCACTGTGTTGCCTAGGCTGGTCTTGAACTCCTGGGCTCAAGTGATTCTCTCACCTTGGCGTCCCAAAGTGCTGGGATTATAGGTGTGAGTCACCATGTCTGGCCCACTTTGCCTTTAATTATTGTGCTACTCTTCAGCTTATGAACATTTTTTGATGTGCCTCCACTTAGCAATTTGATCAGAGATGCCAGGTTTTTTCTACCTACATATGAGCTTGAGGACAAGCTCCCTTCTGCTAGTTTTTATGCCTTTTAGAATAGCTTTAACAGGAATTGTATTTTGCATTTTTCTTTACTAGAAAGAAGAATGCAGTGGGATAAATTAGGTAATTCATGCTAATATTTCTAGGTAGAAGGATAATACAGTACATGCTCAATATGCTGTTTATCAAAAAGAGCTTGTCCTTTTGAATTACACAGTCCCGGATTTCAGCCTGCCTCCAACACCATTGTTAGGTGAACATGGACAGTTTCTTTTGACTTTTCAGTTCAAGTTGCCTTATCTGTAGATGGCAAGGTTATAAGGATGAAATTGCATTGAGTGCCTAGCCCAGTACTGAGGTGAAATAAGTTTTTGGATGACTGCTTTCTTTCTCATGCTTCGTTCTTTACCTTAGATGGGTTTATCTTTGTCTTTTATGTGACTTTTTTTTGGATTTTTATTTTATTATTATTTTTTATTTTTTAGAAACAGGGTCTCACTTTGTTACCCAGGCTCTGGAGTGCAGTGGCGTGATCATAGCTTACAGCTGCATCACACTGCTGGGCTCAAGGGATCCTCCTGCCTCTGCTCCCTTAGTAGCTGCGACTACAGGCACATGCCACCAAGACTGGCTAATCTTTTTTTTCTTTTTTTTTTTTTTTTTTTTGTAGAGACGGAGTCTCGCCATCTGGCCCAGGCTGGGCTCAAGCATTCCTCCCGCCTTGGTCTCCCAAAGTGCTGGGATTACAGACATGGGGCCACTGTGCCAAGCCTATGTGACATTTCTTAATACTATTAGTGTATCAAACTAATAGTTTTAGCTCATGTGTTGGTGTTTCATTTTCATGTATATTTATATATATGTGTGTGTATATATGGTAGAGTTTGGAGTATAGTCACCTGAGGATCAAGGTTGAATTATATTTATTTGTATGTAACACCTGATAAACTTAGGCACTCAGATTTTTATTTTTATATTGTTAGACCCTAGTTCCAGCTTAAGATTTCTGAGTTGAGAAACTTAGACTACTTGTGAGTATGTCTCAGAAGTTAAGTTTGGATAAAATTAGATATGTAAAGGATTATGTCAATTTGCAAAAGAAAAAAATCTTTCAGGAAAAATATATATGGAAAAGGTAGTGGGAGAAATTTAGCATTTATTGAGTTCCATTGTGTGTAGGTGCTAGAACCTAAAATAGCATCTCGTTAAATCTTTGCATCACATCTAAATAAGTGTGATAACTCTAGAAGGGATACAGAGATGACTGGGACACAGTCCTTTCCTTCAAGAGACTTAGGATTTCTTAAGGGAAATAAGTATACAAACATGGTTTTCTTCAGTCTTCTGTAACAAAGTACCAAAAACTGGGTGGCTAAACAACAGAAATTTATTATCTCACAGGCTAGAAGTCTAAAAGGTGTCAGAGGGTTGATTCCTTTTGAGGGCTGTGAGGGAGAATCTGTTTCAGGCCTTTTTCTTGCCTTGTAGATGGCCATCTTTTCCCTGTGTCTCTTCACATCATCTTCCCTCTATATGTGTGTGTGTCTCTACATCCAGATTTTCTCTTTTTAAAAGGACAGTAGTCATGTTGGATTCGGGCTTATCCTGATAACCTCATCTTAACTTGATTACCTCTGTGAAGACCCACCCTGTATCTAAATAATGTCACAAGCCCAGTTATTGGAGGATAGCACTCCAACGTATCTTTCTAGGAGGGGCACAATTCAGCCTCTAACACAGGCCTCAGAAGGCAGTTCCCTGCATTAGGAGATCTTAACCATTCCCCACTCCCAAGACAGAAAAGACTAAAGTTTATATGTAAGTAAACTAAAGTTTCAAAGGTGCTTTTTCCAGTCAGCTTTTAGTCTCTCCTTCTTTCTCTCTTTAATTTTTAGTTTTTTGTTATTTAAGAGATGGAAATCTCACTGTGTTGCTCAGGCTGGCCTTGAACTCCTGGGCTTAAGTGATCTTCCACCTCAGCCTCCTGAGTAGCTGGGACTACAGGTGTGTGCCACCATGCCCAGCTTTAATCCATCCTTTAGAGCCATAACTAAATCATTTCTAAAACCCCAAACATACCATCTTTAAATCCGTTCCTCTCCCTAAATTTCCATTTTCTGAAACCACCGTTTTGAATCATTCCAGATAAACTCCCAGCATCGCTCACCTCCTTACTCAAATGTCACAACACTATTTAAAATAGCATGAGCACACTGTGTCCCCTTGCCCTACTTAATTTTTCTCTATAGCTCTCTTCATAGCCTGACATTGTAGAGCATGTATCTCCTGGAGAGACTGAGATAGGACTTTGCTGTCCCAACTTCTGCTGTTCACCAGCTAAAACTCAAGAACCGGATAGGTTCAGATAAATTAGGGCTATTTTTTGTCACTTCATGCTAGAATGTAAACACAGTGAAGGCAGGGACCCTATACTTGCTCACAGCTGCATTCCCAGTGCCTAGAAAAAAGTACCTGGGATATCTACAGACACTCAGTAAAACTAAGTTGAATACATGAACACATACTTGCTTGTTTCTTTTCTTTTATTTTCTACCTACAATGCTAAAATTTATGTTCAGGCACTGTATTAACCACAGGAATAACATATCCTCGCAAATGCCCTATGAGGTAGGCATCATTTCTGCCTTCATTTTACACATAAGGCGAGAGGCGCAGAGAGCTTCTTACACTAACAGTTTGTTCAGAGTTTTGGAGCTCTGGTAAACTGTGGAGCCAGGATCAAACTCAAGTCTCCTGACTCCAGAGACCTTTGCTGTAACTATTATCTCTGCAGTGGTCCCCAACATCTCTGCTTTCTGGTTCCCCTACATTTTACAAACCTTACCAAAGGAATCTTTTTATTTTTTTTTATTTTTTTATTATTATTATTTTTTTTTTGCGATGGAGTCTTGCTCTGTCGCCCAGACTGGAATGTAGTGGTGCGATCCCAGCTCACTGCAACCTCTGCCTCCCAGGTTCAAGCGATTCTCCTACCTCAGCCTCCCGAGTTGCTGGGGTTACAGGTGCCCGCTACCATGCCCAGCTAATTTTTGTATTTTAGTAGAGATGGGGTTTTGCCAAGTTGGCCAGGCTGGTCTCGAACTCCTGACCTCAAGTGATACACCCGCCTCGGCTTCCCAAAGCTCTGGGATTACAGGCATGAGCCACCGTGCCCGGCCCCAAAGGAATCTTTCTAAAGCATTTCTTCTGTAGGGCCACTCTAATGGCTGCACTTCCTTCTTTGTAAAGTGCTTCAATGCTTGACATTTAAGGCTCTTCACAGTCTAGTTCTGTTGGGGGCAGATGTGTAATGGACTTTAACTGAAGAATGAATAATAACTAAATACGAAAGAGAAATACCTTGTACACATCCCGGTTCTAGGCATTTAGGATATGCCATTGAACAAAAAAAGGCTGCCCTCATGAAGCTTACATTCTGGGAGTGTCTGGAGGAAGACAATAAAATGCCAAGTGCTGAAGAAAAGTAGCGGGTTAAGGGGAGTGGCAGAGGGCATGTGGCAAACACTGCTGTTTCATATAGGAAAGTCAAGGAAGTTCTCTGAAAGGGTGCCACTTTAGCACAAGCCTAAGAAGATATGTATAGAGAGATGGGTTGGAGGGGGCAATGAAGAGACAGATCACGTAAGGTCTTGTAGGCCATTGGAAAAAAATCTGTTTGGAGTATAGTGGTTGCCTAATTGTGCTTCATTAAAGATCACCAGTGTTTTGTTTTGTTTGTGAGATGGAGTCTCGCTCTGTCATCAGGCTGGAGTGCAGTGGTGCGATCCCAGCTCACTACAACTTCCACGTCCCAGGTTCAAGCGATTCTCCTGCCTCAACCTCCTGAGTAGCTGGTACTACAGGCACGCGCCACCATGCCCAGCTAATTTTTGTATTTTTAGTAGAGGCGGGGTTTCACCATGTTGGCTAGGCTGGTCTTGAACTCGTGACCTCAGGTGATCCGCTTGTCTTGGCCACCAAGTGCTGGGATTACAGGCGTGAGCCACCACGCCCGGTGTCTGTGTAGGATTTGTTGACATTTTTGTTTTGTTTTGGAAAATGTGAACTGGAGTTCAGAGGGCTTTAAGAGGGAGGTTTTAGGGAAAACAGAGAAGAAGGCATGCTTGACACTGGAAGAACCTGATAATATGATAAATTAACTTTTTTGAGATGGAGTCTCGTTCTGTTGCCCAGGCTGGAGTGCAATGTCATGATCTCGGCTCACTGCCACCTCCGCCTCCCAAGTTCAAGTGATTCTTTTGCCTCAGCCTCCCAAGTAGCTGAGATTACAGATGCCTGCCACCATGCATGGCTAAATTTTGTGATAAATTAACTTGTAAAAAATATAGTAATACATAACTTAAAAAAATAATTATTTCAGTAGTTTTGGGGTACAGGTGGTTTTTATTACATGAATGAGTTCTTTAGTGGTGAATTCTGAGATTTTAGTGCACCTGTCACCTGAGCAGTGTACACTTTACGCAATATCTAGTCTTTTATCCCTAACCCCCCAATCTTCTCCCCAACCTTAAGTCACCAGAGTCCATTATATCACTCTGTATATCTATAAGTCCTGATTGCTTAGCTCCCACTTATAAGTGAGAACATACAGTATTTGCTTTTCTCCATTCCTGATTTACTTCGCTTAGAATAATGGCCTCCAGCTCCATCCAAGTTGCTGCAAAAGACATTTCATTCCTTTTCATGGCAGAGTGGTATTCCATGGTGTATAGATGCGACATTTTTCTTTATCTGTTTGTTGATCAATGGGTACTTAGGTTGGTTCCATATCTTTGGAATTGAGAATTGTGCTGTTATAAATACTTTAAAAGTTCATTGCATGGATACATTTTCAAATATAGTAAACATTCATAATGCAATGTATTGATCAATTGGCCTGCATAGATGATCCTTTTAGCAATTACAGGTTTTACCTTACATGAACAAATTGGTAATCAAATTTAAATAAACATACAGGTGATCTATGCAGCTAATAAATCTATTCAACCCACCTCTTGTTGGACATTTAGGTGTCTAATTTGTTCCAATAGAATACGCAGTGGAAGCCTTTTTAAATAAAAGCTACAGGATGGGTGTGGTAGCTCATGCCTGTAATCTCAGCAATTTGGTAGGCTGAGACTGGAGAATCACTTGGGCCCAGGAGTTTGAGACTTGTCTGGGTAACATAGTGAGATCACATCTCTAAAAAATTTTAAAAATTAGCCAGGCATGGTGGTGCACGCCTGTAGTCCCAGATACTTGGGACTGAGGTGGGAGGATCACTTGAACTGAGGAGGACAAGGCTGGAGGGAGCCGTGATAGCACCACTGCACTGCAGCCTGGGCGGTAGAGTGAGACCCTGTCTCATAAATGAATGAATTAATGAATTAATTAAATAACTGCTACATAGTCCTCTGTCTCACCTTTTCCCTAGACATAGGTCTACTTCCTAAAGCAACTACTTTTACCCATTGCTTTTTGTTTATTTTATTAATAGTTGGATAGACGTGCACATCTCCAGCATACTTACTGCTATTCTTTGATTGATCAGCTTTAGCTATTACCATAAATTCTTGCTATGATTGAGGAAGATATAGTTCACTTGTACTATCACCACTTTATCTCTCTCTTCCTCTCAATAAAGCACTATATTTGGACCTAGTTTTCTAAAGCTTTATTGAGACATAATTTGCATGCCATAAATTCACCCATCTAGTGTACACTTCCATTGTTTTAACATATTCAGAATTGTTATATCTCACCATGATCTAAGTTTAGAGCATTTTTATCCTCCTGTAAGAAAACTCCAAACCCATTAGTAGTCACTCACCATTACTCGCTTTACTCAGACCCTGGCAACCGCTAATCTACTTTCTGTCTCAATGGATTTGCCTTTTCTGGACATTTCATGTAAATAAAATCTTAGGATTATGTGGTCTTTTGTAACTGGCTTCTCTTAGTATAATGTTTTCAAGGTTCATTCATCTTGTTAAAGCAGGTATCAGTACATCATTCCTTTTTATGTATAGATATATGAATTTTGTTTATCCGCTCAGCAGTTGGTGGACATTTGGATTATTTCCACTATTTGGTTATTATGAATAATGTTGTATTTGTATATTCCACCCTGTCCCCAGGAATCAGTCAGCATTTTACTTTATAGTACATTCATAATAAGTTCCTGCATTTCCAAGGTAACCAGATCCCATTCAGGTTAACACTACTGGTAACAAAATCATACAACTATGCATTGTGAACATCCATGTACAACTTGGTGTGTGGATACATGTTTTCATCTCTTGGTAAATACCTAGAAGTGGAATTGCTAGGTCATATGGTAATTCTAATGTTTAGCATTTTGAGGAATTAACAAACTTTCCAAAGTGGTTGTGCCATTTTACATTCCCACCAGCGATGTGTAAGGGTTCCAGTTTTTTTCACTTCTTCACCAACACTTGTTATTATCTATTTTGATTACTTTATAACTTTAATATACCTTGAGTAGGAAAACTTCAAACTGTTTTGTTGTCTGCTCTCACACCACAACAATGAACACAGACTCCTGTGACCAAATGTATGAGACTTTTTCCCCTGCCATACACCACCCAATCAGTTCTGCAGCAGATACCAGCTAGATGTCCTCTGATTCAATTCAGTTCTGACAGTGTCTTCTTGGAGACCCCACGGATTGAGGGTTCACTCCTCAAGACTGCCTCTCCCCCGTTTCCAGTGCCAGTTGCAAGCCCAGGTTGTTTTACCTGTGCTTCTGATCAACTGGCTATAAATTGTGTTTCCCATGACACCTCCTTGGGTTGAATTAATTTGCTAGAGGAGCTCACAGAACTCAGGGCAACATGTTTACTGGTTTTTCTAAATAAAGGATATTACAAAGGATAGAGATGAATAGATGCATAGGGCCTAAGGTATGGGAAGGAATGCAGAGCTTCCATGCCCTCTCTGGGTGTACCACCCTCCAGGAATCTCTACTTATTCAGCTGTCTGGAAGCTCTCCATACTTCACCCTCTTGGGCCTTTCATGAAGACTTCATTGGATAGGCATGAACAAAGCATGGTCAACTGTGTAGAAATGTGATTGGACAAAAAGAGTACGACCTAATAGACTGAGTATGGAAACCCAGCAGGGCCTGTCTGTTCAGATTCTTGGCCTCTCTGTGCATCATTCCTTCCCCCAAGGTATGGGGCTCTGAAATGGGGATCTTATGAATCAGGATCAGATAAGGTAGGTCAGATAATTTCTTTATGGAAAGGCACGGGAGGATTACGTTACTGCATTGGGAAGAAAAAGGAGCAGGTGAAAGAGGGCAGGAGGTCTGTTTTCTGAGGCCTGCTTTTGAGGCCTAAAGAGCCCCAACATTATAACAAAAGACTAACAAGGGCTGTGGGAGTTACGAGCCAGGAACTGTGGATGAACACACACACACACACACACACACACACACACAAGCATATGCCTCAACCTTTGTTTTTGGTTTCATTAACTGTAGGCACTTTAACTTCGTAACATGAAAATATTGGTGGACTTTTCTTTCTCTCCCAACTGGCCCCTAAATTCTGTCTTTACAGTGTTTACAAAGAATCCTTACGTTCTACTTTGTAGCCATAATTAGGTATTTTGTGCTTTATCATTAGGTTGATTTTGAAGTAGAAAATCAATAATCTGCATTTATGTTATTTTGACTGTGTCTTGTGCTATAATTACATAACTTTTTTTGTTTAGATTTTGTTTGTTTCTTGGAATTCGTAATTATGTTTTTCTCCCTTGTGTTACCTCTTTTTTATCATATTGTTAGATTCCTCCAGAAAGTATGTCTCAAGCATACTTTCTTGTCTTTGTTTTTTTCCCCGGAATCTCTCAGAGCTCTCTGGTCTCTGGCTCTAGGTCAGATTAAATGCATTTCAGGCCTTCTCTATAGTTGTGCTCTTGGAACTTCCTTTTTGGCTCTTCTGTTTTTGATCTGTAAAACAGAATCCTGTGGATCCTATGTCTTCTTTCTCAGTTTTACTGCTTTGTTTTCTTGACTTTAAGTAACTTCTTCAGAGAAGATGAATGGGAGATAAGTTTCAATGTTGGTCCATATTTGAAAAACTTTATTCTGCTCTCAAATGTTGTTGATACTTAGACTAGGTTAAAAAAAAAATCCTCAGAATTTAGAAGTCATTGCCTCATTGTCTTTTAGTGTATTGGCTTTCTGATGAGATAGATGATGACAGTCTAATTACTGCCCTTCTAGCTTTTTTTACCTAGAAGCCTTTAGAGTCTTCTTAACACTGGGATTTAAAAATTTCCCTAATAAAAAATTAAGTAGAGCTTCCGTTCAATCTCCAGAAATTTCTTGAATTTCTTTAATAATTTTATCTCTTCTATTTTCATAAGTTTCTCTTTCTGCAACTCTATTATTCAGATGTGGGAACTTCTGGTTTGATTGTGTTTGTCTCATCTCTTTTTGAGCATTATTATCTTGAGTAGAGATATTACGGGATAATGGGCGATTATGAGATAAGTGGGCATTTTTCCCCCCTACATTTAGGGAATGGTCAAGTTTATTTTCTAGAACTTCTTTCTGACTTTACTCATCTTTTAGACTAGAGCATCATAGTCTGTATGGAAATCGGCATCATTTAACATTTCTCTATTCATATTAACTAGTTTTTAAGTTTGGTCTTTCTCCTGAATGCATATCTCTCTTGTAGGGTCAGTTTTCCAATTGCTTATCTTGGTCTCTGTCTTTGGGGCCGTGGGCTTTCCTCAAATGTTCGATGATCCTTAGTCACCTTTTATTTTTATGGATGAGGCATTAGAGACCTGATTGATAGCCCTACGTCCCTAGCAAGGCTTTTTCTTTCTTTTCTTTTTTTTTCTTTTATTTGAGACAGAGTCTCGCTCTGTCGCCCAGGCTGGAGCACAGTGGCATGATCTCGGCTCATTGCAACCTCTGTCTCCCGGATTCAAGCAATTCTCACACCTCAGCCTCCCGAGTAGCTGCGATTACAGGCGCATGCCACTGTGCCTGGCTAATTTTTGTATTTTTAGTAGAGACGGGGTTTCACCATGTTGGCCAGGCTGGTCTTGAACTCCTGGCCTCGGCCTCCCAAAGTCCTGGGACTATAGGCATTAGCCACCGTGCCTGGCCAGCTTTTTCTTTAGAGTAAATAGGAGGCTACCTGTGTGATGTTTGGTCCCACTGAATGCCAGAATCTGGAAAAGTTTACTCTGGGGTAGCATCATCCACACTAACAGCATTTGTTCTTTCCAGTTTATTTTATTTTCTTTAGAGAATAGGCCTCCTTTTTTGCCCCCTGCAAGATAAATACCAGTCTGTCTGCTGTGCAGTGTATGGTGTCAACTCCATTATACAAGCCTTCAGTTAATCATCCCCCACCCCTTTTTTTTTTGAGACAAGGTCTTGCTCTGTCGCCCATGCTGGAGTGCAGTGGCACAGTCATGACTCACTGCAGCCGCAACCTTGCAGCTTCAAGCATTCCTCCCACCTCAGTTCCCCGAGTAGCTGGGACTACAGGCACGCACCACCAAGCCCAGTTAATTTTTGCGTTTTTCTTAATGATGAGGTTTCACCATGTTTCCCAGGCTGGTCTTGAACTTTTAGGCTCAAGGGATCTGCCCGCCTTGGCCTCACAAAATGCTGGGATTACAGGTGTGAGCCACCGCAACCGGCCCCATTTCATTTACTTTCATTAAGTTTGAATCAGAGAATCTGTTTCAGAATTCCATCTTAATCTCAAATTGGAGAATGTTGTTCTTCATTCAGACTCCTTATTTCCACTTAGGAAAGTGGGCCAGTGTATTACTAAATAAATTTCCCAAAGACATGTTTTCAGTTACAATGAACATTGAATCATGCAGTTTTATAGCTAATTTTGTGTACCCTGGGGGATTAAAAAGAAAATCAAGAATTGAGGAAGGTTGGAATGGCCACCAAAAATCTAAATCATTAGTTGCATCAAGGTATTTCTTATGTCTTAAATAGCTCAGTCATAGCATGTAACTGGTTTTTCTATTAAAATGTTTTTCTGTTAATTGAATCTTTTGAAAAAATAATCTGATGAAACAGGTTGATGAAAAGGTAAATAAATACTGAAAAATTAAAATTAAGATGTATTTTCCTTTAGCTATTGAAAGGAATGCTGTGTACCCTGCCTTTTTGTTTTGTTTTGTTTTGTGTTGTTGTCGTTGTTGTTGTTGTTGTTGTTGTTGTTGTTGTTGTTTTTAGACAGAATCTTGCCCTGTTGCCCAGGGTGGAGTGCAACGACGCGATTTCGGCTCACTGTAACCTTTGCCTCCTGAGTTCAAGTGATTATTGTGCCTCAGCCTCCCAAGTAGCTGGGATTACAGGTGCCTGCCACCACACCCAGCTAATTTTTATATTTTTAATAGAGATGGGGTTTCTTTATGTTGGCCAGGCTGGTCTCAAACCCCTGGCCTCAAATGATCTACCTGCCTCAGCTTCCCAAAGTGCTGGGATTACAGGCATGAGGCCCAGAGGTACCCTGCTTTTTTTGCTTAAAGGTCCTAGAAGACAGGCAACTAATAAGTGTCAGAGCCTGAGTGTAAATTCAGGTTTTTATGCTGCTTGAACTTCTCAGTGCACAAAAGTTGTGATATAACTAATTGAAGACATATAGAGAAGGAAATCAGTAAATATTTTTAATGCATTATAAAATGAAATATGATTTTTACCTATCAAATAAGCTAAGTTTTCAGAATGAGGTAGTACTTAAATACCAAAAGCCCATGTGTGGCTGGTGGGGATGTAACTTAGTACAACCTTTTTGGGAAGCAGTCATACTACATAAAAATCATTAGAAGCGAAGCATTCATGGCCACTGACTAGAAGGAAATATTCCAAAATGTTAATAGTTGTTCTGATTAGGTATGCCTTGAAACAAGTGTTTTCCAAATTTTCCACATTTAACATGTTATTTTTATAAATAGGAATGTTTTAACCCCTACTTAGTAGTTTAATTTTAGGGAAATAATTCTAATTACAGAATAAAGATTATCCAAAAGTATTCAACAACTATATTTTTAGTAGTGAAAAATTGGAAATAAATGTCCAGCTGAGCAGAATGTGCCAAAGTAAGCAGTGATACTTCTAAGGGAAGCATGTTAAGATTTTTTTTTTTTTTTTTTTGAGACAGAGTTTCGCTCTTGTTGCCCAGGCTGGAGTGTAATGGCACAATCTTGTCTCACCGTAGCCTCCACTTCCCGGGTTCAAGCAATTCTCCTGCCTCAGCCTCTCAAGTAGCTGGGATTACAGCGTGGGGTGCCCACCACCACGCTGGGCAAATTTTTTGTTTCCTTAGTAGAGATGGGGTTTCACCATATTGGCCAGACTGGTTTCGAACTCCTGACCTCAGGTGATCCACCCACCTCGGCCTCCCAAAGTGCTGGGATTACAGATGTGAGCCACCATCCATGCCTGGCCTCCATGTTAAGATTTAAGAGATTTCATAGAAATGAAAAAAGTTTGTAATAGAAAAAGCCAGATGCAAATTTGTTTATGTAGTATGTGATTACAGATAAATATTTTTATGAAGATACAGCAACATAATGGAAGAAGAGTCAGTAGTTTATCAGTGATTATGTTTGGATATTGAGATTCAAGTAATTTTTCTCCTTTGTACTTTTTAATATTTTTCAGATTTTATTTATTATGTACTGAAGTTTTTAAAAAGTATTTTTCTAACATGAGGTAAAACTACAGCTAATATTTTCCTAGGCTGCCACTTGGTAATACTCTGTTCATATTATCTGAAAGTTTAGTTTTTTGTGGGGAGGGCAGCATTTGATAATGTCTTATTTTCTTCTGTCCAAATGGAATGGGCATTTTTGTATCATTTCTTAGATCTGAAACTCAGCACCGAGGCTCTGCTCCCCACTCTGAGAGTGATCTACCAGAGCAGGAAGAGGAGATTCTGGGATCTGATGATGATGAGCAAGAAGATCCTAATGATTATTGTAAAGGTAAGTTCATAAAGAGGTATGAAGTGAGACATGAGCCATCTATTTGCAATTTCTCGTTTGGATGTTTGATCTATCAGCATAAACACAGTTTTATTGCTGTTTACTTGTATCCTTTTCTCTAAAACATAGGAAATAGTATTTGTTCTTAGTCTGACTTAATTTATCAAAGCCTAATTTTATATTAAATGTTTTTACCTTTTTCCTCTTTAAAAATTATAATACATATTTACCTTAGAAAATTTCAGAGCTGTGTTAAACAGAAAAGAAAGTAAAAGACTTCTGCAATGCTATCAGCCACATATAACCAGTGATAACATTTTGGCATATAGATTTTTACAAAATACCTTCTTACCACTTTTTTTCTCATAGTGATGGCTGTTAAGTTAAACTGGAATGACAGACACTTAAATGGTGTCATTAGGTTGCCTGTTAATCTTTTCTGTTTCTTGATGAGACTTTCTAGAGTCTTTGGGTAGGAACACAAAATGGAATGTATCATACCATCTAGAAGAATGTGGTCCTTCTTATTCTCAGCTGACAAAGATAAATATGAAAATACCTTGATTCTTGCCACTGTTGGCAGCCTTTTCAGGCCTTCTTCTGTTTTCTGGTTTTTTGGGGGTTTTTTTGTTTTGTTTTTTTGAGACAGAGCTGCCCAGGCTGGAGTGCTGTGGCACGATCTCAGCTCACTGCAGCCTCTGACTCCTGGATTCAAGCGATTCTTGTGCCTCAGGCACCCACCACCACGCCTGGCTAATTTTTGGGATTTTTTGTTTTTTTGTTTTTGAGGCGGAGTCTCGCTCTGTCGCCCAGGCTGGAGTGCAGTTGGCGCGATCTCGGCTCACTGCAAGCTCTGCCTCCCGGGTTCATGCCATTCTCCTGCCTCAGCCTCCCGAGTAGCTGGGACTACAGGCGCCCGCCACCATACCCGGCTAATTTTTTGTATTTTTTTTTTTTTTTAGTAGACACAGGGTTTCACCGTGTTAGCCAGGATGGTCTCGATCTCCTGACCTTGTGATCCGTCTGCCTCAGCCTCCCAAAGTGCTGGGATTACAGGGGTGAGCCACCGCGCCTTGCCGTTTTTTGTTTTTTGTTTGTTTGTTTGTTTTTTGAGACAGAGTCTGGCTCTGTCATCCAGGCTGGAGTGCAGTGGCACAATCTCAGCTCACTGCAACCTCCACCTCCTGGGTTCAAGCGATTCTCCTGCCTCAGCCTCCCGAGTAGCTGGGACTACAGGCATGCACCATGACACTGGCCAATTTTTGTATTTTTAGTAGAGACTGGGTTTTACCATGTTGGCCAGTCTGGTTCTCAAACTCCTGACCTCAGGTGATCCACCCACCTCGGCCTCCCAAAGTGCTGGGATTACACGCGTGAGCCACCATGCCCAGCCTTAATTTTTGTATTTTTAATAGAGACAGGTTTCACTATGTTGGCCAGGCTGGTCTCGAACTCCTGACCTCAAATGATCCGCCCTCCTTGGCCTCCCAAAGTGCTGGGATTACAGGCATGAGCCACCGTGCCTGGGCTGTTTTGTTTTGTTTTTATTTAGAGAAAATCCCGTTTGCTTACTTGCTTTTTTTTTTTTGCTAAATAAACAGAATTATTCTGTCTCCTAAAAAACACCTGAGACTGTAATTGTAAATAGATATATATGTTTAGATAAACCTATTGAATTATTGAGAGACAAGAATATCATGATATACAACCTTTTTATTGTTTTTGGATGAGACTGTTGTAGGCTCAATCTAAATCATTAATCTTACTCACTTTTTTTAATAACATGAATTCAGTAATACTATGTGGCTGATTTGACTATTAAGATTTTCTTCTGTTGAATTGATTGTATAAAAGAAACTTTTTATTGATAAAAGGTATATAGATGTTGAAAAATGTGATGTTAAAAATGCCTTTTCTTACCATTGTTTCTCATCCTGGTTTTTCTGATTGTATTTCCCCTGTTTCTTCCAGGAGGTTATCATCTTGTGAAAATTGGAGATCTATTCAATGGGAGATACCATGTGATCCGAAAGTTAGGCTGGGGACACTTTTCAACAGTATGGTTATCATGGGATATTCAGTAAGTTTTAGTGGTTCTGTAAAAGAATTAGTTAGATGATGTCTAAATGTGTTTGTCTGAGTTTCCACTGCTGATCCAGGCTTCAATCTATCTCTAGCCTGATTCATTTATCAGAATTTTGTTGTTGGCAATAGTCTCTGTATTCTTGGAGAAACCACTTTTCTTTCGTGAAGAATCAGTATTATATATCTCCCTTTCTACTATAGAGACAGGAGTGATTAAATTAATGCTGGTAAAGCTTTTGTCGTTTGATTTTTTTGTGATTTTTATCATTTTCTTTTCACCGAAGTATTTCTTCTGGCTGCCTATGGGAAAATATTACAGCTTTTAACCTTTTAGTTTTTGCCTATATACAGATATATACACAGAACACTTGGAATTTGGTAATATCTTTCCCCTTATTTATCCTCATTTTGCAGTTTTGCTTGTAACTCAGGGAGATATTCAAAAGAAGGATTTTAACTCAGAGAAAATGTTCAACAACTGAGATTATCTGAGAACAGATTTTTTATTCTTCCTATAAATGAAATCTGGCCAGTTAGTGTCATTAACAAGTATAAATGTTCCCATAGAAGTAGCTTGTTTGGGCTACAGGGAAACGTGAAATCAATATTTGTCCTTTTTAACCATCTTATAGCTAAATCTTAGCTTCCTAAAGTAAGGGTAGGCTATGTAGTCTTAATTGCCTGTGTTTGTTTCTTAGGGGGAAGAAATTTGTGGCAATGAAAGTAGTTAAAAGTGCTGAACATTACACTGAAACAGCACTAGATGAAATCCGGTTGCTGAAGTCAGTGAGTATTAGATTATATGTATGAATGTGAAGAATTATAAATAAATCAAGTTTCATTGAATAAAAACACACCAAGTGGAGGCTCTTTAGCATGGATAATTTTCTCTATAAAGTTCTAGTAACCTTAAAGAGGTAAAGGAAGACAACAATATTTACACATACCATGCATGTAGTAGGGAACTGGTGGCAAATGCTATGATGAGAATTCTTCTTACACGCATGAACCAAAAAAAAACCTTTCAAATGAATAAAAATATTCACTGAGCATGTTTTACAGGCCAGGTAGCTACTGTCATAATGTTTTTTTTTCCTACTATGGTTAAAAGGAAAGTTGTGTAAATAAATGTATAGCATCTTTTTTGTTGTTTTTCAAATATGTTATAGAATACATAATATAAAAATACTGTATTTACTGATTCCATTTATACCTGGAAACTGAGATAAATTCTATCAAAAATGTATTTTTAGTTCTGTTTTAAATTAGGAATATGCCAGTGTGGTAGAAGGAACTTAAATTCAGAATTAGAAAACCTGGGTTTAGGTCGCCTTTACCCCGGTATGTCCTCCATGTTACCATTTTTTTCTTTCTGAGTCTCAGATTTTTTATTCATAAAGTGAGAATGTTGCACCAGGAGATTTCTATGGCAGTAGTTTTCTTTTTTATTTTCAACTCCTGGCCTCAAGTGATCTGCCTTAGCCTCCAGAGTAGCTGGGGTTACAGGCACAAGCCACTGCATCTGGCTTAAGACAGTACTTTTCAGAATGTCCGTTTGTGACAAGATAAGGAGCCTTGTACCTACCCAAAAGTAAATCAACATACTGTTTTCTTCATTGAGAAAGTTTTTCCATGAAAAAAAAAATGTCCGCTGAAAAAAACAGTGTGGTTAGTGCTGTAGTTGATTTGCATCCTGCAAAATCTTCTTAGTTCCTCATAGCCTGGTAATCATCAGTTAATTTGGAGGCCACACTTTGATTGATATCAGGGAGCAAAATAGTTTAATTAGAAAAATAGTTCCTGTTGGTTGTATTTCCTCTTATGAATTGACTATTTAAGATTTTTCTCCATTAAAGCTATTGAAATTTTAGTATATTTTAAAAATAGATTTATGTGAGCTCTTTCTTGTAGTTAATTTGCTGTAAGTATTCTTCCCCTACCATCTGGTTTATTTCCATGCTTTACCTTGTGCTAAACACTGTCTCTTCCCCACTACAGGTTCGCAATTCAGACCCTAATGATCCAAATAGAGAAATGGTTGTTCAACTACTAGATGACTTTAAAATATCAGGAGTTAATGGAACACGTATCCTTTTAAAAACCTATTTGAGAATAAATCATCCCAATCCCAAAGAAAGGAACTAGATTTGTTGTGTAGATGGCCTTGGTGTCTTTTCTAAGGCAAACTATAATAAAATTACCTCTTTTATTGTACACTTCTGAACACACATCTGAATTTTGTCTAATTTTGTGTGGTGTGATTTTTCAGAATATTGCTTTAAGCTTCTTGTCCTCTTTTCAGGCAAATTAAAGCGAAATCAAAGGAAACTTTTAGAAAATGCGTTGTATCACTAAGTAAAGAGTCTATGATTTTTGTCAGTTAGCACAGAAACTTTAAGGGAAGTAATTTCTTATGAAAAATACTGAGTAGGCCGGGCACGGTGGCTCAAGCCTGTAATCCCAGCACTTTGGGAGGCCGAGGCAGGTGGATCACCTGAGGTCAGGAGTTCAAGACCCACCTGGCGAACATGGTGAAACTCTGTTTCTACCAAAATACAAAAATTAGCTGGGCATGGTGGCAGGCTCCTGTAATCCCAGCTACTGGAGAGGCTGAGGCTGGAGAATCACTTGAACTGGGGAGGCAGAGGTTGCAGTGAGCCGAGATTGAGCCCACTGCACTCCAGCGTGGGGGACAGAGCCAGACTCTGTCTAAAAAAAAAAAAAAAAGATACTGTCTAAAAGAAAGAGAAAAAGAGAGAAAGAAAAAGAAAGGAAGAAAGAAACTGGATGAACAATTTAAGGTATGATTGTATTTATTATACTAAGCCTCAACTTTGAAGAGGCTGTGAATGTAGTTTATGTTTAGAGTCTAAAAGGGTGTAATTGTTCACATTCTATTATAATGAAAAACTGACTTGTTTTATGTTTTTATCTGGATGTTTTAGAACTGTAGAATTGAAAGGAACCATAGCTGATTTTCTTCACAGGTATCAAAGTGACGTGCGGTGAGCTAATGGAAAGGTTATTGCAACAGCTGTGCTTATAAAGGTCAATCAGATTTTTCAGTAAAAGATGAAGTCGAATCTTACTTAGATTGGATAAATCTAAAATCACCTGTTTATAAGCTGTTTTTAAAATGTATAAAGACATTTCATACATTATTTTACTTTTCATGCATGTTTAGCTTCCTTTAATGCACATTCCTAATTGCTGTTGATCTTTTTGTATTTAAAGGAGACAGGACTACATATGACTAGTTTCATGTAGACTATGGGAAGAGATTTGAACAGAGAAGCAGGAAGGAAGGGATGGGAAAGGAGAGAGAACAGCTGATAATGTGGAAAGACTATTGTTCTAAAGTCAATTCTGAGTCATTTCTTAGAAAAATACAAATCACAGATTACCCAGATGTCTAAGGAAAACTGCTGCAACCATCTTAAAACAGTATCTTGTGCTTATTGTGGTCACTTTGTAGATGGCTCTCTCTCTCTCTCTCTCTCTCTCTCTCTCTGTGTGTGTGTGTGTGTGTGTGTGTGTGTGTGTGTGTGTTCAAAGAATTAAGAATTCTAAACCAAGTAATTTTTTAAAAACCTACACAGGGTGTCGTGATGGCCATATCTGTTTTTTCTATTATTTAATCTTGTAATGTTTGTCATTGTGCCAGATTTCTTTACTAATTTGCAAAAGTTCCAAGTAAAACTATAGAAATACTCTCAAATCTCCCCAGTAATGCTGAGTACCTTTATTTGACCCTAACTAAGCAAAGAAGGCTTTTTAACTATTGAAATATCTTAGTAGGTTTGAATTTCAAGTTCCAAGATATTTTTCTTTTTCTTTTTTGGAGTTCAATGGCATAATCTCGGCTCACTGTAACCTCTGCCTCCTGGGTTCAAGTGATTCTCCTGCCTCAGCCTCCCGAGTAGCTGGGATTACAGGTGGATGCCACCACACCCAGCTAATTTTGTATTTTTAGTAGAGATGGGGTTTCACCATGTTGGCCAGGCTGGTCTCAAACCCCTGACCTCAGGTGATCTGCCCGCCTCGGCCTCCCAAAGTGCTGGGATTACAGGTGTGAGCCACCGTGCCCGGCCCCCAAGATATTTTTCAAACATTGCTAGGTGGTTTCTCTGTAGCTTCTGTCCATTGATTCCCTATTTTATTCTTTTCTCCATTTGTTCTTAGCCATTTTTTCCTGTCTTTCTTCATCCTTATCTCCCAGCTGTCTTTGCTCCTGCATTATTTACTACTGTTAGAGATTGAAAGGATATAACTCAAAACACTATGTTAAGGGTTAGTAATGGCTCATGTCACTCTCCTGCCTCTACCCGTTTTCCCAACATAACATACCCACACAGAGCAGTACATCCACATTCGTGTGTATGTTTGTTCAGGCGTTTTTTTCTCTGGACCACTATCGTTTCTCATATTAAAATATAAAGGGCCCTAAACTAGAAAGTTAGTTCTTACAGAATTCCATATAAACTGGCTCACTCTACTTGCCTGGAGGGTGAGGGGAAAAGAATGATTAAGAAGGAGGACAGTTGGTTTCTCTATATAATGTTGACATTAGCCAGTCATTATTGTCTGCTTATATGACCTCCTATGTCTTTAGGATACTTTTTTTTTCATGCTGTATTCTGTCTGTTTTGCTAGCTCCTCTTATTCATAATGTGCCCTAAATGTGCTTACTCAATAACATAAGCCTTTTATTTTCAGCCTTTTGTTATTTTCTTTACACTGTCTCCCCATTAGATTTTTTTAAAAATATAACCTTGTGGGCCGGGTGCAGTGGCTCACACCTGTAATCTCAGCACTTTGGGAGGCCGAGGTGGGCGGATCACGAGGTCAGGAGACCGAGACCATCTTGGCTAACACGGTGAAACCTCATCTCTACTAAAAATACAAAAAAAAGCTGGGCGTGGTGGCAGGCGCCTGTAGTCCCAGCTACTCAGAAGGCTGAGGCAGGAGAATGGCGTGAACCTGGGAGGAGGAGATTGCAGTGAGCCAAGATAGCGCCAACTGCACTCCAGCCTGGGCGACAGAGCAAGACTCCGCCTCAAAAAAAAAAAAAATAACCTTGTGATTTCAATTACTAGTGCTTCTGATTGCTACTCATTAGCTTTCTTTCACTCAAATTATTTGGCTCTTCCTTTTTGCCACTTGATTATGATGTTCTGTCAAGTTTTTTTTTAAGCTACTATATGTTTGGTCATTTTAATATCACTGCTTACAAATTAAAACATTTTCAAATTGTAATACTTCTCTCAACAAATAAAAATTAAGCAGATGGAAGCTAGAAACATAAGAGAATAGCTTTACAATCCTATTTTATGTTTAGTCTTTTTAAGTAATCTGCATTTTAAATAATCTTGTTTTGATAATTTTTTTTATTTAATTGCTTTTTTATTTTTATTTATTTTGAGACAGAGTTTCGTTCTTGTTGGCCAGGCTGGAGTGCAATGGCGCAATCTCGGCTCACTGCAACCTCCGCCTCCCAGGTTCAAGCGATTCTCCTTCCTCACCCTCCCGAGTAGCTGAGATTACAGATGCACACCACCACGCCCAGCTAGTTTTTGTATTTTTAGCAGAGACGGGGTTTTGCCATGTTGGCGATCCACCTGCCACAGCCTCCCAAAGTGCTGGGATTGAAGGCATGAGCCACCATGCCCAGCCTATTTAATTGCTTGTTTAAAAAAATTTCCTGGCCAGGTGCAGTGGCTCACGCCTATAATCCCAGCACTTTGGGAGGCCAAAGCGGGCGGATCACGAGGTCAGGAGTTCAAGACCAGACTGGCCAACATGGCGAAACCCCATCTCTACTAAAAATACAAAAATTAGCGAGGCGTGGTGGCACGTGCCTGTAATCCCAGCTACTTGGGAGGCTGAGGTAGGAGAATGGTTTGAACCTGGGAGGCGGAGGTTGCAGTGACCTGAGATCATGCCACTGCACTCCAGCCTGGGTGACAGAGCAAGACTCCATCTCGGGTGGGGAAATTTTTTTTCTCAGCAGAATCATTGGTAAATTTCAAATGTAAAGAAGTAGAAATAGTTTAATGAATCCCCACAGATCCATTACCCATTTCAGGAGTTATCAACTTATAGCCAATCTTGTTTTGTCTGTACCTCCTGATAATTCTGTAGCCAATCTTAAACATTTTATCTGTAATTGTTTTAGAATGTATTTCTAAATGACAAGGACTCTTAAAATATAACCTAGCCAGGCACTGTGGCTCATGCCTATAATCCCAGCACCTTGCAAAGCTGAGGTGTTCAAGACCAGCCTGGGTAACATAGCAAGACCCTGTCTCTACAAAAATAAAAAAATACTAGCCAGGCATGGTAGCTCATGCCTGTAGTCCCAGCTACTTGGGAGGCTGAAGCAGCAGGGTCACTCGAGCCTGGGAGTTTGAGGCTGCAGTGAGCTATGATAGTGCCACTGTACTCCAGTGTGGGTGGCACAACAAGATGCATTCTCTGACAAAAAGATTTGTTAAATAAAAAGATAACCTGAATGCAATTATTATACCAAAAAAAAAAAAATTGTGACCAGTTTCTTAGTCACAAGTTTCTCTAGTCAGTGTTTCAATCTCACCAAATGTCTTGTGCTTTATTTTCTTTTTGTCTTCTTCTTCTTCTGCTGCTGCTGCTACTACTACTACTACTACTACTACTACTACTACTACTACTACTAGTACTACTACTACTATTGCTACTACTACTACTGCTACTACTACTACTGCTACTACTGGTTGTTCTTATTGTTCTTGTTCTTCTTCCTCTTTGGTCTAATTTTTTCTTTATTGTGGTAAAATACACATAACATAAAATTGTGCAGTCATTACCATCATCCATCTTCATAACTTTTCATCTTGTAAAACTGAAGCTCTATACCTGTTAAATGGCTATTAGATCTCATTGGTTTATTGTGTTAAGTCCTCTATTGCCTTGCTTATCTTCTGTCTGCTTGTTCTATACATTATTGAGAGTGTGGCATTAAAATCTCCAACTATTATTGTAGAACTATTTCTCCCTTTAATTCTGTCAGTTTTTGTTTTATATAGTTTGGTGGTCTTTTAATAAGTATGTAAATGTCTATAATTGTTATATCTTCTTGGTGGTATGTTGAACCTTTTATTAATATAGATAATGTCCTTCTTTATCTCTTATAACTTTTTCTGATTGAAAATCTATTTTGTCTGATATTAGTATAGCCACCCCTGATTTCGTTTGGTTACTATTTGCATGGAATCTTTTCTTCAGCCTTTCACTTTAATCTGTTTGTGTCTTTGGATCTAAAGTGAGTCTCTTGTAGACAGCATATAGTTGGATCTATATCTATATCTATATCTATATCTATATCTATATCTATATCTATATCTATATGTGTATTCTACCAAACCAAAGTTATAATCATACTAGCTTTTAGACTAATTATTTTTTGACATATTGGTTTTTTAAATCATGTAGAAAACAAAAAGAGGAGTTATAAACCATTATTACAATATTAGCTTTTATAATTGCTCAAGTATTTACCTTCATTGATAATCTTTATTTCTTCATATGGATGCCTGGCTTTGTGTTATTGTTTAGTGTCTTTTCATTTCACCTTATAGGACTCCCTTGACCATTTCCAGGGCACATCTGGTAATGAACTCGTTCAGCTTCTGTTTACATGGGATGTCTTAATTTTTCTCTCACTTTTGAAATACTGTTTTTCTTAATATAGGATTCTTGGTTGACATTATTTTTCTTTTAGTATTTCAAATATATTGGCCCACTGCTTTCTGGCCTCCAAAAATTTTTGATGAGAAACTTGCTGATAATCTTAGTGAGGATCCCTTGTATGTGAAGAGTCACTCTTCTTGATGCTTTCAAGATTCCCTCTTAATCTTTCAAAAGTTTGATTATAATGTGTCTTGATGTGGGTGTCTTTGAGTTCATCTTGCTTGATGCTCATTGAGCTTTTTGGATTCATGTCTTTCATCTAATTTGTGACGTTTTCAACCGTTGTTTTTTTTTTCAAATATTCTGTCTGGCCATTTCTTCTTCTTTTCTTTTCTTTTTTTTTTTTTTTCTTTTTTTTTTTTTTTGAGATGGAGTCTCACTCTGTCACCCAGGCTGGAGTGCAGTGGTGCAATCTCCGCTCACTGCAATCTGCCTCCCGGGTTCAAGCCATTCTCCTGCCTCAGCCTCCCAAGTAGGTGGGATTACAGGTGTACACCACCACACGCAGCTAATTTTTGTATATCAGTAGAGATGGGATTTCACCATGTTGGCCAGGCTGGTCTTGAACTCCTGACCTCAAGTGATCCACTTGCCTTGGCCTCCCAAAGTGCTGGGATTACAGGCGTGAGCCACCGTGCCCAGCCTCCTCCTCTATTCTTCTTCTGGGACTGCCACAGTGTATATTTGGTCTACTCAATGATGTCCCACAGGTCCCTTAAGCCTCTTCACTTTTCTTCAATCTTTTTTCTTTCTATTCCTCACACTTGATAATTTCCATCACCCTAACTTCAGGTTTGCTGATTCTTTCTTCTGCCTACCCAAATCTGCCTTTGAATCCCTCTAGTTAATTTTTTCATTTTGGTTATTGTACTTTTCAGCACCAGAATTCCTTTGGTTTCTTTTTAGTTTTTTTTTTATCCTCATTAATATCTCCGTTTTGTTTATATATTGTTTTCTTGACTTTCTCCACATCTTCCTTTTGTTCTTTGAGCTTTTTTTTTTTTTTTTCTGAGACAAGGTCTTGCTCTGTCAAGGTCTTCACACCACCCAGGCTGGAGTGCCGTGGTGCGAACACAGCTCACATCAGCCTTGACTACCCAGACTCAAGTACTTCTCCTGCCTAAGCCTCCAGACTACAGGTGCATGCCACCACACCCAGCTAATTTTTAAAATTTTGTAGAGATGGAGTCTCACTGTGTGGCCCAGGTTGGTCTTGAACTCCTGGGTTCAAGCAGTCCTCCTGCCTTGGCTTCTGAAAGTGATAGGGTTACAGGAATGAGCCACCACACCTGGCCTAAGCATCTTTAAGACATTTGTTTTAAAGTCTTTTTCTAGTAGGTCTGCATCAAGTCTTTTTCAGGGACAGTATCTGTTGATTTATTTTTGTCGTTTGAATATGCTGTACTTAACTATTTCTTCATATGCCTTGTGATTTTCTTTTGAAAACTGGACATTTAAATCTAATATGGTAACTCTGGAAATTAGATTTGGCCATATCCCTAAGGTTTGATGGGGTTTGTTATTTATTTATTTTTTTGAGACAGGATCTCACTCTCTTGCCAAGGCTGGAGTACAGTGGCACAGTCATGACTTAAACTGCAGCCTTGATGTCCTGGAATCAAGTAGTCCTCCTGCCTCAGCCTTTCAAATAGCTGAGACTACAGTTGCATGCCACCACACCCAGCTAATTTTTTATTTTTTGTGGAGATGGGGTCTTGCTATGTTGCCCAGGCTGGTCTCAACCCCCTGGGCTCAAGCAGTCATCCTGCCTCAGCCTCCCGAAGTGCTGGGATTACGTGCATGAGCCGCTGTACCTGGCTCTGTTTTGTTTTTGTATTTGTTTTTCTTATGTAGTCTTTCTCTTCCAAGGATCAGCCTGAGATGTAAACGAAAGGTCTTTGCTCAGTCTGCATCTTTTCCTGGGCATGCGCAGTCACTTTCTGATTTTCCCTCTATATGCAGTTGCTTTTGAATGTCCTAGTCTATTTATTTATTTAGAGACAAGAGTCTCTGTCACACAGGCTAGAGTGCAGTGGCACAGTCTCAGCTCAGTGCAACCTCCGCCTCCTGGGTTTAAGTGATTCTCCTGCCTCAGCCTCCCATGTAGCTGGGATTACAGGTGCATGCCACCACACCTGGCTAATTTTCGTAATTTTAATAGAGACAGCGTTTCACCATGTTTGCCAGGCTGGTCTCGAACTCCTGGCCTCAAGTGATCTGCCCACTTTGGCCTCCCAAAGTGCTGGGATTACAGGTGTGAGCTACTGTGCCTGGCCGTAAATGTCCTAGTCTTAATGTCTGGCTCCCAAAGGGGAAAAAGAAAGAAATTGAAGGAGAGGAAATAGGGCACTGGCCCTTTAAATCTTTGCAAGATCACTTGAGCCAGAAGAGGGGCTTAAAACAATGGAGGGGGGTTACAAAAATGGCCACCCGACTCTGATACTTGGGGCAGGATCCTTTTTGCCCACCATGGCTCCAACAAACTGTGTGCAGGGCTGCTTGCTATAGGATTAGGGGATAGGTGGTTGCCACTGTGCTAAGAGCTGAAATTGACCAACATTTACAATAATTATTATCCAAGCCTCTTCTTCGGGAAGTTGTGAGCCCTCAGTAGACTCCAGAGTTTCTTAAGAATCACATTAGACAGATTCTGCCAATGCATTGGTTGTCTAGGTGGGGAAACAGATTTCTGGTGGCTTCTTACTCCACCATCTTCTCAGACTCTTCTCTAGTTTACGATTCTTACTTGAGTCAGGATCTGTATGACATTTTGGCAGTTTATTACCTGGCATCAAGATATTGCAGGCTCACCTTGTGAATTTCCTGTCTTAAATCTAGAATCAGTTTTTCTCTAAGAAGCCCTAATTCCATTCAGTGGGAAATGACATCCAGAATCTAAGCACTTAGGGGTATGCTTTGCTACTGGGTGAATCTTTACCTTTATGATTTGTTGATTCATTGCAAAAAGCACATACTTTCACCTCCTTCCTGTCTTCCCTTTTTGGAGGTCACTATTTGAGTTGCCCCCAAAGCTTGCTTTTGTGGATGTGTGGATTTGTTTGTTTGGATTATTTTTCCAAATTGTTTTATTTTGGACTAATTCTGTTGCTGTGCCATCAAATTCACTAATCTTTTTATTCTACAAAATCTAATCTGCCATTTGTTCCATCCAGTGTGTTTTGATCTCTCACATTGCACTTTTTGTCTCTGGAAGTTCATTTTCAAGTCTTTTTTTTTTTTTTGAGACGGAGTCAGTGGTGCAGGAGTGCAGTGGAGTGCAGTGGTGCAGTGGTTGCTCACTGCAACCTCCGCCTCCTGGGTTCAAGTGATTCTCCTGCCTTAGCCTCCTAAGTAGCTGGGACTACAGGCACGCGCCACCATGCCTGGCTAGTTTTTTTGTATTTTTAGTAGAGATGGAGTTTCACCATATTGGTCAGGCTGGTCTCAAACTCCTGACCTCGTGATCCGCCCACCTCGGCCTCCCAAAGTGCTGGGATTACAGCCATGAGCCACTGCACCCGGCCCATTTTCAGTCTTCTAAAAAATACTTTTCATGTCTCTACTTAATTTTTTGAACATATGGAATACAACTATAATAACCATTTATTGTCCTTGTCTAATTCTAACATCTGTGATGGTTCTAAGTCAGTTTCACATGATCGATTATTTTAATTTTGGATATGTTTTACTACCTGGTAATCACATTGTAAGTTTTACCTTGTTGGCTGCTGGATGTTTTGTATTTCTATAAATCTTCTTGAGCCTTGTTCTGGGATGGTGTGATGTTACTTGGAAAGTGTTTTATCCTTTTAGATTTTACTTTTATGATTTGTTAGATGGATCCAAAGCATTGCTCAGTCCAGATCTAATCATTCCCTCTACTGAGGCAAGACCTTCCCAAATATATCCTACCCAATACCCTGTGACTAAATTTTTCTAGTCTCTTTGCTGGGAACAGGCACTGTTCCAAGCCCTATGCGAATGCTGGGCATTGTTCTCTATAATCCTTTAAGATGTTTTTTCTTCTCTGCCTCTGCTAGTTTCCTCACACACATGTGCTTTGCTGAATCCTTGAAGGGGCGGGCCCCCTCTGCAAATCTCCAAATTTCTCTCTTTCTGCAGCTCTCCCCTCTCTCTGGTACCTTTTTCAGTGAATTATAGCTGCCTTGGTCTCTCCAGACTCTCAGCTCCCATTGATTCAACTTGTGGAGTCTACCTGGAAAGCCTCAAGGCAATAAGATGGGGCAATCCCAGGGTTCAGCTCTTGTTTCCTTTTTTCAGGGATCACTGTACTTGTTGTCTGATGTCCAGAGTCTTCTGTTGTTTTTGTATTTGGTCTGTTTGAGTATTGTTTTTTCAATAAGATAAGTCCAGTGCCTGTTACTCCATCTTGGCTAAAGCAGAAAACTTGATAGGTGCTGGGGTTTTTTGTTTGTTGTTTTTGTGACGGGGTGTCACTGTGTCACTCAGGCTGGAGTGCCGTGGCATGATCTCTGCTCACTGCAGCCTTGACCTCCTGGGCTCAGGTGATCCTCTCACCTCAGCCTCCTAAGTAGCTGGGACTACAGGCACACGCCACCACACTTGGCTAATTTTTGGATTTTTCTTGTAGAGACAGGGTTTCACCTTGTTGCCCAGGCTGGTCTTCTTGAACTCCTGGGCTCAAGGGATCTATCTGTCTCGGCCTCCCAAAGTGCTAGGATTACAGGCATGAGCCACCATGCCCGACCTGTCATAGGTTTTATATTTAAGAATTTGCCAAGCAGTTTTCCAAAGTGCTTGTACCATTTTAGACTTCTACTAGCATAATACAAGAGTTCTAATTGTTCCACAACCTCACCTACATTTGGTGATGTTTAGTTTTTTTATTTTAGTCATTTATTAGTTTGAGATGCTATCTTACTGTAATTTTGATCTGTGTTTGTGGTTGTCATGTGCTTTTAATCTTACGTAGTTTGGAACATTTATGACATTGCCTTTTTTTTTTTTTTTTTTTTTTAATTTAAGAATCCAGGCTAGTTGTTTTATGCCACCTTAGTTTGGATTTGTTTGATTGTTTCCTCATGATTAAATTCAGGTTAACCGTGTTTGTCAAGCATAGTACATGGATTATTGCATTAGAATATGCATTCGAATGCATATTAGTATATTGCATTAGAAGGCACATGGTGTGAATTTGTGCTTATCATTGGTGGTAGTAAGTTTGATCACTTGGTTAAGGCAGTGCCTTCCAGATTTCCCAGTTGTAAAGGTACTTTGTTCTTTTTGTAATTAATAAGCAATCTGTGGAATGATATTTTGACACTGTGACAATCCTTTTTCCCGACAGTCTTTCACATAGTTGTTTTAGTATTCACTGATTCTTACCTGAATCAGTAATAGTATACTATAGTGATTGTAAAAATGGTGATTTTCTATTTCTGTAATCCCTTATGTATTTATTATTTGGCTTTCTTCTCTAAAGAAGATGTTTCTCTTCCTCCTGCCTCCACACTTACTTTCAGATCAGTGTGGACTTGTTCTGTTTTTAATTCATATATTAACTCATAATTTTATCCTTTATAGTGGTCTGGCCGGGCGCAGTGGCTCACGCTTGTAATCCCAGCACTTTGGGAGGCCAAGGCAGGTAGATTATGAGGTCAGGAGTTCAAGACCAGCCTGGCCAATATGGTGAAACCCCATCTGTACTAAAAATACAAAAATTAGCCCAGCGTGGTGGTACACACCTGTAGTGCCGAGAGGCAGAGGTTGCAGTGAGCTGAGATAGTGCCACTGCACTCCAGCCTGGGCAACAGAGCCAAGACTCTGTCTCAAAAAAAAAAAAAAAAAAGAAGTCTCCATGTTGGCTGGTGACATCCTTTTCAAGATGGTTCCTGTTTCTTCCTGACAGGTTCTTTTATTTGTTAGAACAGCAAGGTGTTCCAAGTTTACCCTGTTATTTTTCCTACCTTGGATTTGGCCATTTTTCCAAGGAGCTCAGGCTTTCCTTTAATGGAGAATGTTAAAGTCTGAGCACTAGACCATTACTATATATGTATGTCTTAACTTGCATGTAGAAGCCAGTGGGGGTGGAAGACATCAAGATACTACTAAAATCTCTGTAGTGCCCTGCACAATTTTAGACTCAGAGTATTCCTGCTGTGTGGTGTCATCAGGTTGTTCATACATAAGGACAACACATGGTGGCACTGGAATCAAGATTAGTTTTGTAAAATACAGAGCATTAAGCAAGTTTCCTATTTAAAAAAAAATGTTGGCATTTACGTTTTTGAGGTTTAAGTCTTTCTTGTACATTCATCTCTTCTATAGTTAAGGAATAATTTGTTTTTCCTTGCTTTGAAGCTGTGAGAGTGGGAATTTTTACCCTGGACACCAATTTTGATATTAGGGAAGAAACTAATTTACCTGAAGCTAATCAACAGCTTGAGGCTTGAGCCTACTGCTTTCTTTCACTATTTGCATATGTAGGTTTCACTTTTTCTTTTACCATTGAGTATTTTAATGTACATAA
This sequence comes from Homo sapiens, assembly GCF_000001405.40. NCBI lineage: Eukaryota > Metazoa > Chordata > Mammalia > Primates > Hominidae > Homo > Homo sapiens. Next base: position 35,874,573 of record NC_000006.12, on the reverse strand, counting down.
TAATATTGATGAAGCCAGCCGCCCACAATTTAATGTTTCATGAATGCTTTCATTGACTATAGCATTAGACTTTGAAATTTTAGAATATTAACAGCTACATATTTATTCATTCAAGCTCTGTAACTTTTTATACTGAAAGAAAATAATACATAACATTTAATAGGGTGGAATTCACAGCTTGTCTTGCCGTGTTCTTCTTTTGTGCCGTTTTTTCCCTCCTTAATGAATTCCTAGATATCTGCATGGTATTTGAAGTTTTGGGGCATCATCTGCTCAAGTGGATCATCAAATCCAATTATCAGGGGCTTCCACTGCCTTGTGTCAAAAAAATTATTCAGCAAGTATGTATCTTGAATCAGCAAGTATCTTAGTCTTGACTATGTAGTGATTTTTTAATATTCTTGAAGTGTCAGGACTTTATTTTTTCCAATAGAATTTTTGTTTTAAGGCCGGGTGTGGTGGCTCATTCCTGTAATCCCAGCACTTTGGGAGGCCGAGGCGGGCAGATCACGAGGTCAGGAGATCAAGACCATCCTGGCTAACATGGTGAAACCTCCTCTCTACTCAAAATACAAAAAGTTAGCCGGGTGTCTTGGCAGGCACCTGTAGTCCCAAGCTACTCGGGAGGCTGAGGCAGGAGAATGGCGTGAACCCAGGAGGCGGAGCTTGCGGTGAGCCGAGATCACACCACTGCACTCCAGCCTGGGCGACAGAGCGAGACTCCGTCTCAAAAAAAAAAAAGAATTTTTGTTTTAAAATTCTTTGTTTTAAAAAGTAAGTTATTGGCTGGGCGCGGTGGCTCACGCCTGTAATCCCAGCACTTTGGGAGGCCGAGGCGGGCAGATCACCTGAGGTCAGGAGCTCGAGACCAGCCTGGCCAACAGTGCGAAACCCCGTCTCTACTAAAAATACAAAAATTAGCCGGGTGTGGTGGTAAGCGCCTATAATCCCAGCTACTCGGCAGGCTGAGGCAGGAGAATCGCTTGAACCCGGGAGGCGGAGGTTGCAGTGAGCTGAGATCGCGCCACCGCGCTCCAGCCTGGGCGACAGAGCAAGACTCCATCTCAAAAAAAAAAAAAAAGTTAATTGCTAAAATTAAATATTTCATTCAACCTTTAGAATTTATTGTGCTTATTCTCTTTTTAAATGTTTTAGCATAACCATTTTCCCCCAGGTTTGCCTCCTATAATAATTAGAAAGGGAAGCTGAGGTTCCTGACTTGGGAACATTGGAGCCCTTATCCAGAAGTTCTGGTTGCAAATAGTAATTTTACATGAATAGATAATTGCTATGTCAGATTATTGCCATCTCTTTATACAGCATGATTCATAGGCATTTTCTAATTTTCTAAAGAGCCTTCAATATACAGTATAGATTTTACCATCAGGAAAATATTAATACTTCAAGGTGCAAAAATTTGTTTGGATTATATGTCCTGGAAAGAGCTCCAAACTGGGCAGCAAGAGACCTCAATTCTTCCTCAGTGAGGAAATTTGAATTAAAGATATCTAAATGTCTGTCAGCACCTACATTACAACACTTAGAGGGTGTGTGTGTGTTGAAGTTTATTCTCAGTCTTTGCATTGTACATAGTTGAAGAATATCTCCAAATAGAATCAGCTTTGTAAAACATTGAAGAATTTTTTATTGTAAATAATTTCTTGCCTTTTTCATAGTTTAATCTTTCTGAGAAAGTTTATTTGTGCTTTTTTAAAAGGTGCTTTTATTCTCTATAGAAAACGCTATCATATCTTTTTTTTTTTTTTAATGTCATGTTATAATCTCTTACTTCTCCAGAAAGCCTGTATTTTGTGTTTGCAAGTCTGCCACTCTATTTCCATTCAGGTGTTACAGGGTCTTGATTATTTACATACCAAGTGCCGTATCATCCACACTGACATTAAACCAGAGAACATCTTATTGTCAGTGAATGAGCAGTACATTCGGAGGCTGGCTGCAGAAGCAACAGAATGGCAGCGATCTGGAGCTCCTCCGCCTTCCGGATCTGCAGGTGTATTTTCTTTTAGGGACTTCGCTATCATTAGAAGTTAAAAAGAAATTTCTATTTTTATTCTGTTACCAGGGAATTAAACACCACTCAATCCATTTCAACAATAACATATTTAAGAAACATTATCAGCTTCCAAGAGACATTCTCACTGTTACTTCCATAGGGGAAGGAGAAAACTAGATATTGTGTCTTTGTGTTGTATGTTATAAAAGCTGGTGTGTATTGTTTAAAAATATTTTTTCTTATGAGTTGATGATTTTTGAAGTGTTTACCTCTAACTGTGATCACACATGCTCATTTATAGGACTGGTAGTCTGTAGAGGGACAAGATAACATTGCTATTAATAGTTTAGGTTTAAACACTGGAGTAGACAGACTTGGTTTGAATTTGGGCTTCATCCTAGACTGAGAAACCTTAGCTGAGTTATTTTACTTTATTTTCCCTCAACTGCGAATTATTGGGATTAAATGGTAAAGCAGTTAGTAGTGTGCCACACAATATTATATACCAAATAAATTGCGGGACCAGGCACAGTGGCTCATGCCTGTAACGCAACACTTTGGGAGGTTGAGGTGGGTGGATGATTTGGGCCCAGAAGTTTGAGACCAGCCTAGGCAACACAGTAAGACCCTGTCTCTACAAAAATTAAAAAAATTAGCCAGGCATAGTGATGCGTGCCTGTAGTCCATTTACTCAGGAGGCTGGGGCAGGATGATTGCTTGAGCCTAGGAAGTCAAGGCTGCCACGAGTTGTGATAGTACCACTGCACTCGAGCATAGGCAACAAAGTGAGACCCTGTCTAAGACATAAAATTAAATAAATAAATAAAGGCTGCTTTATGATTTTTTTTCTTTTGAGATACAGATTTTAGTTTTAGTAGTGTGTCATTTTTTAGGAACTTGCTTGATCCTCAAGTTGAGTTATTAGTTATACACTTCTTTAAAAAGGAAGACTAAAGAAGGGGGAAATGGGGAGTTGGTTGTTAAATGGATGTAGTTTCTGTTTTACAAGATGAAAACATTCTACAGATCCTGTTATACAACAGTGTGAATAGTGTTAAAACCACTGAATGTACACTTATCTAGAGTATAAATTTTTATTATGTGTTTTTTGTTAACCACAGTTATTATACTAATATTTTAAAAAGAGGAAGACTGAAGATCCTACCTTCCAGCTAAGCTACACTGTTATCCATGACATGCTGTAGAGCAAATTACTATAGCTCTTGATGTCACCTAGACTCCCCTTTTAAAACTGACAGATTCTGGGTAGCATTTGAGGTGAAGAGGTTGTTGCTTGTCCCATTCTATTTTAAGCAGTGCATGGGAATGGAAAATAGGTGATTTTTAGCAACTTTAGTTTACCTGGGGAGGAAGAATTTTATTTATCCCTTTTTTTTAAGTTTGGCAATTTCTATTCATTATTTTCTTTAAAAATGGTAATAATATAGCTTCTACTTAAGTCATTTAAAAACAATAGTTTTCTCTGCAATGTAGACTACATAAGAAAGACTTTTCATTCTGGTAGAGTGTTTTATCTGAGCCTTAGTTTATATTGCCTGATGAATGCCAGAATTCTTACTTGGTTTTCTTTTCTTTTCAGTCAGTACTGCTCCCCAGCCTAAACCAGTAAGTATAAGGTGTTTTTATATTTAATTTTGATCTATGGACTATGGGCATGGGTTCTTCTGTTGTGGATGGTAACAGTTTGTTTCAAGTTTGAGAACCAAAAGGAAAAAAAATTCCTGCGCTTCTATAATTTTCTCCAGTAAATTCCCATGCACCTTCATCACATTTGTACTGGTGAGGCCTCTAAAAAATTCGAGTTTGTCTGAATGTAAACCAACCCCACGGACTGCTCAGAAGACCACACTTTGTTATTTATTCTGTTTTTATTTGGGTTTATAAGAGTATCCCGCATCTTTTAATTTAATGAAAGACTTAAGTGCTATGTTAGGGAAAGATTTGTGAAATTTAATTAGGAAGTAATTAAAGTTAACAACTATCTCCAACTGGGGGTAATTAATTAGCCACCTGAAGGCTTTATCTGTTTGTAATCTCCGCCCAGGCTGACAAAATGTCAAAGAATAAGAAGAAGAAATTGAAGAAGAAGCAGAAGCGCCAGGCAGAATTACTAGAGAAGCGAATGCAGGAAATTGAGGAAATGGAGAAAGAGTCGGGCCCTGGGCAAAAAAGACCAAACAAGCAAGAAGAATCAGAGAGTCCTGTTGAAAGACCCTTGAAAGAGAACCCACCTAATAAAATGACCCAAGAAAAACTTGGTATAAATAGAACATCACGAAAATTACTGTACAACACACTTTAACGTTAATTTATCATTGCTATATAATACAGTGGTTTCATACATACAACACATCTCTGGGGGTATCTTTATAAGAATATGGATCTTGTCATAAATGTTAGGCAGGTAATATTTAAATGTAATTTGTAACTTTTCTCAGGAAATGGAACATAGATTTCATTTAACAATTGGGTAAAAGTAAGATCTTGGCCCTTCCGGAAATAGGTTTTAGATGTTTAGTCATGTTTTTATGTCACTCAGTATAAGTTCTAGAAAATGTTTTAATCTTGTGAGAAATGTTTCTGTTCTTTCACTCACACACATATGCATATATCTTTTTTTGTTCGTTTGTTCCTTAGAAGAGTCAAGTACCATTGGCCAGGATCAAACGCTTATGGAACGTGATACAGAGGGTGGTGCAGCAGAAATTAATTGCAATGGAGTGATTGAAGTCATTAATTATACTCAGAACAGTAATAATGAAACATTGAGACATAAAGAGGATCTACATAATGCTAATGACTGTGATGTCCAAAATTTGAATCAGGAATCTAGTTTCCTAAGCTCCCAAAATGGAGACAGCAGCACATCTCAAGAAACAGACTCTTGTACACCTATAACATCTGAGGTGTCAGACACCATGGTGTGCCAGTCTTCCTCAACTGTAGGTCAGTCATTCAGTGAACAACACATTAGCCAACTTCAAGAAAGCATTCGGGCAGAGATACCCTGTGAAGATGAACAAGAGCAAGAACATAACGGACCACTGGACAACAAAGGTACCTATGCAGCTATACTTCCTCAACACTCCTTCCCTGCACAACACATTCACAGATTTCTAGACTAAAAGTATGATTGTTTTTGTAACTATAGCTTTACAACAGGTGTGTCTAAGTTACGTTTAAATTGTAATCTGTAGCTAACTTTATCCATCATGTACTGAGTACACAGCACTTCATTTGTTGCTGTGAGGGCAGAGGTTTTTAATTCTGGAAACTCAAGGCGTTGCTGTGCTCTTTTTGTCTCAGAAAATGTAAGTTGTCACTTGGGTATTGCTGACTGTATTACTCTTACCTTGGAGAGCTTTATTACTCATTGAGTATTTCTCTGTTCATTGAACAGTCTTATTGATGATGCCTGTTGTCTGTAGGAAAATCCACGGCTGGAAATTTTCTTGTTAATCCCCTTGAGCCAAAAAATGCAGAAAAGCTCAAGGTGAAGATTGCTGACCTTGGAAATGCTTGTTGGGTGGTAAGTTAAACTTGCCTTAATGGTGTTTTGAAGTGACTGGGAGGATGAATGAGAATTTGGACTTAGTTATGCAAAACATCCATAATTCTGTACCCAGATTGATACAACACTTCAGTGAATATTTTTTTACATTTAAAAAAACCTTTTACTATGGAAAAGTTTAAATATACTTACGAAAGTAGAATGGTAATCGTGATCATGAAAAGTCCTTCTGTTACCCCACCCCACTCCAGATACCCATCACCCAGATTCAGTAATGTCAACTCCTGGCCAATCTTGTTTTTAATATATATATCATTATTAACTTTCAGACACTCAGTGCCTATGTTCATACTCCCCTACTCCCATTTTCAAAATTGATGACTAACTTATAAATTGTAACCTCCTTTTAATTCACTTAACATATTTTGGACACTTTGCTTTGTCAGCCAGAAATTTAAATACAATTCAGTTCATTACATTGTTTCCCTAGTACACTTTAATCTACATATTTTTGACAGCTCTTTGTGATGAGACTCTGCACGCAAATCTTTGTATAGTTTTTCTTAGGACATGTCCTAGACATAGAATTGCTAAGTCAGAAGTTCTGTGATTTTTAAAAGGGCTTTATGATGTATAGTGTCATTTAACTTATTTTTAGTTATTCGTAATGACATGTAATTAGAAATAATTATATGTTTTTTGATGTATAGTGTCATATTACACTCTAGAAAGGATACTTCAGTTAGCCAGGCACGGTGGCTCATGCCTGTAATCCCAGCACTTTGGGAGGCGGAGGCTGGCGGATCACATGAGATCACCTGAGGTCAGGAGTTCGAGACCAGCCTGACCACATGGAGAAATCCCGTCTCTACTAAAAATACAAAAAAATTAGCCAGGCGTGTTGGCGCATGCCTGTAATACCAGCTACTTGGGAGGCTGAGGCAGGAGAATCACTTGAACCTGGCAGGCAGAGGTTTCGGCGAGCCAAGATCACGCCATTGCACTCCAGCCTGGGCAGCAAGAGTGAAACTCCCATCTCAAAAAAAAAGAAAAGAAAAGATACATCAGTTATTCTACCTTTAACAACTCAGAAAAGTATTTTCTTGTATGATCTTCAGGCTAAATAGTGGAATCTCATTTTAATTGGCGAATTATTTATACTGTTGTTTTTTACTGTGTATCTAATAAAGTGTTTTAAGGTTTTTTTGTTTGAGACGGAGTCTTGCTCTGTCACCCAGGCTGGAGTGCAGTAACTCAATCTCAGCTCACTGGAACCTCTGCCTCCCGGATTCAGGTGATTCTCCTGCCTCAGCCTCCCAAGTAGCTGTGATTACAGGCGTGCGCCAGCATGCCCTGGCTAATTTTTGTATTTTTAGTAGAGGAGGGGTTTCACCATGTTGGCCAGGCCAGCCTCAAACTCCGGACCTCAAGTGATCTGCCCGTCTCGGCCTCCCAAAGTGTTGGGACTACAGGCATGAGCCACCATACCTGACCAAGGTTATTTTTAATGGACATCTTTTTAAAATTTATAATAGAATGATTCACACATAAATGACAGTACTCAAAGAGCCATATGCTTTTAAATGGGACATGGTTCAGACCTCAGAAGGATCTTACTTCCCATATTGATTGTAGAATATTGTGATAACCTTTTAGAAAAAACAAAGCCAGCTTAGCACTGACTAATAAGAATGTGGAGCAGCTTTCCAAGTAATTAGAATTACTCCACTACGCTATCATCTGGTCCAGGTCACCCTGGATGACTTCAGTAGTGACTGCAATAGCTTCTTCACTTTCTCCCTTCTGCTGCCCTTGCTCCCCGTAGACTATTGGCAACACATCTATCAGAGTGATACTTTTTTTTTTAATTTGTATATGTTCATGAGGTATAAGTGCAGTTTTGCTAGGTTGATATATTGCATTGTGGTGAAGTCAGGGCCTTCAATGGATCCATCACTGGAACAGTGCACATTGTAACCACCAAGTAACATCCCTTCATCCACCCTTTCACCCCACCCTCTGAGTCTTCATTGTCGATCATTCCACACTATACCTCCATGTGTACACATTATGCAGCTCCCACTTATAAGTGAGAACATGTGGTATTTACCTTTCTTTGAGTTGTTTCAATTAAGATAATGGCATCCAGTTCCATCCATGTTGCTGCAAAACACATGATTTCATTCTTTTTTATGGCTGAATAGTATTGTGTTCATTCCATACCACATTTTCTTTATCTACTCCTAGACACTTGGGTTGATTCCGTAGTTGTAATTATGAATAGTGCTGTGATAAACATACAAGTATAGGTATATTTTTGATATGATTTATTTTCCTTTGTGCAGATACCCAGCAGTGGTACTGCTAGATCATGTGGTAGTTTTATTTTTAGTTCTTTGAGAAATTTTCATACTATTTTCCTTCTTTCTTTTTCTTTTTTTTTAAATGGAGTCTCGCTCTATTGCCCAGGCTGGAGTGCAGTGGTGCGATCTCTGCTCACTGCAGCCTCTGCCTCCCAGGTTCAAGCAATTCTCCTGCCTCACCCTTCCCGCGTAGCTGGGACTACAGGCACGTGCCGCCACAGCCGGCTAATTTTTTGTATTTTTAGTAGAGACGGGGTTTCACCATGTTGGCCAGGATGGTCTCGATCTCCTGACCTTGTGATCTGCCTACCTCGGCCTCCCAAAGTGCTGGGATTAGAGGCATGAGCCACCGCGCCCGGCCATTCATACTATTTTCTATAGAGATGGTGCTGATTTTCATTCCCACCAAGAGTGTGTAAGAAGTCCCTTTTCTCCACATCCTCTCCAACATGTTATTATTTTTTGTATTTTTAGTAATAGCCACTCTGATTGGTGAAAGATACCTCATTGTGGTTTTAATTTGTATTTCTCTGCTGGTTAGTGATAGTGGACATTTTTTCATTTATTTGTTGGCCATTTGTCTTCTTTTGAAAAATCCCTATTCGTGTCCTTAGTCTACCTTTTAATGGGATTATTTGGTTTTTTTTTTAATTGAGTTGAGTTTCTTGTAAATTCTAGATGTTAGTCCCCTGTTGGGTCATATAGTTTGCAGATTTTTTTCTCCCATTTTGTAGGTTGCCTGTTGACTCTTGATTATTTCTTTTGCTGTGCAGAAGCTTTTTTGTTTAAGTCCCATTTGTCTATTTTTATTTTTGTTGCCTGAGGTCTTAGTCATGAGTTTCAGGTCTTATATTCATGTCTTTAATTGGTCTTGGGTTGATTTTTGTATACAGTGAGTGATAGGGATCTTTTATTCGTCTGCATATGGCAGTCCAGTTTTCCTAGAACCATTTATTGAAAAGGATGTCTTTTTCCCAGTGAATGTGCTTGTTGACTTTTCAAAGATCAGTTTGCTGTTAAGTATATGGCTTTATTTCTAGGTTCTCTATTCTGTTCCATTGATCTGTGTATCTATTTTAATACTAATACATGCTGTTTTGGTTGCTGTAACCTTGTATAGTTTTAGGTCAGACAGTGTAATGCCTCTAGCTTTTTTCTTTTTGCTTAGGATTCTTTTGGCTATTTAGGTTCTTTTTTTATTCCATATGAATTTTAGAATTGTTTTTTGTAATTCTGTGAAAAAATGACATTAGTATTTTGAAAAGAATTGCATTGAACCTGTAGATTGCTTTGGATAGTGTGATTGTTTTAAAATTTTTTTTAATTTTTAATTTTTAATGGGTACATAGTAGGTGTATGTATTCGTGGGGTATCTGAGATGTTTTGATACAGGCATGCAATGTGAAATAATCACATCATGGAGTAAAATAGGGTATCCATCCCTTCAAGCATTTATCCTTTGTGTTACGACAATCCAATTATATTCTTCTAGTTATTTTTAAATATATAATTATTATTCACTATAGTCACCCTGTTGTGCTATGAAAGAGTAGATCTTATTATTTGTAAGTAATTTTTTTATACCCATTAATCATCCTTATCTCCCCACTTCTCCCATGCTACCCTTCCCAGCCTCTGGTAACCATCCTTCTACTCTCTGTGTCCTTGAGTTCTATTGTTTTGATTTTTAGCTCCCACAAATAAATGAGAACATGTGAAATTTGTCTTTCTGTGCCTGGCTTATCTCATCTAACATAATGATCTCCAGTTCCATCCATGTTGTAAATGACAGGATCCCATTCTTTTTTATGGCTGAATAGCACTTTATTGTGTATATGCACCACATTTTTTTAATTCATCTGTTGATGGACACTTAGGTTGCTTCCAAATCTTAAATATTGTGAATAGTGCTACAACAAACATCGGAGTGCAGACATCTTTTTTATATACAGATTTCCTTTCGTTTGATTATATACGCAGCAGTGGGATTGCTGGATAATATGGTAGCTCTAGTTTTCTGAGGGACCTCCAAACTGTTCTCCATGGTGGTTGTAACCAGTTTATATTCCTATCATCAGTGCAGGAGGGTTCCCTTTTCTCCACATCCTTGCCAGCATTTGTTACTGCCTATCTTTTGGACGTAAGCCATTTTAACTGGGGTGAGATGCTCTTGTAGCTTTGATTTGCCTTTCTCTGATGGTCAGTGATGTTGAGCACCTTTTCATATGCCTCTTTGCCATTTGTATGTCTTCTTTTGAGAAATGTCTATTCAAATCTTTGGCCCATTTTTTGATCAGATTATTAGATTTTTTTTTTTTCCTATAGAGTTGCTTGAGCTCCTTATATATTCTGGTTATTAATCCCCTATCAGATGGGTAATTTGCAAATATTTTCTCCCATTCTGTGGGTTGTCTCTTCACTTTGTTGATTGTTTTCTTTGCTGTGCAGAAGCTGTTTAACTTCATGTGATCCCATTTGTCCATTTTTGTTTTGGTTGCCTGTGCTCGTGAGGTATTGCTCAAGAAAATTTTTGCCCAGACCAGTGTCCTGGAGATTTTCCCACATGTTTTCTTGTAGTAGTTTCAAAGTTTGAGATCTTAGATTTCAGTCTTTAATCTATTTTGATTTGATTTTTATGTATTACGAGAGATAGGGATTGAGTTTCATTTTTCTGCATATGGGTATCCAGTTTTCCCAGCAGCATTTTTGACTGTCTATATCTTGAAAAGTTGTTGTAGTTATTTTTGATTGGTTGATCTTTCTACTTAGGGTAAGAGTAGTTTACACACTACAATTAACGGTGTTATAATATTCTGTGTTTTTCTGTATACTTACTGTTACTGGTGAGTTTTGTACCTTCACATGATTACTTATTGCTCATTAATGAGTTTTTCTTTCTGATTGAAGAAAGATTTTCTCTCTTCTTTAAGATTTCTTGTAAGGATAGGTCTGGTGTTGATAAAATCCCTCAGCTTTTTTTTGAAATCCCTCAGCTTTTGTTTTGTGTGGGAAAGTCTCCCCTCCCCCTCCACCTCCCCCTCCCCATGTATTTGCCTGGGGATCAGTGGGCCTCCTGTATCTGGATGCCTTAACTCTCTTGTTAGACTTGGGAAATTTTTATCTACTATTTTCTTAAAGAGGTTTTCTAAACTGAAAAAAAAATTATTTATTCATTCATTTAATTAATTAATTAATTTTTTTTTTTTTTTTAAGAAACAGGGTCTCTGTTGCCCAGGTAGAAATGAGGTGGTGTCATCATGGCTTGTTGCAACCTTTAACTCCTGGGCTCAAGCAGTCCTCCTGCCCCAGCCTCCTGAGTAACTGAGACTACAGGCACGCACCACCAGGCTCAGCTAATTTTTTTTATTTCCTTATATTTATCTGACTAGAATATTTCAGAGGACCTGTCTTCAAGTTCTCAGATTCTTCTACTTGTTCCAGTCTATTATTGAGGCTTTCAAATGTATTTTGTATTTCCTAGAATAAATTTTTTATTTAATTTATTAATTTATTTGAAACATTGTCTCACTCTGTCACCCAGGCTGGAATGCAGTGGTATGATCACAACTCACTGCAGCTTCAATCTCCTGGGCTCAAGCGATCCTCCTGGCTCAGCCTCCTGAGTAGCTGGGACCCCAGGTGCATGCCAACACACCCAGCTAATTTTTTTTAGTAGAGACAAGGTCTCACTATGTTGCCCAGGCTTGTCTTAAACTCCTGGGCTCAAGCACCTTAGCCTCCAAAAGTGCTAGGATTACAGATGTGAGCAACTGTGCCCTGCTTCAGTGAATTTTTTAGTTCTAGAATTTCTGGGGTTTGTTGTTGTTGTTGTTGTTGTTTTAAGATATCTGTCACCTTGGTAAATTTCTCATTCATCTCTTGAATGGATTTTCTGATTTCCTAGTATTGATTGTCAGATTTCTCTTGCATCTTATTGAGCTTCTTTAAAATCAGTATTTTGATTTATTTGGCATTTCAAGGAATTCTTTTTTATTGGGATCTGTTGCTGGACAATTGTTGTGGTCCTTTGGTGCTGTCATATTTACTTGTTTATTTATGTTTTCTGTGTCCTTCCGTTGATATCTGCACATTTGTTGCAGTAGTCACTTGTTCCAATTTTTTTGAAATTGCTTTTGTAGGGGAGAATATTTTTCTGAAGTTGTATATATGTTGTTGGTTAAGTAAGATACTTTTTGATTTTGATTTTGGGTACCTCTGGTAGTATGGTTTTTGTATAACTTTTTTGGCAGTACACAGGGTCAGGGGTATCTGCAATTTCCTCTGTGGCTTAGGGTACAGTTTAGGTTGTGGTGAGGTTTTGCTGGGGACTTGGATGCCAGCTGAGCCAGTCTTTGGACCCTGATGGTGGCATTAGTGGGCTGAGTGTTCCTGTTTTTAGGCCCCAGAGCGTTGATTCCAGTGTTAGTGGGTCCTGGAGGTGTGATTCTTGGGTCTCTGACTGGGTATATGGGCAGGTTCTCAGGCCCCTGGGCAGCTGGTATAATGTGGGGGATGGCAGTTAGAGTGGTGGAGCAACCCGCTGGGACCCAAGCAAGCAGTCTGTGTTGTTGTTGTTGTTGTTGTTGTTGTTAGCTGTGATGGGTCGGAGGGGGCTAGTCCCTAGTTTTACAGCCACCGATAGCAGGGCAGTGGGTATTTTCCTAAGTGTGCTTAGAGAAGCTTGGTCTCTGCTGTTCCTCTCCCAGCTGGGTGGCAGTTGCAGCCGTGTCGCCCAAGGGCAAGCGCATAGCCCAGCTTTAAACTCTCAAAATGGTGCCAGCTGTTGGCCTGTGACTGAGAGGGTAGGTTCCCTCTCAAATGAACAGCATGGGCAAGAAACTGTGGGGAGTTACAGTACACTCAAGTCTCAGTCTCAAAAAAGCCTGTTGTCTTAGGTATGCATAGGAGAGCCTGGTTTTCCTGTCCCTCCTCAGCCAAGTGGCAGCTGCAGCCACGTCAGCCCGAAAGGGCAAGGCGCAACCTAGCATTAACCTCTCAAAATAGCACTTTATGCCTGGGACCAGAGCGGGGAGGGTCCCTCTTAGGCCAGCAGCATGGGGAAGAAGCTGTGGGGAATGTGGTCCACTCACATCTTGGTCTCACCGGCAGCCCATGGCAGGGTGATAGGGACCCTCCCAGGAGTGCATGAGAGTGCCTAGCCTCCCCTCTTCCTCCTCAGAGCAGTGGAGTGACAGCAGCTGCATCTTCAGATCCCTGGTATCAAGGCTGTCAAAATGGCACCCAGCTGAAGCCGCTTAGACTCAGATGCCTGTGGGATTCTCTGTGGGTTCCCTGTTTGGAGCAACATCTGTCCAATCTTTAGGCAGTTCTGCATGTCAGGCCCGAGGCCCTAGTTGGTTCAGGGTTTCTCCCATAACCAAGATCATAAAACCCATTTTCAGAATGTGGGATGCTGGGGATTTCTCTCTTACTGTATGCCCATGCCAGCTTCCTCAGACCCTTTCCTTCTGGTGCTTCCTATCACTTCTCTGGTGAATCTTAGCATTCCTTCCTGGACAATCTGTTCAAAATGTGGGTATCTTCTGACTGTTCTGGTTCCTTTCTGTGGATGAGGCACATACTACCTGTGTCTAGTCAGCCATTTTAAATGTAAGTCAAGTCATATATTCGCTAAACGTTGCAGTGGCTCCCTTCAGAATGAATACCAAAGTCCTTACCATGGCCCACACACCACCAAGCAAAGAGAGCTTACTCTTCCTTCTGCTTGGAATCCTCTTCACGTACAACTCCTTCAATTTCTTTAAGTTCTTACCCAGATGTCACTTATCAGGGAGCTCTTCCCCTGAACACCTAATGTAATTAGCAAACCGCCACTCTCCAAACACTTATACCTTTATCATATTCACTCAGGTATTTGCTCACTCTTCCTTTCTCCCTGTAACTTTTTTTTTCTCCACAACACTTAACACAATCTAATATTATATGTTTATTTGCTTAATAAGCCTCTCACTAGAATGTACATCATATCACAACAAAGTTTTTCTGGTTTACCACTGTATCTATATTTAGTACTTAGAACAGTGCCTGGTACAGAGTAGGTACTCAATAAATATTTTAGCAAGTAAATTGTGGAGAAACGTATTGACTCTGTAACAAGTATCACACCGTACAAACATCAAATGCTTGCCAATTTCCTGCCCACACCATGTTTCAGGCTCTGGTGCCTTTATGTTTGGAACACCTTCATGTGTGTTTTCTTACCTATGTGGCACACTTTATTCCGGTGGAGTCTTCTGTTACTTACATCACAACAGAATTAATCTCTCTTCAACTTTTATAACAAGCCTACTCTGTTAATTCATTCACACCCTGTGATAACCCATTAATCCATTCATGAAGGCAGACCCCCTCATGACCCAGTCACCTCTTAAAGGCTAAAAGGTCTCACCTCTTAGTACTGTTAACATTGGACATTAAGTTTCAATATTAGTTTCAAAGGGGACAAACATTCAAACCATAGCAGTGTCTCTGCATTTAAAATGACTGCGTTCTTGGCTCGCCCCTGTAATCCCAGCACTTTGGGAGGCCGAGGCAGGCGGATCACGAGGTCAGGAGATCAAGACCATCCTAGCTAACACAGTGAAACCCCGTCTCTACTAAAAATACAAAAAAAAAATATTAGCCAGGCGTTGTGGCAGGCACCTGTAGTCCCAGCTACTTGGGAGGCAGAGGCAGGAGAATGACGTGAACCCAGGAGGCAGAGCTTGCAGTGAGCCAAGATCGCACCACTGCACTCCAGCCTGGGTGACAGAGCGAGACTCCATCTCAAAAAAAAAAAAAAAGACTACGTTCTTTTCAGCCATTCACTCATTCAGCAAACATGCTGGCACATACTCTGATGTAGGCATTAGGACACAGCGGTGAACAATACATGTGTGTTGCACCCCATTGAATTCAGATTGGATCTCACTTCTTGATCTCTTCAGCACATCAGCATCTGGCATTCAGTAATGGAATTTTACATAATTTTTAACGAGCTGTATTATTAAACATACAGTCAACTTTTGAACAACATAGGTTTGAACTACACAAGTCCACTTATGCACAGATTTTTTTAACCAAACAAGGATCGAAAACAATATTCAAGGGATGTGAAATGCACATATATGAAGGGCTGGCTTTTTGTATATTTGAGTTCTGGGCCAACTGTGAAACTTGAGTATGCACAGATTTTATACTCGGGGGATTCTGAAACTAATCCCTGAAGTACACTGATGGACCACTGTACTAAGCTTTTTATTCTTTTTTCTTTTTTTGCTTATCAATCATGCGTGTACACAGTGGGGGAGACAGTTATATAAGCTTTTATTTAAAAATCTGCCTACTTCTTTCACCAGTTTTTCACTCCCCTTAACAGTATTTACCTTTATATCACTAATAAATAACAGGTTATATTAATCCAATTTTGTTTTCAGTGTTACATATTATTTTTTTCCTCCCGGAAAATGGGGCTTATCTAGCACCACAGCACGAATTCCTCATTTCCCCAATGTAATCTAATTTTTGGCTACATGATCATACCATGTTTATATCATTGAGACTCTAAGGCTATCCTCAGCTGAACTGAGCATATATTATGGTTCCTTTTCCTTTCTACATAACATGTTTCACTTGCTTAGTTTTCTTTGTACTGTTGATCACTTAATTCAATCCCATACTTTTACCCAGTGTTGTAAATACACTTTAATATGTACAGATACATTGAGTGTTCTTTCTACTATTATCTTTCTAAAGCGCTGTGTCCTAGAACCTGGAGTCTTCTAATCTGTATTGATCTGATTGGGTTGCCCTATAGGTCTGCTACATTACGTCATTTGGGATTTCCCTTCACCATCATCCTGGAGATTTATTGTTTTCTCTATATATATGTCCCCTGTTTTCCGTGTCTCCTATCTTTCTTGGTTTATGTCATCTTTTTTGTAGAGTACATGCAACAAGCAATAGTTTCCTGAGAAAGGGTATGAGATTGGGTGGGGGAAGGGTGGGATTTGCACATCTGATAGTCTTTATTCTGCTTTCACTCTCAGTTGGCTTTGTAGAGAATTCTAGGTTAGAAAACATTTTCTTTCAGAATGTCGTTGCTCCATTGTTTTATAGTTTCCAGTTTTGATGGTACTAAAGACCGATGCCATTCTGATTCTTGATCTTTATATGAAACTTTTCCCCCAGTGGAAGTCTGTAAGATAATTTCATAGTGATATGCCTCACTCAGCCTGTTTTCACCTCTTATACTAAAAATTTGATGTGCACTTTCAACATTGAAACTCTGATTCTTTGGTTTTGCATCTTAATTTTTTTTTTTTAGGTGACAAAGTGTCACAGTTAAAAAGAATGATCTTTCAGAAAGCCATATTTATGAATGAAAAGAAAATGTCTAGTATGTACTTCAAAATCTGGTGTAGGTGTGGTGGCAGGGTTGGGATACAGTTGAAAATAGACTGGCAATGAGTGGTAATTGCTAGGTGACACTAGTATAATAAATGGCATGGGGTTCATGATTCTTTCTACTTTTGTATATATTTGAAATTTTCCATGATAAAAAATAAATGAATAATGAAGGACAAAAAGAAGCTTAGTATGAGTCATATACAGGAAACAAAATTCAAATATTCAAATGTGATAGGAAAGTGTGGAAGACAATTCTCTAATCCTATTGAAATTTAAAAACAGGGAACAGTATTTGTGAAAAGAGGAAATTACTCAGAGAAAACTTCAGGTAGAAAACTAGTATACACCAGGGCTTCAAAGGGTACTAGATGAAATTTGACCAAAAGAGCAAAAAATACTCTAGGTAGAACATCAACATCCCAATAAAGGCACAGAAAGATACTTATTAAAGACAAGTATAGTAAATTGCAAGGTTAAAGAGTTTGGATTCCTTGGTGTGGTAGCTCACGCCTGTAATCCCAGCACTTTGGGAGGCCAAGGTGGGTGGATCACTTGAGCCCAGGAGTTTGAGTCCAGCATGGGTAACATAGCGAGACCCCATCTTTACTAAAACAATTTTTAAAAAGAAAAAAGCTGTTGTTGTTTCCTAGACCTGTGTATATTAAGTTTAGGCTCATTTGTTTGTAAAAATAATTTGGAGTAGCTGTGTGTAAGGCAAAGGATTGTTGGAGCTAATAACATAAAAATGCTGTTTAAGAAATAAGCAAAGTGAGAACTTTGGTTTGGGAAAAACTTCAGAGAGTTTATTTTCATCTCCATTATTAAGCAGTATTGACTTGTTACTTTTTAGAATGAAGTTTAAAATATTGTTTCCTTCATTTTCTCAGCACAAACATTTCACTGAAGATATTCAAACAAGGCAATATCGTTCCTTGGAAGTTCTAATCGGATCTGGCTATAATACCCCTGCTGACATTTGGAGCACGGCATGCATGGTAATGTTTTTTCCCCTTGGCTTTCACTTGTTAAGTGGTACATATCTTGCCCTGTTTGCTAATTTCAGTAAACCAGCAAATTAACTAGCAGAAAAGAACGTAACACAGATGATTTACCATAGGTATTCTAAATTCTATGTCTAGAGAGGTCCGAATTCAAAAACCTGTCTGGCATTTCATTTGGTTACTGCTAAGTTCCTGTTAGGTGAAGGAACCAAAAGTTTCTTACTACAGATTGTTAGTGGGGGGAAATAATGAAAACAACTACTAAGAGGTGTTGTTGGTTTTGATTAGGAGATTACAAGTATCTTTGCATTTTTAGCACTCATCTATTTTCAGACCAAAGAAACCCCTGGAAACTGCTTCATTTTGTACAATTCAGCAGCTCCTCAGATACCTTTGCAGCTCCCAAGATGTGAATCCCAATCATTCATAGATTCATAAATGGCTATTTTGCCTCTGGCAAGCAACTGTTCCAGTGGTCAGATTTAGTTGATGATAAATGATTTCCTACTAATATCCTCATGTTGGAATGTGTTACATTGTTTCTTAAAATGTATTATACTCCTTAATATCTTTAATCACCACAATTTCTAATCGTGTTTGTTTACTTGTTTCTCTTCTATGTTGTAAGCCCCATATTGTCAGGAATCATGGCTGTTATGTATAACTGTCTGGATTCATTGCCTGACACATTTTGGGTGATTGCTTACAATGTAATTCTGATGCTAACTACCCAGAGTTATCACAGACTTCATAGGTTAAGAGCATGGTTCCTCACAAGATTGCCCTCACTTCAGACACTAACCACAAGCCTCAGGATCCACAAGCCACCTGCACTTCTAATCAACTGGCTACAAATTAAGAGGTTTGCATTACCCCCTCAGAAAGTGCTAAGCTTGCTATAGTTTTATTATAAAGAATACAAATCAGGACACATAGGGGAAAGTCTGAGAGCGTACTAAATGTGAAGCTTCTGTGTCCTCAGGACTTTCACCCTCCTGGCACATTGATGTGTGTCACCACCGAGGGATGCTCACCCAAGCTTCAAGTATTCAGAGTTTTATTGAGATGTAATTAATTAGGTATTGATTGAATCATTGGCCATGTGATTGAGCTCAGTCTTCAAGCTTTCCCTCCCTTCCCTGGAGGTTGGGAAGTTGGAAAGCCCCAGTCTTCTGATCATGTGGTTGGTCTTTCCCGTATGTCCAACTTTCATCTAAAACTATATAGGGGCTGGCCACGGTGGCTCGTGCCTGTAATCCCAGCACTTTGGGAGGCCAAGGCAAGTGGATCACTTGAGGTCAGGAGTTCAAGACCAGCCTGACCAACATGATGAAACCCTGTCTCTACTAAAAATTAGCCAGACGTGGTGGTGCATGCCTATAATCCCAGCTACTTGGGAGGCTGAGGCAGGAGAATCGCTTGAACCTGGGAAGCAGAGGTTGCAGTGAGCCAAGATCGCACCATTGCACTCCAGCCTAGGCAACAAGAATGAAACATCGAAAAAACCAACTATATAGGGCCCCAACATGAGTCACTTTGTTAATATAAACTTAGATATGGTCCAAGGGACCCACCATGGATAAAGACACCTAGCACTTGGAAATTCCAAGGGTTTAGAGACTTCCTACCAGGAAAAAGGGACATAGATCAATTTCTTCATTATTCAACAGGGTTTAATAAATATTTGTATACTACCTAATGAATAAACAGAAACATATTATGCTCTCATTTCAAGTAACATTTAATATTCACAGGCAACTCTGGGAAAAACTTGAGAAAGAGGGCAGATAACAATTCCAACCTGTTTTAAGTCATAGATTTCTTGCTGTCTGCATTCCTGAAAAACTTTGTCTTCAAAGCTAATAGAGATGATATCATGTTGTTAATGTGGCATGACCTTATAGAGCACTTTGTTGTGGCATATTATTGGGTTTTTGTTTGTTTTTTTTTTCTGAGATGGAGTCTTGCTCTGTCACCCAAGCTGGAGTACAGTGGCGCAATCTTGGCTCACTGCAAGCTCCGCCTCCCAGGTTCACGCCATTCTCCTGCCTCAGCTTCCCAAGTATCTGGGACTACAGGTGGCCGCCACCATGCCTGGCTAATTTTTTTGTATTTTTAGTAGAGACGGGGTTTCACCATGTTAGCCAGGATGGTCTTGATCTCCTGACCTTGTGATCCGCCCACTTCTGCCTCCCAAAGTGCTGGGATTACAGGTGTGAGCCACCGCGCTGGGCCCATATCATTGGTCTGTAAAGCTGGTGAACTGTCTGAAGTAAGGTTTTAATATTGTTGCACAAAATGAGAGAATATTGGAATAAAATCTCAGGCTTCTTTCTTGCCACACTTTAAAGCTTTGCTTATTGAGGAATTTTATTTGAGTTGATTTGCTATAGAAAATCATAAATGATAGAGATGCCACCAACTATAAAGTGTAGCTGGTTAATAGATGGCATCTGATTTATTAAAATGTGGATTTGCTAAGATGTAGTTTTTAGTAGTGGATTAGTTGTTTACTGTAAGAAAATGACATTTTTTTTTTATTCCACATTTCTGTTTTGTTTGGGGGGCAGTAGATCCTGCTTGATATTTAATAAAGTATTTCTAATGTCAGGCTTAAGAAGTAAGGCTGAAAGATAAAGGCGTAATTAATCTCACCTCATAGTTCTGGACCCACTCACATGTCAGAATTTTCTTGACCAAGGAATGGAAGTACTTACCTGACATGAGACAATATCATGAAAAATTGAGCCCCATTTGATCCTCAAGTTTTTATTTTGCCAGTCGACATAGAAAAACAAAATGTTGCTTTAAATTTGATCATAGAGCAAAAATTCTGGAATATCGGAAGTGCCTGAAGAGATGGATCATCCTGCATCCAATGTAATTAATTGATGGAAAGATTAGGACCCTCTCTGAGAGGTAATGAGATGGAACAAGTTGAGATTGCCTCTACATTGATGATTGAGGAATAGTTAGAAGGGCAGTTATAAAAAGGGAAAAGGGGGCCCAGGTGTAGTGGCTTATACTTGTAATTCCAGCACTTTGGGAGGCTGAGGCAGGCAGATTACTTGAGGCCAGGAGTTCGAGACTAGCCTAGCCAACATGGAGAAACCCTGTCTCTACTAAAAATACAAAAATTAGCTGGCCATGGTGGCACATGCCTGTAACCTCAGCTACTCAGGAGGCTGAGACACAAGAATTGTTTGAACCTGGGAGGCAGAGGCTGCAGTGAGCTGAGATCACACCACTGCACCCCAGCCTGGGCAACAGAGCAAGACTCCATTTCAAAAAAACAAAAAAAAGGGGGAAAGGGGAAAATATTTGTGAAGAACACAACAGTGAGACTCTGTCTCAAAAAAAAAAAAAACAATCTCCGAATGCTGGAGTCAGGACAGGTAGGACCATAACTGGCAGGATGAGATTATCTTCTTCTCTGGCCTTTGAATGCCCTTCCTCCCACTGTGGGAAAGTATGTTTGTAGTCCCCAGTTGTCTTCCTTTTCTGGTAAATTCCTCTTCTGAAGTGATTGCTTTCTGGGATATGTTCCTTTTCTTCACCTTTTGCTCTCTGAAATTCAGGGCAGGATTTGTAGGACTCCCACTGGCACTTGTGAGAGGTTCTAGGAGTATAGCTACACATATTTAGGACATGGGGTGAAGTGCATGTCTTCATAAACCCCAGAAGTTGGCCAATTACTAATCAAGGGAAAGATTAGGGAAAAAACTAGAGAATATTCAGTCATCCCTTAATGTCCTCAGGGGATTGGTTCTAAGACCCCCTGCAGATACCAAAATCCACAGGTGCTCAAGTACTTTACATAAAATGGCATAGTGTTTGCATATAACATATATAACCATATGGCCTCTGTGTACTTAAATTGTTTCTAGATTACTTATAATACCTAATATAAATGCTATGTAAAGTTGTTATACCATATTTTTTTAACTTCTTTTTTTTGTTGTTGTTGTTTCATTTTGTTTTTTAGGGATGGGGTCTTGCTCTGTTGCCCAGGCTGGAGTGCAGTGGTGTGATCATAACTCAATATAACCCCAAACTCCTGGGTTCAAGGGATCCTCCCACCTCAGTGCCCTGCCCCTTCCCCCCGCCAACGAGTATATGGGCACATGCCTAGGACTATAGGCATGTGCCACCCACTCGGCTCATTTTTAAATTTTTTTGTAGAGACCAGGTCTTGCTATGTTGCACAGACTGGTCTCAAACTCCTAGCTTCAAACGATCATCCTACCTCAGCCTCCCAAAGCACTGGAATTACAGGCATGAGTCACTGTGCCTGTCCTTTACTTGTATTTTTATTGTGCTGTTGTTGTTGCTGTTTCTGAATATTTTCAATCTACAGTCAGTTGAATCTGAGCATGTGGAACCTGCAGACACCCAGGGCTGACTAACTTAATTCTTGGTCAGGTGTTTCAGTAAGGGAGTGAATCTTTCAGAAATGGGATCCAAAGGGGTTTATCCATAACTGTCTTGTCTGTCTAGAACTCTTAAGGCTACTAAAATCCTTAAACTATCAAAATCCAAAGTGTAGTAATTTGACCCAAGAGCTCTTTCTCCATCATCACCAATTCCCAATCTGAGCTGCCCGAATGAAACGGCAGAAATGTCTGCAGGTGGTTATAACTTCTAGCACTATGCACAATAGCTCTTTAGATTTCACCAAAGATTGTCACCTTTATTCAACAGCAGTAAGTCACTGGAGGCTGGATTTTGAATGCCATTTTAGTAAGTAATATTTTGAGTTCTTTTTGTACAATTTCCTTATCCTATACAATGAAAGCTATAGGTTTGCTTTTGTTTACTTGTTTTTGCTGCCAGTGTTCCGCTAAACAGAGGTAATACAAACACCAAAAAAACAGAGTATAATCTCATCTCTTTCACAGTTCTGTAATAAAATCACTAGGACCTGTGTCTTTACAGTAGATCCCTGCAGTTGGTATGTGCAGAATCCCAGGCATTGCTCTCAGTGAAGGTAAAGGAGAGCTGGGTATTTGCTGTATTCAAGAGATGGGAGTGATTAAATGCACAGCTCCCCAAGTCAGACATTCTAAACAGGGAAAGAAGCAGGAGGAATTGAGAGAGGCAAGCATTTGTTCCCCAGGAATGATGGAGTTATAGTTAATTAACTGTAGGACCTTCATTGTAACCCCATTGAATAGCACACAATTGAGAGGAAGGCTTTCAGCTTTCACCAGCCAGGGTGCCCTAGATCGCTGGGGCAAGATAGTCTCATTCATAGCTTGTACATGTCAGTTCATATAACTGTATGTTGGCATATTTATTTTAGGCATGCTTTGATTACCGAAGAAAAACTAAAGCTTTAAGTCTATAGCAGTGCCTTGCCCTTATTGTTTACTTTTTGCTTATACCAATTAATGAGAACTTAAATAGATAGGCCCTTCCTCTTAATTGAAAAAGGACTCAGCCCTTGGCCCTCCTCTCTTCCTGGGGGATTTCATCAAGTCCCATGATGTCTCTAGCCTCAGTTCATCTCTATACTTAATCCAACTTTTTATGTCCAACTGTCTGCTTGACGACTCCATTTGGATATCTGATAAATATCTCAAATGTAACATTTTCAAAATAGAATGCTTGTTTCACCCTACACATCCTGTTTTTGTAAATTATCCCCCTGTTCACCCAGCCATTCAGACTAAAAGCTTAGAACCTGAACCTTTTAGGTTAATTCTTAATTCTTTTTCCTTTGTCTACACCTAGTCCATCAGCTGTTTCTATGTGTTCTACCTTCAGAATATATCCAATACCGGCTGGGCACAATAGCTCATGCCTGTAATCTCAGCACTTTGGGAGGCTGAGGTGGGTGGATCACCTGATATCTGGAGTTCAAGACCAGGCTGGCCAACCTGGTGAAACCCTGTCTCTACCAAAAATACAAAAGTTAGCTGGGGTGGTGGCGTGCAACTGAAATCCCAGCTACTCAGGAGGCTGAGGCACGAGAATCGCTAGAACCCAGGAGGCAGAGATTGCAGTGAGCCAAGACTGCACCACAGCCTGGGTGACAGAGTGAGACCCTGTCTCAAAAAAAAAAGAAAAAAAAAATCCAATACCAACCACTTTTTACTTTTTCCATTAACTCATTATAGCCCATGCCATCATCATTTCGCAAATGGATCAATACAGTGACCTCCTAATTTCCTTTCTCTGCTTCTGTTTTTCTCCCTTCATGTTACATTATCACATAGTGGCCTGAGTGGTCTTAAGTGTTAATCAAATCATATTACTTCCCCGTTTTAAATCCTTTAATTGCATCTATTCCACTCAAAATCCTATTTTCTTTCCCTAGTCTTGTGAAGCTCATACTTACCTTGGACCTTTGGATGTGCTTTCTCCTTCACCTAATGCAGGTCTTTGTTCAACATAATCTCTTTAGAGATGTCTTCCTGACTACTTTATTTGAAATAACCCCCACTTTATCACTTTTCTTTGTCACATAGAACTTGTCACTCCCTGAGATACATGGGGTTTTTTTTGTTGTTGTTTGCTTTCTATATGAGGCAGAGAAATTGTCTATGATTCTTAAATAGGAAAGGGATATGTGCAGTAGACATATGCATTTTGGAAAAGTTCTTCGGCAATTCTTACGTACATCTTTGATATAGAACCATTTATTTGCTTTGATTAATATAATTTACAGCTGTGTTAAGACTGGAAAAACTCTACTTTTAAAGCTGGAAGTGAGTGGTAGAATGTATTTAGTAACAACAAAAAAGCTAATAACTGAACTCTGGAGTTTCCCAACCTTCCTTTTTGATCTGTGGCTATTGTAACCCTCTTTTGGCCTTTCTGGTGCTGAAACATTGCTTCCTTGCTGTTAAGACATCTTTCGTTTGCTTCATTCCCCTGCTGTTGGTTGTTTGCAGAGCACTAAACACCAGGACTGGTTACTTAATTATGTTACTTCTCCATATCTAAGACGAGCAGTAAGTAGACTTCTAAACAAA
Organism: Homo sapiens; assembly: GCF_000001405.40. Lineage (NCBI taxonomy): Eukaryota > Metazoa > Chordata > Mammalia > Primates > Hominidae > Homo > Homo sapiens. The sequence continues at coordinate 35,850,277 of NC_000006.12, read as the reverse complement.
ATTTGAACAAAACTTGGCATATCTGGTTTGAAATGAGTTTCAAAGCCACCTTCAACTTAGTATCTTCATGATTTGAGCAATTAAATATGATTAGTAACAGAAATGAGGTACGAATGTACTCGTCAGATGTTTCTAGAAACATCGTTATAGTTAAAACTAAATTTCCTTTTTCCCTTTTTTTTCTTTTTTAACTCTTTAATCATCTCCCGATTATCTTCACCCCCCAGTCTCTGTAACCACCATTCTGCTCTCTGCTTCTATGAGTTAAATTGTTTTAGATTTCACATATAAGTGAGAGTGTTGCAGTATTTGTCTTTCTGTCCCTGGCTTATTTCACTTCATATTGTTTTCCAGTTCCATCCATGTCACTGCAAATGACTGAATTTCCATCTTGTTTTTAAGGCTGAATAGTATTCCATTCCATTGTGTATACAAGTTGAATATCCCTAATCTGAAACACTTGGTACCAGTTTCAGTTTGGGGAATTTTTTAGATTTTGCAATATTTGCAGAATACATACTGGCTGAACATTTCAAATCCAAAAATCTAAACTTTGAAATGCTCCAAATGAGCATTTCCTTTGCGTGTCATGTCAGTTTTGGATTTTGGAGCAACCTGTATATACCACATTTTATTGTCTGTTTATCTGATCTGTATAGACTCAACTTAGATTGATTTTAAAATCAACTTAGGTTGATTCCATAACTTGGCTATTGTGAATAGTGCTGCAGTGAACATGGGAATGCAGACATCACTTAGACAAACTGATTTTAAATCTTTGAGGTAAATATCCAGAAGTGGGATTGCTGGATCATATGGTAACTCTATTTTTAGATTTTTAAAGAACCTCCATATAGTTTTACATGAGGGTTGTACTAATTTACATTCCCACCAACAGCATTCAAGACTTCCCTTTGCTCCACATCCTCACCAACACTAAATATTTCGTCTTTGTGATAACAGCCATTCTGACAGATATGAAATGATATCTCATTTTGGTTTTAATTTGCATTTCCCTAATGATTAGTGATGTTGAGCTTTTTTTTTAATAGATCTGTTGGCCATTTGTGTGTCTTCTTTTCAGAAATGTTTATTTAGGTCCTTTGCCTGTTTTTTAATTGGGTTTGTTTGTTTGTTTTCTTGCTATTGAGTTGAGTTCCATATTATTTTGGATATTAACCCCTATCAAATGTATAGCATGCAAATATTTTTTCCCAACCCATAGGTTATCTCTTCACACTATTGTTTCCTTTGCTGTACAGAAGTTTTTTAGTTTGATGTTATCCCATTTGTCTGTATTCACTTTTGCTCCCTGGGCTTTTGGGGTCAAATCCAAAAAAATCATTGCTCAGACCAATGTCATGTGGGTTTCCCCCTGTTTCTTCTGGTAGTTTTTCAGTTTCAGGTCTTATTAAGTCTTTCATCCATTTCGATTTTTGTATTCGGAGTGAGATGAGGGTGGTCCAGTTTCATTCTTTTTATATCCAGTTTTTCCAACACCATTTATTGAAGAGACTATCCTTTTCCCATTCTGTATTCTTGGCAATTTTGTCAAAGATCACTTGACCATACATGCGTGGGTTCATTTCTGGGCTCTCTATATTGTTCCTTTGGTCTATGCGTCTGCTTTTTTTGCCAGGACCATGCTGTTTTAATTACTGTAGCTTTGTAGTATAGTTTGAAATCAGGTGGTTTGATGCCTCCAGCTTTGTTCTTGTTTTGAGACAGAGTCTCATACTGTCACTCAGGCTGGAGTGCAGTGGCGCAATCACAGCTCTCTTCAGCCTCCGCTTCCTGGGCTGAAGTGATCCTCCCATCTCAGCCTCCCAAATAGCTGGGACTACAGGTGTGCCCCACCACATCCAACTATTTTTGTATTTTTTGTAGAGGTGGGGTCTCCCTGTGTTGCCCAGGCTGGTCTCAAAACTCCTGAGCTCCAGTGATCTGCCCACTTCAGCCTCCCAAAGTGCTGGGATTACAGGCGTGAGCCACCATGCCCAGCCCAGCTTTCTTCTTTGTGCTCATGATTGCCTTGGCTATTTGGGATGTTTTGTGATTCCATGTGAATTTTAGGATGTTTTTTCTATTTCTATGAAAAATAATATTGGAATTGTGATAGGAATTGCATTGAATCTGATAGATCACTTTGAGTAGTACGGACATTTTAACAATAGTAAGGCCGGGCACAGTGGCTCATACCTGTAGTCCCAGCATTTTGGGAGGCCAAGGCAGATGGATTGTGTGAGACCAGCCTGGGCAACATGGCAAAATCCCATCTCTACAAATAATTTAAAAATTAGCCAAGTGTGGTGGTGCATGCTACTTGGGAGGCTGAGGTGGGAGAATCACCTGAGGCTGGGAGGCAGAGGTTACAGTAAGCCGAGATTACACCACTACAGTCCAGCCTGGATCACAGAGCAAGACCCTCTCTCAAAAAAAAAAATAAAATAAAAATAAATCTTCCAAACCATGAACATAAGATATATTTTCATTTATTTGTGTCTTCAATTTCTTTTATCAGCATTTTATAGTTTTCAGTGTACAGGTCTTTTACCTCCATGGTTAAATATGTTTCTAAGTATTTTTTTTTTGTAGCTATTGTAAATGGGATTGTTCTCTTGGTTTATTTTTCAGATAGTTGTTAGTTTACAGAAATGCTGCTGATTTTTGTGTGTTGATTTTGTATCCTGCAACTTTACTGTATTTGTTTATTAGTCCTAACGGGTTTTTGCTGGAGTCTTTAGGGTTTTCTATATATAGGATCATGTCAGGCCAGGCTTGGTGGCTTATGCCTGTAATCCCAGCACTTTGGAAAGCTGAGGCAGGAGGATCACTGGAGCTCAGGAGTTGAGACCAGCCTGGATAACATAGCGAGACCCCATTTCTACCAAAAGAAATGAAAAAATTAGCCAGATGTGGTGGCACATACCTGTAGTTTCAGCTACTTGGGAGGCTGAGGAAGGAGGATCACTTGAGCCCCGGAGTTGAGGCTACCGCAAGCCATGATTGTGCCACTGCACTCCATCCTGGATGACAGAGCAAGACTCCATCTTGCCAAAAAAAAGTTATGTTATCAGCTAACTGACATTTGTACTTCTTTCTTTTCTGTTTGGCTGCCTTTTAATTGCTCTAGTAAGGACTGCCAATACTACAATACTATGTTGAATAGAAGTGGGGAGAGTCTTGTTCTGGATTTTAGAGGAAAAGCTTTCAATTTTTCACCATTGAGTACAATGTTAGCTGTGGCCTTCTTAAATATGGCCTTTATTGTGTTGAGGTACATTCCTTCTATACCTAATTGTGTGAGCATTTTTATCATGAAAGGATGCTGAATTTTGTCACATGCATTTTCTCCATCTAATAAGATGATCATATGGTTTTTGTCTTTTTTTGGCAGTAGCAGGGGCAGTTTGAGACAGATTGCTGTTACTTCTTCGTTATATGTTTGGTAGAATTCAGCAGTGAAGCCATCAGGTCCTGGGCTTTTCTTTGATGGGAGACTTCTTATTACAGATCTAATCTCTTGTTTCTATTTCTTCATGGTTCAATCTTTGTAGGTTATATTGTCAAGGAATTTTTCCATTTTTTTCTGGGTTATCCAATCTGTTGCCATATGATTGTGCATAGTAGTCTCTTATCCTTTGTAGTTCTGTGGTATTCATTATAATGTCTCCTCTTTCATTTCTTCATTTCTGATTTTTTTAGTCTTTTTTTTTTTTTTGGAGACACAGTCTCACTCTGTCATGCAGGACGCAGGTTGGAGTGCAGTAGTACAATCTCGGCTCACCCTCCTGAGTAGCTGGGACCACAGGCATGTGCCACCATGCCTAGCTAATTTTTTTGTATTTTTGGTAGAGACGGGATTCACCATGTTGCCCAGGCTGGTCTCGAACTCCTGAGCATGAGTGATCCACCTGCCTCAGCCTCCCAAAGTGCTGGGATTACAGGCATGAGCCACTGCGCCTGGCCTATATTCAAATTTTTATACAACATATCTTTAGATTTTTTTTTTTTCTTAAGAGATGGGATCTCACTGTATTTCCCAGGCTGGTCTTGAACTCCTGGGCTCAAGCAATCCTCCCGTCTTGGCCTCCCAAAGTGCTGGGACTACAGGTGTAAGCCACCCTACCTGGCCTCTTTAGAAATTTTTTATCTTTCTAAACTGAAACTCTATATACCATTGAAGAAAAACTCCGTGTTTCCCTTTTCCCCTATTCTTTGGCAACCTTTTAAATTTAAAACAGACTTTATTGTTCCAGCCTCCAGCCCTGCTCTGGAATTTTACTTCCCTTTGGTATGGATTGTTGAAGACAGGAAATTTGAATCATCTGTTAATTCCTTTTTTCTAAAATAACATTTCCAGCACTTCAGCCTTTCTTAATGTGGTCAAACCTGGGGTCAAGATAAGGGCCCTTAAGTTAATACATTGAGCACACCTGCATCTCTGCAGAAGGCCAAGCATCAGGACTCTGACTTGTCTTCCTCACTTTGAGACAGCCATTGGCCAGCCCATTGATACAGATGATGGACATGTTACTTTATAGAAACAGCTCTTACCTGAAACTCCTCATTTTCTGTTTGGTAATCACTCCTTGGCATTCTGACCACACACAACCATATTGCTTATGAAATGCTAGATTGCCCCTCAAGCTGTGTCAGTATTCCTTTCTGCTACCTGGAGTTTGCAATTTACTTCTGGATCTGAATGTAATTAGTCTGTTTAAATTGTCATTGTTTTAACTTTTCCATGCATTTCATGCTATCTTCTAAGCCATTCTTCTCAAAGGCAATAGTCTAGAGAAGGTTAACAAAGGATGGTACACTGGTTTTATTTGGGTTTGTTTCTTAATAGACTTTATTTTTTAGAGCAGTTTTAGGTTCACAGAAAAATTGAACAAAAAGTACAAATAAGTTTTATATGCTCCCCACACACAGAGCCTCCCCAACTGTCGATCTGCTGCTCCAGAGTGATACATTTGTTACAAACAATGAACCTACATTGGCACATCATTATTAACCAAAGTCAGTAGTTTACATTTCATTTCACTCTTTTAGAAGTTTTGACAAATGTATCTATCATTATTATATACAATATCGTTTCACTGCTCTAAAACTCCTCTGTGCTCTGCCTATTCATCCCTCCCGTCCCCCACTCGCTGGCAACCACTGATATTTTTATTGTCTCCATAATGTCAAATAGTTGGAATCATACAGTATGTAGCCTTTTTAGATTAGGTTCTTTCACTTAGTAATATGCATTTAAGGTTCCTCCATATCTTCACGGCTTAATAGCTCATTTCTTTTTAGCACTGAAGAGTATTTCATTTTCTAGCCTCCTGAATAGCTGGGACCACAGGCGTATAGCACTGCCGCGGCTGGCTCTGTGTTTTTTGTTTTTTGTTTTTTTTAACTTTAATTTCAGTATTTTTACTGAACTCTATATATGAGACCATGAGATTTTTTTTTAAAGTACTGGTATCAGGAATGATTGACAAGTTTTGGTGAACAAGAATCATGATTTGTTTCTCTGTTGCTTTGGGACTATAAACCTCGGAACAACTCAGGGTAGAACAAGTATCTGCTCTATCACTGTGGTTCAGTTTCTTAATAAACAACTGAAATGTAAAATAAGCAATGCCAAGCAAGAAGCCATAGCACTGCTGACATTTAGAGATAGTATTTGATTCCTAAACCTATCCTGAAACTTCTGGTTTTGTGGTCTCCCTCTGGACGGTAGTACAGTTTTGAGAAAGGCTGTTCTGTCATGAAACTGCAGAAACTGACACTGGTGAGCCACCAGGACCTAAACTTGGGTCTAAATTGAGAATATGCCCCAACTAAGTCCTGGACTCTACAGTTCTTGAGGTTGTTTGGACTGCTTAGTACCATTGATTTAATCAAAATTGACCTATGACTAGCGCTTATTTTATAACTGTGCTTCCCTATCAATAAGGTCATTTTTTAAAACTGCTGTTGGCCAGGCGTGGTGGCTCACACCTGTGATCCCAGCACTTTGGGAGGCCGAGGCAGGCGGATCACGAGGTCAGGAGATCGAGACCATCCTGGCTAACATGGTGAAACCCTGTCCTACTAAAAATACAAAAAATTAGCCGGGCTTGGTGGCGGGCACCTGTAGTCCCACCTACTGGGGAGGCTGAGGCAGGAGAATGACATGAACCTGGGAGGCGGAGCTTGCAGTGAGCCGAGATTGTGCCACTGCACTCCAGCCTGGGCGACAGAGCGAGACTCCATCCAAAAAAAAAAAAAAAAAACTGCTGTTGTGTACTAATTTTTAAAACTCCATTTGTAATCAGTGAGGATTTATGTAGCCCTGCTTTTCATTCTGCATGGCACTTATTCCCAAGGATATCATTTCCTAAGACACTCTCGAGCACTGTAAGAGGTTTTTCTATTAAAGGAGACAGGCTTTTCTTTTCCTAATTAGGGAGTGCTGACTTGCCAGTCACATAGGCTAGGCTCCTGACTCCCTTTACACTTAATCTTCTGATTTTCTAAAGACCTACGAATTGGCCAGGCATGGTGGCTCACGCCTGTAATCCCAGCACTTTGGGAGGCAGAGGCGGGTGGATCATGAGGTCAAGAGATTGAGACCATCCTGGCCAACATGGTAAAACCCCATCTCTACTAAAAATACAAAAATTAGCTGGGCGTGGTGGCATGCACCTGTAGTCCCAGCTACTCCGGAGGCTGAGGCAGGAGAATCACTTGAACCCAGGAGGCAGAAGTTGCAGTGAGCTGAGATCATGCCAGTGCACTCCAGTCTGGCCGGCAGAGCAAGATTCCATCTCAAAAACAAAGGACCTAGGAATCAGGAACTTCCCATCTGGGACAATCTAGGGAGTACTTCCTATGCAAAAGTTAATGATGTACTTGTCAAACACTAAAGAGTCATAAGTAGAAGTCTGAATTTTTTTTTTTTTTTGATTTTTTTTGTTTGGTACAGAATCTCAATTTCTAGCCATGTGTGATTATAATGTAAGAAAGACCTGGGCTGGGCGTGGTGGCTCACACCTGTAATCCCAGCACTTTGGGAGGCCAAGGTTGGCAGATCACGAGGTCAGGAGATTGAGAACATCCTGGCTAACGCAGTGAAACCCCATCTCTACTAAAAATACAAAAAATTAGCTGGGCGTGGTGGTGGGCACCTGTAGTCCCAGCTACTCGGGAGGCTGAGGCAGGAGAATGGTGTGAACCCAGGAGGCGGAGCTTGCAGTGAGCCGAGACCGTGCCACTGCACTCCAGCCTAAGCAACAGAGTGAGACTCCGTCTCAAAAAAAAAAAAAAAAGACCTGTTCTTCTCATGAATAATAACTTAGAATCACCTTAATATCCAGGTATGCCCCTTTCCGGCCAAAAAAGGGAAACTCAGGAGGGCTGAATTGCTAGGGTTTAGGGTGGGGAGGTTTGGGCATGAAATAACCCACATGTTAGTATTTACTGAGTCTTTGCTGTTTTCTCCATTTTATTAAGATAGGGATGTGGAAGGAATGCTTTAGGAATAATCTTAAGTTTTTGTTTTTTTTTTTTTTTAAATGATCTATAAGTTTTCCCAAGGGAACAAGAGTTACTTCATATTGAGCCAAATAGCAATCAGCTTTCCAAAGGCCTTCTTTTCTTTTGTGCTTTCATATACTGTCCTCTTTTTTTTTTAGGCCTTTGAACTGGCCACAGGTGACTATTTGTTTGAACCTCATTCAGGGGAAGAGTACACTCGAGATGAAGGTGAGTCCCCTTAACCATGGATGTGTGTGCGTGGTATTTACACTTTCCACATTAAGCTAACATCATTTGTTAGTACCGAAGAGCCTTAGTCTTGTTAGTGTGCAAAACATGTAAATCCCAGAAAAGTTAGAAATATAAAAGACATTTTATATTAGGTTTTTAGATATTTTCTGAAAGATACTAAAGAGCTCTGTCAGAGTCAAAAGGCCACAGTTCACCTAAAACTTCTGTGTGCTGGACAATTTTTTCTTCAACATCTAGTTATCTTCCTTTCTGTATATATCAGTGGTTCATTCTTTACCCAGTTTTTTACCTGCTCATCAACCTGTTGCTCAATTATGCCTCCAAATTTATTTAGAGGTCAGTTATTTTAATATACACACACTACTTGAATGCAGAGACTATATCCTATTTCTATAAATTCTGCCAAAATTTAGCATTCTTTTTTCCCTTTTCTGAATATAAAACTAATTTTTTCTTTTTTGGAATTCCATTTTAAAACAAAGTAGAATGGATTTACATGTTGTGGTAGCCAGTGGGAAAAGCCTAGGCTGCCAGTTACTTTGTCTGAGAGACTGTGGAAGCAGCAACTGTGTGTGTCTGATTTTTCTATTATGATGGCATCCAGATAACTAAATGAGTTAATAATTTGAATGAACAAACAAAATGGTTTTGTGATTTTTTTTTTTTTTTTTTTTTTTTTTGAGACGGAGTCTCACTCTGTCGCCAGGCTGGAGTGCGGTGGTGCGATCTCGGCTCACTACAACCTCCACTTCCCTCGTTCAAGCGATTCTCCTGCCTCGGCCTCTCGAGTAGCTGGGACTACGGGCTTGTGCCACCATGCCCAGCTAATTTTTGTATTTTTAGTAGAGACGGGGTTTCACCATGTTGGCCAGGATGGTCTCTGTCTCTTGACCTCGTGGTCCACCCACTTCAGCCTCCCAAAGTGCTGGGATTACAGGCGTGAGCCATCACGCTCAGCCAAGAAAATGTTTTATACAGTTGAGGCAGCTTATGTTTTAGTTGTAGGATTAATGAGGATTATTTTGAGATATCACTACAGCATCTACCCTCCCAATGTAGAGCATGTTCTTTACTTTTTGTGCTTTCCTTGAATCTTTGGGAATGCATATTTCATGCTGTATGGAACCAAGAGTGCTCTTTGTTTCTCAAAATGTGGTCTTCTGGGATATTAATAGGTAATGTTAGTAGGACCTGCTAATATTCCTAATGAATACCATTTGGAAAATGCTATGCTATGTAATTCCCATGAATGCCTATTTAAGTGGGTAGAGTTTGGACATATTTTGTATATATAAGCCCCATGTTAGAGGATACTATAATTACTACTTGATTTTACCTACTCTCTGCTTGCTATTTTTCTGGGTTATAGGTTTAGGGTTATAGGCTTACAGTGTTTGGGATTATAGGCCTAGAGACTACCTACTATGTTTGTTTGGGAGGGTAATTAATTTTTTTCCCCTTTACTTCCCTAGATTCTCCATAAATGGTAGTGTGTGGTACAGAACACATATAGTGGCTAGAATTATATCGGGTGTTACCTTATGCTACCAAACCTGAAAATTTTAATACATATGCAGAGTCCCAAATAAGGGGACAAGGAAAAACCATCTTCCCTAGATGTTTAAATTCTAATTTATTCCATCCTATACCAGTTAGTACTAATAGTCCTTAGGTCAAACATCAGCCCCACCGATGCTGTTCTGCTGCAGTTTGACCTATAAGAGCAGGAACAAGCAAACCCTTACCCCTGACTAGTGTGTGCATAGTTTGTTACGAGTCGTGGTAGGACAGAAGCCTGAGTACCATGTCCTCTACTCTGGCTTTCCACAGCCCTAACTCATGGGATAATACCTGATAATTTTATCTGTCAAGTATATCAATCCTATCATAAGCCAAAATAGGTTGCAAGAATTAAGTGTAAAGTAACAATTTCAAGGGAATTCCTTGGTATAGGAAAAATATTTAAAGGACCAATATTTTACTTGGAAGTTTACTTAAGTTTCTAAGAACTTTAAGAAGCTCTCTTAGAAATTATAGTCTAAGTTTTTCCTTAGTATTCTTATTTTTGTTATTGTTAATGGTAAAAACACATTTGCAGGTCCTGCCAAAAACCAGCAGAAAATTCTTGGCATGCAGGTACTTGTTACCAAACCATAAATTCAGTCAAAACTGCTCAAAGGTTGTAGGGAAGTCATAAATGTGAAGTCCCCTTTAAATGACACCACTAACTCCTTTACATGAGAAAGATAAAACCTGAAACCTTCACAAATTCCCAGATAATATGGACGTCTCTAGCATGTTATTTCCCCTATAAGATACATAACTGGAAGTTTAAACCTTAATGATTCTGTAACTACACGATAAAAGTATTTTCTAAAGCTTTTTTTCTGGCCAGGAGTATTATGCCCGGGTGTGGTGGTTCACGCCTGTAATCCCAGCACTTCAGGAGGCTGAGGTGGGTGGATCGCTTGAGCCCAGGAGTTTGAGACCAGCCTGGGCAACATGGCAAAACCCCATCTCTACAAAAAATACAGGCCAGGCACAGTGGCTCACACCTGTAATCCCAGCATTTTGGGAGGCCAAGGCGGCAGATCACTTGAAGTCAGGAGTTCGAGACCAGCCTGGCCAACATGTGAAACCCTGTCTCTACTACAGATACAAAAATTAGCTGGACCTGGTGGTATGCACCTGTAATCCCAGCTACTCAGGAGGCTGAGACACAAGAATCACTGGAACCCAGGAAGTGGAGGTTGCAGTGAGCCGAGATCATGCCATTGCACTCCAGCCTGGCGACAGAGCAAGACTCCATCTCAAAAAAAAAAAAAAGTTTTATATTCTTAACTTCTGTCACCTGCAGAGAGAAAAAAAAAAGGGGGGGGGCAGTAGATCTACCTGAGGTGTGTGTACTGGTTGGTCCCAGACTCACCTCCTGGTTAAGAGGCTGCATGCCTCCCTGGTTGTGCTCATGGTCCATATTCATACTGTGATGTTTACAGATCATCAAGCAGCTATACTTTAAAATGTTTGTGCTAATCTTTACTTTTAAAAAGTGATTTTAGGAAGAAATTAAAAGCTTTAGACAAGACATAAGATCATTGGTTTTCATCTGAGTTTTAGCTCATATTAGCCCTGAAGTTTCAAGTTAGGCCATTCATGCTTTTTGAAGTTCTATTTTCTCATCTTTAAAATGGGGTATCAGCCAGGTGGTGGCTCAGGCCTGTAATCCCAACACTTCGGGAGGCCAAGGCAGGAGGATTGCTTGAGCCCAGGAGTTTGAGACCAGCTTGGCAGTATGCCAAGACCTCATCTCTACAAAAAATGTTTTAAGTCAGCCAGGTGTGGTGGCACATGCCTGAAATCCCAGCCACTGGGGAGGCTGAGACAGAATGATCACAAATAATAGTTCTAGAATGCCTAACACATATTTGGACAGTTTTTTATCTTACCTAAAGAACCTACCTGAACCTAGATATATAGACAAAATAGAACTAAAGATGAAGATAAGCCTCCAAAATCCAGAATGGGACTTGCCAGACACTATCGGGTGACCAACCACCTGAAATAATTCTTGGCCTTCCCAGTCAGTCTTCCTTCAGTATCCTTGGTTTTATTTGTAGTTACTTTTAAACAGCTAGTCCTTGAAAAAGCTATTCATAGAAAAACCTCTTTTACAGCTTGTCCTTGATCTGTTCTTCTTACCCTTCTATTTTAGACCACATTGTGCACATTATAGAGCTGATAGGCAGAATTCCAAGACGCTTTTCCCTCAGTGGGAAATATTCACAAGACTTCTTCAGTCACAGAGGTAGTATTGTTATGTAGGACCCAGGGATACTTCAGGAAGCAGAGCATTCACACCAAGATTGTTTTTAGTTATCACTGAATCCACAAAAATTTGACTTTGTGAATTCTCCATTAGATGGATAGAGTCTTCCTCTTCCCATTTAGGATAGAAAGTAAGCCTGATAGGCTTTACAAAGAGATGTGCATGCTGCTCCTTCTGCTGTTTTCTAGAGCTGCATTTGTTACTCTTGTTACGGATCTTTTTTTTCCCCCCTCTTGAAATGTTTGAAATATACAGATCACATTGCATTGATCATAGAACTTCTGGGGAAGGTGCCTCGCAAGCTCATTGTGGCAGGAAAATATTCCAAGGAATTTTTCACCAAAAAAGGTAAAGTAAATGTGTTCCCAGACATTAAGGAGGCAGAAGTGTTTAAAAATGAAGAGGTAAGCACATATTCCCAATGTCCTACAGAATGATGGGCCTGCCTTGAATGCTAACCTGTGACTTAGCAAAGAGATAAAAAAGAGGTAAAAAAAGTGGTCAAGAGCAGAGACTGAGCCGGGCGCGGTGGCTCATACCTGTGATCCCAGCACTTTGGGAGACCAAGGTGGGCGAATCACAATATCAGGAGTTTGAGAACAGCCTGGCCAACCCGGTGAAACCCCGTCTCTACTAAAAATACAAAAAATTAGCTGGGAAGAGTGGCGGGCGCCTGTAATCCCAGCTACTCAGGAGGCTGAGACAGGAGAATCACTTGAATCTGGGAGGCGGAGGTTGCAGTGAGCCAAGATCGCACCATTGCCCTCCAGCCTGGGCAACAAGAGTGAAACTCTGTCTCACAAAAAAAAAAAAAAAGCAGAGACTGGAGCCAGGCATGGTGGCTCACGCCTGTAATCCCAACACTTTGGGAGTCCAAGGCAGGAGGATCACTTGAGTCTAGGAGTTCAAGACCAGCCTGGGCAGCACAGGAAAACCCTGTCTCTACAAAAAAAAATTTTTAATTAACTGGGCATGGTGGTACACACCTGTGGTCGCAGCTACTCCGAAAGCTGGGGTGGGAGGATCACTTGAGCCTGGGAGGTCAAGGCTGCAGTGAGCCATGATTGCCACTGCACTCCAGCATGGGCAACAGAGCAAGATCCTGTCTCGGGGAAAAAAAAGAGCAGAGACTGGAGCCAGACTGTCAAATCCTGGCTACTCCACTAGCCATGTGACCTTTGACAGGATCTAACTGTGCCTCAGTTTGCTGATTTCTTAATGGAGATAATAATAAAGTATACTTCTTACTAACAGTTAATATGTATAGTGCCTGCATGCAGTTGGTTGATTACTTCTATAGCACTTCTGAAAAATGGGCAAATTTTTTGCTGGCGTTTGGTCTAAGAACTGCCTCTACCAAAGGGCAGGTAATTTAAGCTTCTTACATAAGGGCAGGGACTACATCTCACTCATCTTTGCATCCCAGTGACACCTAACACAGTCACTCGAAGTACATTAGTCATACAAACGAACTTCACACTTTTTAGTTTTATGTATTTGTTATTACAAAAAAAACCACAAAAACAAAACTTCCAATTTTTGACTTGATAATATATTTCTTAAGCATTGCAAAAAAAACCTGAAATGTGAAAACCTGACCTAGAAGCATCTAGGAAATGGTCTGGTTTTTCTACCCCCATTGTGCCATGGTTCCCTTTTTCCTCACAACTTCTACAGAAGTGCTGAGAAAAATGACTTTTCTCAATCCTTGGCAGGAGCCATCCTCAGAAACATTACCCTTTCTTAAACCTCTTTTTAGGTGGGAAAATTGTAAAATGTTTCATAAGAGTTCCTCCTCATGTGCAGTCAGATTAAGGCATGTGTGTTTACCAGGTAGGTAATCAAATAGGCACTCACTGCTCACAAAAGAGACTTAAAATTTTTATGTTTAAAAAAAATTATTATTATTATTATTATTATTATTATTATTGAGACAGGGTATCACTCTGTCACCCAGGCTGGAGTACAGTGGCACGATCTTGGCTCACTGCAACCTCCACCTCCCAGGTTCAAATGATCCTCCTGCCTCAACCTCCCAAGTAGCTAGGACCACAGGCATGTGCCACCATACACAGCTAATTTTTTTGTATTTTTGGTAGAGGCAGGGTTTCACTATGTTGCCCAGGCTGGTCTTGAACTCCTGAGCTCAAGTGATCCACCCGACTCAGCCTCCCAAAGTGCTGGAATTACAGGCATGAGCCACTGTGCCTGGCCAACTTAAAATTTTAAAGCAGCATTTGCCTTAGCTATTAATAATTGACTATCTTTTAAAAAGTTGTCACTTCAAAGAAGCAATTAGGTTGATACTCCAGTATAGTGTAGAGCAGCGGTCCCCAATCTTTTTGGCACCAGGGACTGGTTTTGTGGAAGACAGTTTTTCAATGGATGGGGGGGTTGGGGGGTGGTTTGGAGATAAAACTGTGTCACCTCAGATTGTCAGGCATTAGGTTCTTTTATGGAACATGCAACCTAGATCCCTACTGCAGTTCACAGTAGGATTCACGCTCCTGTGAGAATCTAATGCAGCCACTGAGCTGACAGGAGGTGGAGCTTAGGCAGTAATGCTTGCTGGCCCACCACTGACCTGCTGCTGTGCAGACCTGACAGACCGCAGACTGGTACCATAGGGGGTATTGGTATAGAGTTGGGGACCCCTGGTATAGAGTATATGAAGCTGTTGTATCTGAAAACTGTGTAGGATTTGGGGTTTTTTTTGTTGCTTTTATCCATGCTTGACATGATGTTTTAACTTTACTGCCTCACTGTAAAGCAACATTTACTAAACTATTGAGCACATACACAAAAAAAGAGTATAAGCAAATTATTCTCGGTATGTGGTACTAGAGTGTCTCTGCACACCATATAAGACCATGTTGAAGACATAGGCATTTCATGTTTATTTTAGTAGTAAATACCTACTTCTTGATTGTCACACCCAGTTTGACTGGGACCAAAAAAATCCTAGAATAGGGGAGAAAACAAATTACCTTAAATTTTTGGAGCCGTATGAAGAATAGAGGCACTTCTTTCTGAGGCATATGTCAGAAAAGAAATGCTTTGTGAATGAAGGATTAGATTCTGATTGCAAAATTTGATTCCTCATAGACTACATGGGTTAGTTTGTGGGTTTCCACAAGAGTACCTTGTCATTTGTCTGTGTTGATCAGTGGCTTTTTCTGTACTGTCTTCACTGCAGGTGACCTGAAACATATCACGAAGCTGAAACCTTGGGGCCTTTTTGAGGTTCTAGTGGAGAAGTATGAGTGGTCGCAGGAAGAGGCAGCTGGCTTCACAGATTTCTTACTGCCCATGTTGGAGCTGATCCCTGAGAAGAGAGCCACTGCCGCCGAGTGTCTCCGGCACCCTTGGCTTAACTCCTAAGCCCCTGCCCAGCACCACAGCAGAGATCACACACTGACCCTCCGCCCTTCCCCTTCAAGCATTTTCCTCTTCCCTTTTCAGGGTGAAGCTCTTCCTTCAAGAGTTTCTAGATCTTGTTTTTTTTTTAATCCAACATGTTCATTTGGGTTTGCTTACTTGACCCTGTGGAGATCCCCACAGCCATTGGGCATCCTAGGTGAATTTGGCCTTGGTTGGGCTCTGCCAAAGACTAATGGACTAAAATGTGAAACAGCCTCTTGCCCTGTACCTTTCCTTCCCATTAGGACATCCTTTAAATTATAAGCATCCTTTTTGAAAAGAGCTATGAAGGTGTATGAGCCCATCCTTTTATTCATTGACTCTAAGAGTCAAATTTTCTAGTGCATATCCTATTGCCAGCATAAGGATGAGGAGGGGGAAAGGGTCTTAATTCTATGTACAGCAGAGACATTAAACTTGCTGTGTCCGGGCTGCATCATCTTCCTGGACTGTTTCTGTTGTTCTCTGTGTTCACATTTTTTCCTGCAACTTTTAAGCTACTGTCTTTTTTAAATAGCTATATGAACACCAAATTTGGGTACCATTTTATCACTGTTCAAAGCACTGTCAAATTCCTTTCATCCTTTAATAGTTAAGATCTTTGAATCTTCAGTCTGATTTTTAATGTAAGCAAAAACAGAACCATTGAATAGTAATTTCTTGAGAACCTCAGGTGTTCTATAAACAGTCCTTTCCTGTATGTCTTCTATTACCCTAAGACCAGAGTTATTTTGGTTGGTTGTTTTGTTTTATTTTTTGTTTTTGTATCCATGGCTGGCACTTTACTCATTGCACTTGAGTTTATTGCCCCATAACTAAAGGATCAGGATGATGGTAGAACGGAGATCTGGGTTTCAGAGCTTTCCCATTTAAGAAAAATAGATCTTGAGATTCTGATTCTTTTCCAAACAGTCCCCTGCTTTCATGTACAGCTTTTTCTTTACCTTACCCAAAATTCTGGCCTTGAAGCAGTTTTCCTCTATGGCTTTGCCTTTCTGATTTTCTCAGAGGCTCGAGTCTTTAATATAACCCCAAATGAAAGAACCAAGGGGAGGGGTGGGATGGCACTTTTTTTTGTTGGTCTTGTTTTGTTTTGTTTTTTGGTTGGTTGGTTCGTTATTTTTTAAGATTAGCCATTCTCTGCTGCTATTTCCCTACATAATGTCAATTTTTAACCATAATTTTGACATGATTGAGATGTACTTGAGGCTTTTTTGTTTTAATTGAGAAAAGACTTTGCAATTTTTTTTTTAGGATGAGCCTCTCCTAGACTTGACCTAGAATATTACATATTCCTCCAGTAAGTAATACTGAAGAGCAAAAGAGAGGCAGGATTGGGGTCACAGCCGCTTCTTCAGCATGGACCAAGTGGGCCTTGGGGATTGCAGCGTTCTCGAAGTGGCTGTAGGACTCGAATTTACAGAAAGCCACAGAGGTGCAACTTGAGGCTCTGCTAGCAAGCCACCAGTGAGGCTATTGGGTAACCACCTTTCTATACAGGAGATTGGAATCTACTTTGTCATTTATCCACCACAGTGACAAAGGAAAAGTGGTGCCGTTATGCAATCCATTTAACTCATAAACATATTACTCTGAGTAACTGGCCAGCCATTCATCGGATCCTTCATTGGGTACTCCTGAAATCAGACATGTTCCTGTAGAAAGAATTTTAAGTTAGGCTTTCTATGCACCTATCAAGAATCAAGAGAATAGATTGTATCAAACAACGGCAGGGAAATCCTTCAGCAATTCTAATCCACTTTGGGTTTTCAGCTGTTTTTACATCTAAAGCAATAGACTAGAACTGAATTATCTTCTACATAGTAAAATCACAATTGTGGAATTACAGGAATTCTGGTGATATTAAGGTGAAATAACAAAACACAAAAGGCCCTATTTTAACAGTTGATGTGACAGTAAGTTTTAATAGAACCTGTAACTTCATTTTGGAAATGCTTCTCCACCAAATAAGGGCTTTTTCCCCTATTTAAGGAGCCAGATGGATTGAAAGATGTGGAAATAGGCAGCTGTAGATCTTGATCTTCCAGGTACCCCATGTACCTTTATTGAGCTTAATTATAATACTGTCAAATTGCCACGATCTCACTAAAGGATTTCTATTTGCTGTCAGTTAAAAATAAAGCCCTAAATACATTTTTATTCTTTCTACTGAGGGCATTGTCTGTTTTCTTTGTAAATGCCGTACAATAAACAAATTATTTAATAACCTACATGTTTCCAAAAATCTCTGTTCATTTGTTGTCCAAATTGCTCTGCCCTGAGTAAAAGGAGGAAAAGATTGGTTGAGTATGCTTTTTTAATTTAAATATGCAATGAAAGTGTACAAATTGCACACTTGCCATTTTGTGGGGTTCATAGTTTTGCTTCTAGTTTTAAATTGGGAGTGGGGTAGAATTAACAGCCAAATTAACATTTTTGGAATACTGTTTTTCAGCATTTTTTTTTTAATTGTTTTTCCCTACATCCAATAGCACTTTCTTCCAGAAGATTTGTCAGGGGTGGTTGTTTTTCTCAAATTATAAATGCACGGTACGTGCAAAATTCAGAAGACTTAGAAATATAAGCTCTTATTAAGGCAATGGCATGATGTATTACACAGGCTTTCATACACTTATCTCATTTCTTGGATAGATTCTTGAACTGTCTGGGCCAGAGAGCACATTTTTGAGGCTTTTAATAAATATTGCCACCGGGCGCGGTGGCTCATGCCTGTAATCCCAGCATTTTGGGAGGCCAAGGCAGGTGGATCACGAGGTCAAGAGATTGAGACCATCCTGGCCAATATGGTGAAACACTGTCTCTACTAAAAATACAAAAATTAGCCAGGCATGGCGGCGTGCACCTGTAGTCCCAGCTACTTGGGAGACTGAGGCAGGAGAATCACTTGAACCTTGGAGGTTGCAGTGAGCCAAGATCACGCCACTGCACTCCTGTCTGGGCAACAGCAAGACTCCGTCTCAATAAATAAATAAATAAATAAATAAATAAATAAATATTGCCTAACTTATCTGGACAACTAGCAGAATGGTTGGACTGTTTTTCTGTATACACCAATGTATGAACAGGCCTATTATGAATCGCTAGTTTGTGCCCTGCCCCCTCCCCACAGGAATATCGTTATAATTTGCATATTGGATTACTGGTGAGGTCATAAACTTTTCATAGGTATTTGCATTTTTTGATTATTTATGTAAATTGTCCAGCTTTCTGTTGGAGTGCTTCCGTATTTGATGACTTGGTCAGGACTCGTTATATACTAGAGATAATTTATTTTTTGCTTCATACACTTGTCTAGTTTTTAATTTACTTTTCATTTTTATTTGTGGTAGTTTTTAGTGTTATTCATCTTTCCCCACCTACACCTGAACTACATAAATTGTTCTAGTTAATTTGTTTTAATTGTGCAATACTTAGAACACAGTGTTTTCATAGTGTTAAAATGTAACCTATTGGAATCCATGAAACCAGTTTGTTCACCAGACTGACCAACCTAGGCAGGCCCTCCTACACCTTGTGTTAAATATATGGACCTAGAATTCCCAGAATTGGGGGAAACCTTAGTGCTGTTACAGGAGAGCTTGTAGCTATCTCAAAAGAGCCAACAAACAGGTGGGTTTACAACCCCCTTTAATTCTGAATTTGCTCTGCGTGTCCACAGGGAAACTATTTAGCTGCTGCAGAGCAGTCCCAGCTTATAAGTGGACTTCGTTACTGCCCATTCTTTTCTTTTGAAACCTGTACTCTTACCAGTTTAGCCTTATAAGGAAACTGCTTTGCCCTTAGATTATTATATCACAGAAAATTGGTGATTTGCTGATAATCGAACTTACATTTGCTTTAAAATAAGGCCTTATGGCCGGGTGCAGTGGCTCACACCTGTCATCCCCACACTTTGGGAGGCCAAGGCAGGAGGAGCACTTGAGCCTAGGGATTCAAGATCAGCCTGGGCAACATAGTGGGACCCTGTGTCTATAAAAAATTTTAAAATTAGCCGGATGTGTTGGCTGGCACCTGTAGTCCCAACTACTCAGGCTGAGGCAGGAGGATTGCTTGAGCCCAGGATTTCAAGGCTGCAGTGTGCTATGATCACGCCACTGCATTCTAGCCTGGGCAACAGCATGAGACTCCATCACTACAAAAAAAATTTTTTTTAATAAGACCTTAAGGCACCAGAGAAGCTTGAATAGTCAGTGCAGTTTGGGAGATAGCAAAGCATTGGTAGCATAAAGCTCTTACAAAATCTTCAGAATATTAATATAGAAAAGTGACTATAAACCTGAGGCCAACTGGGAAGGAAGTTTTTTTGTGTGTTGCTAAAGACATTTAAGTTGGAGGTTTGGGAAGGTAGATTGCAGTAAAGTAAAAGTTGGAGTTTAAAAACTACATGTGTAGGCCGTGTGTGGTGGCTCACGCCTGTAATCCCAACACTTTGGGAGGCCAAGGCAGGCAAATCACCTGAGGTCGGCAGTTCGAGACCAGCCTGACCAACATGGAGAAACCCCATCTCTACTAAAAAAAAAAAAAAAAAAAAAAAAAAAACACACACAAAAATGAGCTGGGCATGGTGGCACATGCCTGTAATCCCAGCTACTCAGGAGGCTGAGGCAGGAGAATCACTTGAACCCAGGAGGCGGAGGTTGTGGTCACCCAAGATGGCGCCATTGCACTCCAGCCTGGGCAACAAAAGCAAAACTTCGTCTCAAAAAAATAAAAACTACATGTGTAATATGCATTTATCTTTAAGTCCTCGCAAAAATATTAATCCACACTAAGTCCTTATGATACAAGAGAAATATCCCAGTTTAAAGGCCAGGACACTTGAGATAATGTTAAGTGTTTAGAAATTTGGGGCCGGGCATGTTGTCTCACACCTGTAATCCCAGCACTTTGGGAGGCCAAGGCCGGTGGATCATTTGAGGTCACGAGTTCAAGACCAGCCTGGCCAACACAGTGAAACCCCATCTGTACCAAATATTTAAAAATTAGCCAGGCATGGTGCTGCACACCTGTAATCCCAGTTACTTGAGAGGCTGAGGCAGGGGAACTGCTTGAACCTGGGAGACGGAGGTTTCAGTGAGTGGAGATCGCACCACTGCACTCCAGCCTGGGCAACAGAGCAAGACTCTGACTCAAAAAAAAAAAAAAAAAAAATTCAACCAGAGGATTAAGCAAGTTTACTTCGGTACGTAGTTGTGTTTACAGGCTGCACCATTTCTTCTAAAGGGAGGAGAGTTTCTAATACATATGATGTTCAATTTGATTTTATATCCTTCCAAGTTCACTTTTTAAAATAATAATCTCTGCCTGTTGTCCTTAATTTAGATCTACTTTTTGCCTATTTTAATACAATAACAAGCGTTGCCCTCCAAATGGCAGAATTAGACTGTTTATTGAAGTGCATCAGCTGCCTGCCATTTGAGCTATGTTCTTAATAGTTGTGCCACTAAGATGTGATTGTTTGCATTGGTTGCTTTGGATTCACTAGGATAGAGGAGAGAGTGGTTGATATTGGAAAATAAATTTAGTAGACCTTATTATAAATCCTTTGAAGACAGATGACAAAAGTGAGATGGGTTTTCAGGGTTGGAATCCTTAACCATTCATCTTCATCAACTTAATTTACAACAAAACAAACATGTATCCATCAACATATAAGGATACCAGAATCTAATCTCTGTCCTGATAAAGCATTCTGATAGCCAGGTGTGGTGGCTCAGGCCTGCATTCCTGGCATTATGGGAGGCTGAGGCGGATGGATTGCTTGAGCTCGGGAGTTCAAGACCAGCCTGGGCAACATGGCAAAACCCCTATCTACAAAAAAGACAAAAATTAGCCAGGTGTGGTGGCGCATGCCTGTAGTCCCAGCTACTTGGGAGGCTGCGGCAGGAGGATTGCCTGAGCCTGGGAAGTCGAGGCTGCAGTGAGCTGTAATCACACCACTGTACTCCAGCCTGGGCAACAGAGCAAGCAAAACCCTGTCAAAAAAAAAAAAAAAAAAAAATTCTGATAAATGCCCATTTCCACAGAAAATTTAAGTAATTGTGAAAACCTTTAAAAAGGCTCCTGTGATTCCCACCTGTTGGTATTCATATAATCCATTTGCCTTCAGTGTGGGCTGAACTTTCTTCTGTTAGAATAGGGCAGAAGCAATGGGATATCACTTCTGAGACAGTTACAAATGGTCTGGCTTCTCTGCCCATGCACACTGCCTTGCTCTCCTTTCAAACCCTTATTTTGGGAAACAAGCTGCCATATGAGTAACCCTAAGGAGAGGCTAACAGCCAGCAAAGAACTGAGACCCACTGCCCAAGGTAATTTACAGATTCAATGCCATCCCCATCAAGCTACCAATGACTTTCTTCACAGAATTGGAAAAAACTACTTTAAAGTTCATATGGAACCAAAAAAGAGCCCGCATCGCCAAGTCAATCGTAAGCCAAAAGAACAAAGCTGGAGGCATCACACTACCTGACTTCAAACTATACTACAAGGCTACAGTAACCAAAACAGCATGGTACTGGTACCAAAACAGAGATATAGATCAATGGAACAGAACAGAGCCCTCAGAAATAATGCCGCATATCTACAACTATCTGATCTTTGACAAACCTGAGAAAAACAAGCAATGGGGAAAGGATTCCCTATTTAATAAATGGTGCTGGGAAAACTGGCTAGCCATATGTAGAAAGCTGAAACTGGATCCCTTCCTTACACCTTATACAAAAATCAATTCAAGATGGATTAAAGATTTAAACGTTAGACCTAAAACCATAAAAACCCTAGAAGAAAACCTAGGCATTACCATTCAGGACATAGGCGTGGGCAAGGACTTCATGTCCAAAACACCAAAAGCAATGGCAACAAAAGCCAAAATTGACAAATGGGATCTAATTAAACTAAAGAGCTTCTGCACAGCAAAAGAAACTACCATCAGAGTGAACAGGCAACCTACAACATGGGAGAAAATTTTCACAACCTACTCATCTGACAAAGGGCTAATATCCAGAATCTACAATGAACTCAAACAAATTTACAAGAAAAAAACAAACAACCCCATCAAAAAGTGGGCGAAGGACATGAACAGACACCTCTCAAAAGAAGACATTTCTGCAGCCAAAAAACACATGAAAAAATGCTCATCATCACTGGCCATCAGAGAAATGCAAATCAAAACCACTATGAGATATCATCTCACACCAGTTAGAATGGCAATCATTAAAAAGTCAGGAAACAACAGGTGCTGGAGAGGATGTGGAGAAATAGGAACACTTTTACACTGTTGGTGGGACTGTAAACTAGTTCAACCATTGTGGAAGTCAGTGTGGCGATTCCTCAGGGATCTAGAACTAGAAATACCATTTGACCCAGCCATCCCATTACTGGGTATATACCCAAATGACTATAAATCATGCTGCTATAAAGACACATGCACACGTATGTTTATTGCGGCATTATTCACAATAGCAAAGACTTGGAACCAACCCAAATGTCCAACAATGATAGACTGGATTAAGAAAATGTGGCACATATACACCATGGAATACTATGCAGCCATAAAAAATGATGAGTTCATGTCCTTTGTAGGGACATGGATGAAATTGGAAACCATCATTCTCAGTAAACTATCGCAAGAACAAAAAACCAAACACCGCATATTCTCACTCATAGGTGGGAATTGAACAATGAGATCACATGGACACAGGAAGGGGAATATCACACTCTGGGGACTGTGGTGGGGTGGGGGGAGGGGGGAGGGATAGCATTGGGAGATATACCTAATGCTAGATGACACGTTAGTGGGTGCAGCACACCAGCATGGCACATGTATACATATGTAACTAACCTGCACAATGTGCACATGTACCCTAAAACTTAAAGTATAATAATAATTAAAAAAAAAGAAAAAAAAAAAAAAAAGAACTGAGACCCTCCATCCCAACAAACTGTGAAAAACAATCCTGCAAACCACCACTGAGCTTGGAAGTGGATCCAACACAATTGCAGCTTGTGAGAAACCTTGAGGCAAAAACACTTAGCTAAACCTTGTCAGGATTCCTAATCCACAGAAACTGAGATATGTATGTTGTTTTAAGCCACTGCATTCTGGAGTAATTTGTTAAGCAGCAGTAGGTAACAGGATTGTCAGGTCATGAGCACTGAGGATATTCTTCAGGTTCACATTTCACCTATAAATGACTGGCCCTTCCTATTTTGACCATATCTACTCAGGGCTGTCAGTGAAGCTCGAGCACCATAACTGACTCTACAGAACAGCCCAAAGCAGAGAGAGGCAAGCCAGAGTGAGAAAAGAATAAGGTTGACTTCATAAAAGGAGTGCTGACATTACTGATTTTTGTTTGTTTTTTTGTTTTATTTATTTATTTATTTATTTATTTATTTTTGAGACGGAGTCTCGCTCTGTCACCCAGGCTGGAGTGCAGTGGCACAATCTCGGCTCACTGCAACCTCTGCCTCCCAGATTCAAGCAATTGTCCTGCCTCTGCCTCCCGAGTAGCTGAGCAAGGTGTGGGTTATAGGCAGATGCACCTTAAGCCCCTAGCAGCTTCTGCAGACCACTAAAGTTGCCATTTCAGTGAAATATTTTGAGAATAGACTTTTTTTTTTTTGAGACAGAGTCTTGCTTTGTTGCCCAGGCTGGAGTGCAGTGGTGCAATCATGGCTCACTGCAGCTTCAACCTCCCAGGCTCAAGTGATCCTCCCACCTCAGCCTCCCAAGTAGCCGGGATTACAGGCATGCGCCACCATACCCAGCTAATTTTTGTAATTTTTATAGAGATGGGTTTTTGCCATGTTGCCCATGCTAGTCTTGAACTCCTGGCCTCAAGTGATCCTCCCACCTCAGCCTCCCAAAGTGCTGGGATTACAGGCGTGAGCCACTACGCCTGGCCAAGGATAGACTTCTGGAAATTTTTTTTGTACCTCTTCAAAAAGTAAATTATGAGATAAATGATAGAAAAGTCACTAAGCTACAGAATTTGTCAAATTTTGTCATTCATCAAGCTTGCATAAAGTAGATACTGACTGAATTAATTAATTAATTAATTAATTAATTTTTTTTTTTGACACGGAGTTTCACTCTTGCTGCCCAGGCTGGAGAGCAATGGCACGATCTCGGCTCACTGCAACTTCCGCCTCCCAGGTTCAAGCCATTCCCCTGCCTCAGCCTCCCGAGTAGCTGGGAATACAGGCATGTGCCACCACGCCCGGCTAATTTTTTATTTTTAGTAGAAACGGGGTTTCACCATGTTGGTCAGGCTGGTCACAAACTCCCAACCTCAGGTGATCTGCCCACCTTGGCTTCCCAAAGTGCTGGGATTACAGGCGTGAGCCACCGTGCCTGGCCGACTGTGAATTAATTTTATCAACAAAAGAAAATATGAATGTCCAGGCTGGGCAACATGATGATACCCTGTGTCTACAAAAATTAAAGATTAGGCGGATGTGGTGGTACACACCTGTGGTCCTGGCTACTTGGGAAGCTAAAGGCAGGAGGATTGCTTGAGCTGAGGAAGCCGAGGCTTCAGTGAGCCGTTTTCACGCCACTGCACTCAAAACATATATACAGCCTGGGCGTGTTGGCTCACGCCTGTAATCCCAGAACTTTGGGAGGCTGAGGTGGGCGGATCACGAGGTCAGGAGATCAAGACCATCCTGGCTAACACAGTGAAACCCCATCTCTACTAAAAATACAAAAAATTAGCCAGGTGTGGTGGCGGGCGCCTGTAGTCCCAGCTACTTGGGAGGCTGAGGCAGGAGAATGGCATGAACCCGGGAGGCGGAGCTTGCGGTGAGCCAAGATCGCACCACTGCACTCCAGCCTAGGTGACAGAGCGACACTCTGTCTCAAAAAAAAAAAAAAAAAAAAAAATACAAAATTAGCCGGATGTGGTGGCACACGCCTATAATCCCAGCTACTCGGGAGGCTGAGACAGGAGAATCGTTTAAACCTGGGAGGCAGAGGTTGCAGCGAGCCAAGATCGCGCCATTGCACTCCAGCCTGGGCAACAAGAGCAAGATTTCGTCTCAAAAAATATATATAAATATAAATATATATATATACACACAAATGTGATCATTCTCATAAACTAGCTGCCATGGACCAAGTGACAAGATCAAATCCCATTATGGAAGTTCCCACCACCAATTTAACTGTGACAACACTGGGATACTCATTCCTAGTGACTGAGCAGGTTGTCACAGTGCATTGGCCAAACACACAGCTGACAGCCAAAGATAGGAAAACTGTTCCTGTATCACTGATCGGTTGATCAAGCAACAAGATTCATCTGTTCAGCTCTTTACCCACACTTCCCCTATGAGAGAACAGCACACCCAGGTAGTTTCTTTACTAACTAACTGGACAAGGACCAGAAAAAACACCTTTTCCTCAGAATTGTTCACTGCAGACAATCAACAAAATCCTGTTTTTATGCACCACCCCCCAGGGAGGGGACAGCCTAAAGAATCGATTTTGGTCTTGGCTTTTGCTACAATGAACTATTACCTAAATTGAATTCCCCTTTGGAGGCCAACTGAAGGTTCACCATTTAGTAGCTGGTCCTCCGTATCTGTGGGTTCCACTAAGCAGATTCAATCAACCACAGATGTAAAATATTCAGGAAGAAAAGCCAGTAAAGAATAACAATACAGGCCGGGCACGGTGGCTCACACCTGTAATCCCAGCACTTTGGGAAGCCGACACAAGCAGATCAGTTCCAGACCAGCCTGGCCAACATGGTGAAACCCCATATCTACTAAAAATACAAAAATTAGCCAGGCGTGGTGGCGGGCACCTGTAATCCCAGCTACTCGGGAGGCTGAGGCAGGAGAATTGCTTGAACCCGGGAGGCGGAGGTTGCAGTGAGCTGAGATCATGCCACTGCACTCCAGCCTGGGCAACAGGATGAGACTCCGTCTCAAAAATAAATAAATAAACAAATAAATAAATTAGCCAGGCATGGTGGCACATGCCTGTAATCCCAGCTATTCAGGAGGCTGAGACAGGAGAATCTCTTGAACTTGGGAGGCAGAGGTTGCAGTGAGCTGAGATGGCACCTTTGCACTCCAGCCTCGGCAAGAAAGCGAGACTCTGTCTCAAAAATAAATAACAATACAACAACAAATACAAATTAAAAGCCACACAGTACGAGTATTTACATAGCATTTACATTGTATTAGGTATTATAAGTAATCTAGAGATGATTTAAAGTATACAGGAGGATGTGCATAGGTTATATGCAAATACTACGCTATTTTTAGCTGAGGACTTGGGCATCCATGTATTTTGGCATCTGCAGGGGATCCTGGAACCAATCCCCCTATAGATGACTATATGCCAAATCCAAAGTTTTTGAAAAAAAAAAATGTCATCTATTCCTATAACAAATTACTTGAACATAAGTAACACATTTCTGAAGCTGGTAGCCAGTTCTGGTTGAGTCAGTGTGGGCACCATAAGGAAATGTGATATTTGGCTCCCGGGAGGAAAAAAGTCTGCAGAGATTTTAGATCCTATCACCCACTCTTCATAAAACTTCCTGGTGGATGTTAAAGGATTCAAGTTCTGATGGCCCCTCCATTCCTTACCCCCCTCTGAGCAGCAATAAGAAAACAAAATATGAGAAGGGAGAAGCAAAAGACCCCCTACACCTCACCCTAAAAATGACCCAGCACATGTCCAGCCACCTCTTCAGTGCCCTCTTAGAGCTGGTTGGGCATTTGTGTGTGTTTGAGAGAGAGAGAGAGTGTGTGTGTGTGTGTGTGTGTGTGTGTGTATATATATGTGTGTGTGTATGTATGTGTGTGTGTGTGTGTGTGTGTGTGTGTGTGTGTGTATATATATGTGTGTGTGTATGCTATCAGACACAGACCTGGGAGGGAAGGCCCCTAGAGATGGACCCATTTAGCCCTCTCGCTTTACAGAGGAGAGGCTTCAAGAAGGTGAAGCGATTTGCTGCTGTGTGGAACTAAGAAATGGACTTGGATCCCATCCCCAGCAACTGAGCACTCCCTGCACCGCTCAGCCTCTGAATATCTTTGAAGTGGGTCACTGCAGTTCTGCTTCCCCAGAAAGAGTACAGTAGGAGGTCTTGTCTCAGGAGACTGTCCAGTTTTAGTGTTATAATAAAAGGCTTCAGGCTTCAGGCCTATAGTAGCCAGGAACAAGGAAACTTGGAAGAACAAGTTCTTATCTCTGAAGAATTTGATTCCCTAGTTTTCCTGTGTCTGGGAAATAGATGACCTGTGGTATAAGAAAAACAAAAGAACAAAAGATTCCAAGAGTTTAAAATCTGACATTTTAAAAACCAATATAGGCTGGGTGCAGTGGTTCACGCCTGTAATCCCAGCACTTTGGGAGGCCAAGCCGGGTGGATCACTTGAGGTCAGGAGTTCGAGGCCAGCCTGGCCAACATGGTGAAACCCTGTCTCTACTAAAAATACCAAAATTGGGCTCACACCTGTAATCCCAACACTTTGGGAGGCCAAGGCGGGCGGATCACGAGATCAGGAGATCAACACCATCCTGTCCCTCCTAAAAATACAAAAAATTAGCCAGGCGTGGTGGCACGTGCCTGTAGTCCTAGCTACTTGGGAGGCTGAGGCAGGAGGATCACTTGAACCTGGGAGGCAGAGGTTGCAGTGAGCCGAGATCAGACCATTGCACTCCAGCCTGGACGACAGAGCGAGATGCTATCTCAAAATAAATTACAAAAAACAAAACAAAACAAAAAAACTATGTATCAAAAATAAATAATAAACACTTCCCTATGTATGCTCAAATTTTGACTTCAGTTCTACCTAGACATGCAAATTTCCTCATTCATGTGTAAGATAGTACTGATTGTCATTCAAGTAAAAACTTAGGTCTTTTAAAATGTAGTGTGAGGAAAAAAAAGGCAAACAGAGAGGTGTGGTTGCCCTTTGATTCAGTAATGCCACTTGGGATATTATCAACAGAAGCAAAAAGTTTTGTTATCTATGATAGCAACCCTAAATGTCTAATAACCAAGGTCTGGTTTAAAAAATGGTACACCAGGCAGGCGCAGTGGCTCATGCCTGTAATCTCAACACTTTGGGAGGCTAAGGCAGGAGGATGACTTGAACCCAGGAGTTCGAGAACATCCTGGACAACATGACAAAACATCGTTTCTTCAACAAACAAACAAAAAAAACAAAATTATTATAGCTGGGCAGGAGGTATGTGCCTGTAGTCCCAGCTATTCAGGAAGCTAAGGTGGAAGGATGACTTGAGCATCAGGAAGTTGAGGCTTCAATGAGCTGTGATTGTGCCACTGCACTCCAGGCTAGGCAACAGAGCAAGACCCTGTCTCAAAAAAAAAAAAAAAAAAAAAAAAAAAAAAAAAATTGTGGTACACCAGTGCTGTGGAGTTTCTGGCTTTGAAAAACCTAAATTAAAAATATTGCAAAAACATAAAAAAGGGAGCCGAGCACGGTGGCTCATGCCTGTAATCCCAGCACTTCTGGAGGCTGAGGCGGGAGGATCACCTGAGGTCGGGAGTTCGAGACCAGCATGACCAACATGGAGAAACCCCGTCTCTACTAAAAATACAAAATTAGCCGGGTGTGGTGGCGCATGCCTATAATCCCAGCTACTTGGGAGGCTGTGGCAGGAGAATGGCTTGAACCCAGGAGGCGGAGGTTGCCATGAGCCAAGATCATGTCATTGCACTCCAGCCTGGGCAACAAGACTGAAACTCCGTGTCAAGAACACACACACACACACACACACACACACACACACACACACACACAAAGATTATGCTCTAATGCTTTTTTATGCAAAATGTGATTCCTGTTTGAGCAGCCTGTCACCCAAAAACTCATTAGAAATGCAGGGTCTACGGCCCCAGACCCACCCCACCAACTGAATCAGAATCTGCATTTTTTTTTTTTTTTTTGAGACTCAGTCTTGCTCTCTCTCCCAGGCTGGAGTCCAGTGATGGGATCTCAGTTCATGGCAACCGCCGCCTCCTGGGTTCAAGCGATTCTCCTGCCTCAGCCTCCTGAGTAGCTGGGATTACAGGTGCATGCCACCACACCCAGCTAATTTTTGTATTTTTGGTAGAGATGGGGTTTCCCAATGTTGGCCAGGCTGGTCTCTAACTCCTGACCTCAGGTGATCTGCCTGCCTCAGTCTCCCAAAGTGCTGGGATTACAGGCATGAGCCACTGCACCCAGCAGAATCTGCATTTTAACAAGATCCCCAGATGACTGTATGCACGCTGAAGTTTGAGAATCATGCTCTAATAAGTGCAGGAGGTGGAGGTGACAATTTTATGTATGATTATTTTTAAAGTATATGTGGTCAAGGATTGGAAGGCACTTTGCAAAAATAAAAACAGCTTAAATGGAGCTAAACCCTCCTTCCCACAGAAAGCGCCTGGTCGGCTGTAGGTCCTCCAGGCAGCTGTTAGGGAGGCAACACTGTTGTGAGGGTTTCTTTTTCTTTTTTATTTTTTTAATTTTATTTTATTCTATTTTATTTATTTATTTATTTATTTTGAGATGGAGTCTCGCTTTGTCGCCCAAGCTGGAGTGCAGTGGCACGATCTCAGCTCACTGCAAGCTCCGCCTCCTGGGTTCACACCATTCTCCTGCCTCAGCCTCCCAAGTAGCTGGGACTACAGGTGCCCACCACCACACCTGGCTAATTTTTTGTATTTTTAGTAGAGACGGGGTTTCACCATGTTAGCCAGGATGGTCTCGATCTCCTGACCTCGTGATCCGCCCACCTCAGCCTCCCAAAGTGCTGGGATTACAGGCGTGAGTCACCGCGCCCGGTCCTCTTTTTCTTTTTTAAATGCATTCCTGAATGTTCTTGTTAAATCACATTTAACAAATGTTTGGAAACTTAAAAGATAAATGAATATGTTGCGCTTCTTTTTAAACCAGACATTAAAACTGGTTAACTTACTGTTTTTCTTTTTGCCTCGGCTATGAGGAATCAGAGCTAAATTTAATACTCAAGACAGTAATACTATTAGTATAGCTTTTTTGAATATTTGTTTTTCTGTCTATGACTTTTATTTTCTATTTTATTAGGTTTTCTAGTATGTTTCTTACAAATCACTTAAAAATTCTTTCTGAAAATAAGGGTCCAAATTACAATAATGACTTCTAAAAACAGTCTGTTCTTGTGTGCCAGGCTCCATAAAACATGAATTTGTGTTTGAAATTATTTCTTCTTTCCCTGATCTTTTTCCGCCTTTCAAGACACAAGTAAGGCCAGGCGCGTGGGCTCACACCTGTAATCCCAGCACTTTGGGAGGCAGGGGCAGGCAGATCACCTGAGGTCAGGAGATGGAGACCATCCTGGCTAACACGGTGAAACCCCGCTTCTACTAAAAATACAAAAAATTAGCCAGGCATGGTGGCACGCACCTGTAATCCCAGCTACTCGGGAGGCTGAGGCAGGAGAATGGCTTGAACCCAGGAGGTGGAGGTTGCAGTGAGCCGAGATCGCACCATTGCACTCCAGCTTGGGCAACAAGAGCGAAATTCCATCTCAAAAAAAAAAAAGACACAGGTAAAACTAAAGGCTTCCTGTTTGCTCCCCAGTGAGGGTCTCAGAGGCCAAATAGCTCCTGCCCCAGTGGGGTGTTGGTCCTCTCTCCCCAAGCAGCATCACAGCCTTACAGCCCAGCCCCTGGTGTCCTGATGCCTGAGGATTCAGTAAGGAAGCAGAGAGCCCCAGCCTTTCTAAGGGCACGCAGACCACCCTCCCATAGAATTACTCACCGACCCTTCAGCTGCTTCACACCTCCTCTGTAATGAAGGAGAGAACAGTATACGTTACTACCAAGTCTCGTTTTTAGGATAATTTCCTGCACACTACTCCATCTCCAAACTACATCAGATTCCTCTTACTCTCAAGAAAGCTTGCACTTTTTTGTTCATATCATTTATCAGCTTGTAACTGTATCGCATGATTGTCTCCCTTACCAGACCATAAGCTCCAACTTAGATTTCCCTTAACCACTGTACTTCCAGTGCCTAAAGGCATTGTTAGGCAGCTGAAGCACATTAGCTGTTATTGGTTGGGCAGATGGGTGATATAAAAAATGAATATGGCCCGATGCAGTGGCTCACACCCATAATCCCAGCACTTTGGGAGGCTGAGGAAGGTGGATCACTTGAGGCCAGGAGTTCGAGACCAGTCTGGCCAACAAGGTGAAACCCTGTCTCTACTAAAAATACAAAAAATTAGCCAGGTGTGGTGGCACATGCCTGTAATCCCAACTGTTTGGGAGGCTGAGGCAGGAGAATCGCTTGAAAATGAGAGGCGGAGGTTGCAGTGACCCCAGATCACGCCACTGCACTCCAGCCCGGGTGATGACGGGGCAAGACTTTGTCTCAAAGGAAAAAAAATAGTGAATATGCTGGAAAGACAGAAAGGAGAAAGAACTATCAGATCTGCTACTGTGGCATCAAAAAAAAAAAGGGAGAACTAATTTATTAATCACTTGCAATGTGCAGGCATTGTTAGTGCTTTATATATGCTATGAGATCCTCAGCACTTCCTTTTTTTTTTAATTAATATAATTCACTAACAAGCTGGATGCAGTGGCTCACACCTATAATCCCAACACTTTGGGAGGCTGAGGTGCACACCAGGATTCTGAGACCAGCCTGGTCAACATGGTGGAACCCCGTCTCTACAAAAAAAATTTTTTTAAAAAGCCAAGTGTGGTGGTATGGGCCTGTAGTCCTAGCTATTTGGGAGGCTAATATGGGAGGATCACTTGAGCCCAGGAGGTGAAGGTTGCAGTGAGCTGAGATCATGCCACTGCACTCCAGCCTGGGTGACAGAGCCAGAATCTGTCTCAAAAAAAAAAAAAAAAAAAAAAAAATACATATATATATATATATATATATATATATGGCTTTTAGTATATTCACTAGATTGTGCAACTATCATCACTAATTCTAAAACATTTTCATCACCCCAAAAAGAAACCCTGTGCCCATTAGCAATCACTCTTGTTTCCCCTCCTTCCTAGCCACCTCCTAATCTGCTTTCTGTTTCTATGGATTTGTCTATTTTGAATATTTTATAGAAATTGAATCACAGATATACAAATGGAAACCAGTCTTTTGTGTCTGGTTCCTTTCATTTAACATGTTTTCAAGGTTCATCCACATGGTAGCAATGCTTACTACTTCATTCCTTTTTATGGCTGGATAATATTTCATTGCATGGATATACACATTTTGTTTATCTGTTCATCAGGAGATGGAATATACTAAAAACCACTGAATTGTATTCCATTTTTTGGCTATTATGCTGCCATGAACATTTGTGTATAAGTTTTTGTGTGAACATTTGTTTTTAATTTTCTTGTGTGTACACCCAATAGTGGAATTACTGGGTCATATAGTAACTCTATGATTAACCATTTGAGGAACTGCCAGGCTGCTTTCTGCAGCAGTTGCAAAAGATTTGCATTAGTAGTGAATGAGGGTTCCAATTTCTCCACTTGCTCACCAACACTTGTTATTATTCACCTTTTTTATTATAATCATCTTAGTGGGTGTGAAATTGTATCTCAATGTGGATTTGATTGGCATTTTTACAATGACTAATGATGTTGAGCATCTTTTGGTGTGCTAATTGGCCATTTGTATA